>NC_000015.10:17752000-18052000 GCF_000001405.40 Homo sapiens | reverse complement strand
TGTGATGAATGCACTCATCACAGAGAAGTTTCTCTGAATGCCTCTGTGTAGTTTTTATTTGAAGATATTTGCTTTTCCAGTATAGGGCGAAATAGGGCTCCAAATATTCACTTGCAGATTCTACAAAAGGAGAGATTCCAAACTGCTCAATCAAAACATAGGTTCAACACTGTGAGTTGAATGCACACATCACAAAGAAGTTTCACAGAGTGCTTCTGGGTAGTTTTTATTTGAGGATATTTCCCTTTCCACAATAGGCCTCAAAGCTTTCCAAATATCCACTTGCAGATTCTGCAAAAAGAGAGATACAAAACTGCTCTATCAAAAGATAGATTCAACTCTGTGAGTTGAATGCCAACATCGCAAAGAAGTTTCTCAGAATGCTTCTCTGCAGCTTTTTTGTGAGTATGTTTCGTTTTCCACCATAGGGCGAAATGGGGCTCCAAATATCCACTTGCATTTCCTACAAAAAGAGAGATTCTAAGCTGCTCAATCAAAACATTGTTTCAACACGGTTAGTTGAATGCACACATCCCAAAGATGTTTTTCAGAGTGCTTCTGTGTGGTTTTTATGTGAAGATACTTCCTTTTCCACAATAGGCCTCAAATCTCTGTAAATATCCACTTGCAGACTCTACAAAGAGTGTTTCCAAACTGCTCAATCATAAGATAGGTTCAACTCCGATAGTTGAATGCACACATCACAAAGAAGTTTCTCAGAAAGCTTCTGTGTAGTTTTTGATGAAGATATCTTCTTCTCTAAAACAGAACTCCAAGCCCTCCAAATATTCACTTCAAGATTCTACGGAAAGATTGTCTCAAACTGCTAAATCAAAACAAAGGTTCAACTCTGTGTGATGAATGCATTCATCACAAAGAAGTTTCTCTGAGTGCTTCTGTGCAGTTTTTATTTGAAGATAATTGCTTTTCCAGTATAGGGCGAAATAGGGCTCCAAATATTCACTTGCAGATTCTACAGAAAGAGAGATTCCAAACTGCTCAATCAAAACATAGGTTCAACACTGTGAGTTGAATGCATACATCGCAAAGAAGTTTCACAGAGTACTTCTGGGTGGTTTTTATTTGAAGATATTTCCCTTTCCACAATAGGCCTCAAAGCGTTCCAAATGTCCACTTGCAGATTCCACCAAAAGAGTGTTTCGAAACTGCTCAATCAAAAGAAAGGTTCTACTCTGTGGGATGAATGCACACATCACAAAGTAGTTTCTCAGAATGCTTCTGTGTAGTTTTTATGTGAAGATATTTGTTTTTCCACAGTAGGCCCCAAGGAGCTCCAAATATTCACTTGCAGATTCTACAAAAAGAGTGTTCCAAAACTGCTCAATCATGAAATAGGATCAACCCTGTGAGATGAATGTACGTATGACAGAGAAGTTTCTCAGAATGCTTCTGTGTAGTTTTTATGCGAAGATATTCGATTTTCCACAGTACGCCTCAAAGTTCTCCAAATATCCACTCGTAGATTCTGCAAAAAGAGAGATTCAAAACTGCTCAATCAAAAGATAGTTTCTACTCCATTAGCTGAAAGACCACATCACAAAAAAAGTTTCTCAGGATGCTTCTGTGTAGTTTTTATGTGAAGATATTTGGTTTTCCACAGTAGGCCTCAAAGCGCTCCAAATATCCACTCACAGATTCTGCAAAAAGAGAGATTCAAAACTGCTGAATCAAAAGACAGTTTCAACTCTGTGACTTCAGTGCACACCTCACAAGGATGTTTCTCAGAATGCTTCTGTGTAGTTTTCATATAAAGGTATCTCCTTCTCCAAAATGGATCTCAAAGTTCTCCAAATATTCACTTCCAGATTCTATGGAAAGATTGTCTCAAAACTGCTCAATCAAACCAAAGGTTCAACTCTGTGAGATGAATGCCCACATCACAAAGAAGTTTCTCAGAGTACTTCTGTGTAGTTTCTATTTGAGGATAGTTCCTTTTCCACCACAGACCAGAAAGGGCTCCAAATATCCATTGCAGATGGTACAAAAAGTGAGATTCAAAACTGCTCAATCCAAAGGTAGTTTCAACCATGTGATATGAATGCACACAGCACAGAGAATTTTCTCAAAATGCGTCTGTCTAGTTTTTATTTGAAGATATTTCCTTTTCTACCATAGGCCACAAACGTCTCCAAATATCCACATGCAGCTTCTACAAAAAGAGAGATTCAAAACTTCTCAATCAAAAGATAGGTTCAACTCTGTGAGTTGAAAGCACACCTCACAAAGAAGTTTCTCAGAGTGCTTCTGTGTGTTTTTATGTGAAGATATTTCCTTTTCCACAATAGGCCTCAAAGCTCTCCAAATATCTGCGAGCAGAGTCTACAAAATGAGAGATTCAAAACTGCTCAATGAAAAGATAGGTTCAACTCTGTGAGTTGAATGCACACCTCCAAAGAAGTTTCTCAGAATGCTTCCGTGCAGTTTTTATGTGAAGATATTTACTTTTCCACAGTTGTCCCAAAGCTCTAAAATGTCCACTTGCAGACCCTCCAAAAGAGTGTTTCAGAATTGCTCAATCAAAGGGAAGGTTCAATTCTGTGTGACCAATGCACTCATCACAAAGAAGTTTGTCTGAATGCTTCTGTGTAGAATTGATTTGAAGATAATTCCTTTTCCACCACAGTCCGCAAAGGGCTAAAAATATCCACTTGCCGATTCCACAAAAAGAGAGATTCAAAACTGCTCAATCACAAGATAGGTTCAACTTGGTAATTGGAAAGCACACATGACAAACAATTTCTGAGAATGTTTCTGTGTAGTTTTTAAGGGAAGATATTTGATTTTCAAATGTAGGCCTCAAATCGCTCCAAATATCCACTTGCATATTGTACAAAAAGAGAGATTCAAAACTGGTCACTCAAAAGTTAGGTCCAGCTCTGTGAGCTGAATGCACACATCACAAAGATGTTTCTCAGAAGGTTTCTGTATAGTTTCTATATGAAGATATTTGCTTTTCCACAATATGCCTCAAATCTCCCCAATTATCCACTTGCAGATTCTAGAAAAAGAGTGTTTCAAAACAGCTCAATCAAAATAAACTTTCAACTCTGTGAGATCAATGCACACATCACAAAGAAGTTTCTCAGAATGCTTCTGTGTAGTTTTTTTTGTGAAGATATTTGATTTTCCACAGCAGGCTTCCAAGCACTCCAAATATCCACTCGCAGATTCTGCAAAAAGAGAGATTCAAATCTGCTGAATCAAAAGATAGGTTTAACTCTGTGACTTCAATGCACACCTCACAAGGGTGTTTCTCAGAAAGCTTCTGTGTAGTTTTTATATGAAGATATCTCCTTCTCCAAAGCAGGTCTCAAAGCCCTCCAAATATTCACTTCAAGATTCTACGGAAAGATTGTCTCAACACTGCTAAATCTAAACAAATGTTCAACTTCTGTGTGATGAATGCACTCATCACAGAGAAGTTTCTCTGAATGCCTCTGTGTAGTTTTTATTTGACGATATTTGCCTTTCCAGTATAGGGCGAAATAGGGCTCCAAATATTCACTTGCAGATTCTACAAAAAGAGAGATTCCAAACTGCTCAATCAAAACATAGGTTCAGCACTGTGAGTTGAATGCACACATCGCAAAGAAGTTTCACAGAGTGCTTCTGGGTAGTTTTTATTTGAGGATATTTCCCTTTCCACAATAGGCCTCAAAGCTTTCCAAATATCCACTTGCAGATTCTGCAAAAAGAGAGATACAAAACTGCTCTATCAAAAGATAGATTCGACTCTGTGAGTTGAATGCAAACGTCGGAAAGAAGTTTCTCAGAATGCTTCTGTGTAGCTCTTTTGTGAATATGTTTCGTTTCCCACAATAGGGCGAAATGGGGCTCCAAATATCCACTTGCATTTTCTACAAAAAGAGAGATTCTAAGCTGCTCAATCAAAAGATAGTTTCAACACTGTTAGTTGAATGCACACTTCCCACAGAAGTTTCTCAGAAATGTTCTGTTTAGTTTTTAAGTGAAGATATTTCCTTTTCCACAATAGGTCTCAAATCTCTGTAAATATCCACTTGCAGACTCTACAAAGCCTGTTTCCAAACTGCTCAATCATAAGATAGGTTCAACACAGATAGTTGAATGCACACATCACAAAGAAGTTTCTCAGAAAGCTTCTGTGTAGTTTTTGATGAAGATATCTTCTTCTCTAAAACAGAACTCCAAGCCGTCCAAATATTCACTTCAAGATTCTACAGAAAGATTGTCTCAAAACTGCTAAATCAAAACAAAGGTTCAACTCTGTGGGATGAATGCATTCATCACAAAGAAGTTTCTCTGAATGCTTCTGTGCAGTTTTTATTTGAAGATAATTGCTTTTCCAGTATAGGGCGAAATAGGGCTCCAAATATTCACTTGCAGATCCTACAAAAAGAGAGATTCCAAACTGCTCAATCAAAAGAAATATTCTACTCTGTGGGATGAATGCAAACATCACAAACTAGTTTCTCAGAATGCTTCAGTGTAGTTTTTATGTGAAGATATTTATTTTTCCACAGTAGGCCCCAATGAGCCCCAAATATTCACTTGCAGATTCTACAAAAAGAGTGTCTCAAAACTGCTCAATCATAAAATAGGATCAACCCTGTGAGATGAATGTACGCATGACAGAGAAGTTTCTCAGAATGCTTCTGTGTAGCTTTTATGCGAAGATATTCGATTTTGCACAGGACGCCTCAAAGTTCTCCAATTATCCACTTGTAGATTCTGCAAAAAGAGAGATTCAAAACTGCTCAATCAAAAGATAGGTTCAACTCCATTAGTTGAAAGACCACATCACAAAAAAAGTTTCTCAGGATGCTTCTGCGTAGTTTTTAAGTGAAGATATTAGGTTTTCCACAGTAGGCCTCAAAGCGCTCCACATATCCACTCACAGATTATGCGAAAAGAGAAATTCAAAACTGCTGAATCAAAAGACAGTTTCAACTCTGTGACTTCAGTGCATACCTCACAAAGATGTTTCTCAGAATGCTTCTGTGTAGTTTTTATATAAGGATATCTCCTTCTCCAAAATGGATCTCAAAGTTCCCCAAATATTCACTTCCAGATGCTATGGAAAGATTGTCTCAAAACTGCTCAATCAAACCAAAAGTTCAACACTGCGAGATGAATGCACACATCACAAAGAAGTTTCCCACAATACATTTGTGTAGTTTCTATTTGAGGATAGTTCCTTTTCCACCACAGACCAAAATGGGCTCCAAATATCCATTGCAGATGGTACAAAAAGAGAGATTCAAAACGGCTCAATAAAAAGGTAGTTTCAACCATGTGATATGAATGCACACAGCACAGAGAATTTTCTCAAAATGCGTCTGTCTAGTTTTTATTTGAAGATATTTCCTTTTCTACCATAGGCCACAAACGTCTCCAAATATCTACATGCAGCTTCTACAAAAAGAGAGATTCAAAACTTCTCAATCAAAAGATAGGTTCAACTCTGTGAGTTGAAAGCACACCTCACAAAGAAGTTTCTCAGAGTGCTTCTGTGTGTTTTTATGTGAAGATATTTCCTTTTCCACAATAGGCCTCAAAGCTCTCCAAATATCTGCGAGCAGAGTCTACAAAATGAGAGATTCAAAACTGCTCAATGAAAAGATAGGTTCAACTCTGTGAGTTGAATGCACACCTCCAAAGAAGTTTCTCAGAATGCTTCCGTGTAGTTTTTATGTGAAGATATTTACTTTTCCACAGTTGTCCCAAAGCTCTAAAATATCCACTTGCAGACCCTCCAAAAGAGTGTTTCAGAATTGCTCAATCAAAGGGAAGGTTCAATTCTGTGTGACCAATGCACTCATCACAAAGAAGTTTGTCTGAATGCTTCTGTGTAGAATTGATTTGAAGATAATTCCTTTTCCACCACAGTCCGCAAAGGGCTAAAAATATCCACTTGCCGATTCCACAAAAAGAGAGATTCAAAACTGCTCAATCACAAGATAGGTTCAACTTGGTAATTGGAAAGCACACATGACAAACAATTTCTGAGAATGTTTCTGTGTAGTTTTTAAGGGAAGATATTTGATTTTCAAATGTAGGCCTCAAATCGCTCCAAATATCCACTTGCATATTGTACAAAAAGAGAGATTCAAAACTGGTCACTCAAAAGTTAGGTCCAGCTCTGTGAGCTGAATGCACACATCACAAAGATGTTTCTCAGAAGGTTTCTGTATAGTTTCTATATGAAGATATTGGCTTTTCCACAATATGCCTCAAATCTCCCCAATTATCCACTTGCAGATTCTAGAAAAAGAGTGTTTCAAAACAGCTCAATCAAAATAAACTTTCAACTCTGTGAGATCAATGCACACATCACAAAGAAGTTTCTCAGAATGCTTCTGTGTAGTTTTTTTTGTGAAGATATTTGATTTTCCACAGCAGGCTTCCAAGCACTCCAAATATCCACTCGCAGATTCTGCAAAAAGAGAGATTCAAATCTGCTGAATCAAAAGATAGGTTTAACTCTGTGACTTCAATGCACACCTCACAAGGGTGTTTCTCAGAAAGCTTCTGTGTAGTTTTTATATGAAGATATCTCCTTCTCCAAAGCAGGTCTCAAAGCCCTCCAAATATTCACTTCAAGATTCTACGGAAAGATTGTCTCAACACTGCTAAATCTAAACAAATGTTCAACTCTGTGTGATGAATGCACTCATCACAGAGAAGTTTCTCTGAATGCCTCTGTGTAGTTTTTATTTGAAGATATTTGCTTTTCCAGTATAGGGCGAAATAGGGCTCCAAATATTCACTTGCAGATTCTACAAAAGGAGAGATTCCAAACTGCTCAATCAAAACATAGGTTCAACACTGTGAGTTGAATGCACACATCACAAAGAAGTTTCACAGAGTGCTTCTGGGTAGTTTTTATTTGAGGATATTTCCCTTTCCACAATAGGCCTCAAAGCTTTCCAAATATCCACTTGCAGATTCTGCAAAAAGAGAGATACAAAACTGCTCTATCAAAAGATAGATTCGACTCTGTGAGTTGAATGCCAACATCGCAAAGAAGTTTCTCAGAATGCTTCTCTGCAGCTTTTTTGTGAGTATGTTTCGTTTTCCACCATAGGGCGAAATGGGGCTCCAAATATCCACTTGCATTTCCTACAAAAAGAGAGATTCTAAGCTGCTCAATCAAAACATTGTTTCAACACGGTTAGTTGAATGCACACATCCCAAAGATGTTTCTCAGAGTGCTTCTGTGTGGTTTTTATGTGAAGATACTTCCTTTTCCACAATAGGCCTCAAATCTCTGTAAATATCCACTTGCAGACTCTACAAAGAGTGTTTCCAAACTGCTCAATCATAAGATAGGTTCAACTCCGATAGTTGAATGCACACATCACAAAGAAGTTTCTCAGAAAGCTTCTGTGTAGTTTTTGATGAAGATATCTTCTTCTCTAAAACAGAACTCCAAGCCCTCCAAATATTCACTTCAAGATTCTACGGAAAGATTGTCTCAAAACTCCTAAATCAAAACAAAGTTTCAACTCTGTGTCATGAATGCATTCATCTCAAAGAAGTTTCTCTGAGTGCTTCTGTGCAGTTTTTATTTGAAGATAATTGCTTTTCCAGTATAGGGCGAAATAGGGCTCCAAATATTCACTTGCAGATTCTACAGAAAGAGAGATTCCAAACTGCTCAATCAAAACATAGGTTCAACACTGTGAGTTGAATGCGTACATCGCAAAGAAGTTTCACAGAGTACTTCTGGGTGGTTTTTATTTGAAGATATTTCCCTTTCCACAATAGACCTCAAAGCTTTCCAAATGTCCACTTGCAGATTCCACCAAAAGAGTGTTTCGAAACTGCTCAATCAAAAGAAAGGTTCTACTCTGTGGGATGAATGCACACATCACAAAGTAGTTTCTCAGAATGCTTCTGTGTAGTTTTTATGTGAAGATATTTGTTTTTCCACAGTAGGCCCCAAGGAGCTCCAAATATTCACTTGCAGATTCTACAAAAAGAGTGTTCCAAAACTGCTCAATCATGAAATAGGATCAACCCTGTGAGATGAATGTACGTATGACAGAGAAGTTTCTCAGAATGCTTCTGTGTAGTTTTTATGCGAAGATATTCGATTTTCCACAGTACGCCTCAAAGTTCTCCAATTATCCACTCGTAGATTCTGCAAAAAGAGAGATTCAAAACTGCTCAATCAAAAGATAGTTTCTACTCCATTAGCTGAAAGACCACATCACAAAAAAAGTTTCTCAGGATGCTTCTGTGTAGTTTTTATGTGAAGATATTTGGTTTTCCACAGTAGGCCTCAAAGCGCTCCAAATATCCACTCACAGATTCTGCAAAAAGAGAGATTCAAAACTGCTGAATCAAAAGACAGTTTCAACTCTGTGACTTCAGTGCACACCTCACAAGGATGTTTCTCAGAATGCTTCTGTGTAGTTTTCATATAAAGATATCTCCTTCTCCAAAATGGATCTCAAAGTTCTCCAAATATTCACTTCCAGATTCTATGGAAAGATTGTCTCAAAACTGCTCAATCAAACCAAAGGTTCAACTCTGTGAGATGAATGCCCACATCACAAAGAAGTTTCTCAGAGTACTTCTGTGTAGTTTCTATTTGAGGATAGTTCCTTTTCCACCACAGACCAGAAAGGGCTCCAAATATCCATTGCAGATGGTACAAAAAGTGAGATTCAAAACTGCTCAATCCAAAGGTAGTTTCAACCATGTGATATGAATGCACACAGCACAGAGAATTTTCTCAAAATGCGTCTGTCTAGTTTTTATTTGAAGATATTTCCTTTTCTACCATAGGCCACAAACGTTTCCAAATATCCACATGCAGCTTCTACAAAAAGAGAGATTCAAAACTTCTCAATCAAAAGATAGGTTCAAATCTGTGAGTTGAAAGCACACCTCACAAAGAAATTTCTCAGAGTGCTTCTGTGTGTTTTTATGTGAAGATATTTCCTTTTCCACAATAGGCCTCAAAGCTCTCCAAATATCTGCGAGCAGAGTCTACAAAATGAGAGATTCAAAACTGCTCAATGAAAAGATAGGTTCAACTCTTGTGAGTTGAATGCACACCTCCAAAGAAGTTTCTCAGAATGCTTCCGTGTAGTTTTTATGTGAAGATATTTACTTTTCCACAGTTGTCCCAAAGCTCTAAAATATCCACTTGCAGACCCTCCAAAAGAGTGTTTCAGAATTGCTCAATCAAAGGGAAGGTTCAATTCTGTGTGACCAATGCACTCATCACAAAGAAGTTTGTCTGAATGCTTCTGTGTAGAATTGATTTGAAGATAATTCCTTTTCCACCACAGTCCGCAAAGGGCTAAAAATATCCACTTGCCGATTCCACAAAAAGAGAGATTCAAAACTGCTCAATCACAAGATAGGTTCAACTTGGTAATTGGAAAGCACACATGACAAACAATTTCTGAGAATGTTTCTGTGTAGTTTTTAAGGGAAGATATTTGATTTTCAAATGTAGGCCTCAAATCGCTCCAAATATCCACTTGCATATTGTACAAAAAGAGAGATTCAAAACTGGTCACTCAAAAGTTAGGTCCAGCTCTGTGAGCTGAATGCACACATCACAAAGATGTTTCTCAGAAGGTTTCTGTATAGTTTTTATATGAAGATATTTGCTTTTCCACAATATGCCTCAAATCTCCCCAATTATCCATTTGCAGATTCTAGAAAAAGAGTGTTTCAAAACAACTCAATCAAAATAAACTTTCAACTCTGTGAGATCAATGCACACATCACAAAGAAGTTTCTCAGAATGCTTCTGTGTAGTTTTTTTTGTGAAGATATTTGATTTTCCACAGCAGGCTTCCAAGCACTCCAAATATCCACTCGCAGATTCTGCAAAAAGAGAGATTCAAATCTGCTGAATCAAAAGATAGGTTTAACTCTGTGACTTCAATGCACACCTCACAAGGGTGTTTCTCAGAAAGCTTCTGTGTAGTTTTTATATGAAGATATCTCCTTCTCCAAAGCAGGTCTCAAAGCCCTCCAAATATTCACTTCAAGATTCTACGGAAAGATTGTCTCAACACTGCTAAATCTAAACAAATGTTCAACTCTGTGTGATGAATGCACTCATCTCAGAGAAGTTTCTCTGAATGCCTCTGTGTAGTTTTTATTTGAAGATATTTGCTTTTCCAGTATAGGGCGAAATAGGGCTCCAAATATTCACTTGCAGATTCTACAAAAGGAGAGATTCCAAACTGCTCAATCAAAACATAGGTTCAACACTGTGAGTTGAATGCACACATCACAAAGAAGTTTCACAGAGTGCTTCTGGGTAGTTTTTATTTGAGGATATTTCCCTTTCCACAATAGGCCTCAAAGCTTTCCAAATATCCACTTGCAGATTCTGCAAAAAGAGAGATACAAAACTGCTCTATCAAAAGATAGATTCGACTCTGTGAGTTGAATGCCAACATCGCAAAGAAGTTTCTCAGAATGCTTCTCTGCAGCTTTTTTGTGAGTATGTTTCGTTTTCCACCATAGGGCGAAATGGGGCTCCAAATATACACTTGCATTTCCTACAAAAAGAGAGATTCTAAGCTGCTCAATCAAAACATTGTTTCAACACGGTTAGTTGAATGCACACATCCCAAAGATGTTTTTCAGAGTGCTTCTGTGTGGTTTTTATGTGAAGATACTTCCTTTTCCACAATAGGCCTCAAATCTCTGTAAATATCCACTTGCAGACTCTACAAAGAGTGTTTCCAAACTCCTCAATCATAAGATAGGTTCAACTCCGATAGTTGAATGCACACATCACAAAGAAGTTTCTCAGAAAGCTTCTGTGTAGTTTTTGATGAAGATATCTTCTTCTCTAAAACAGAACTCCAAGCCCTCCAAATATTCACTTCAAGATTCTACGGAAAGATTGTCTCAAATCTCCTAAATCAAAACAAAGTTTCAACTCTGTGTCATGAATGCATTCATCTCAAAGAAGTTTCTCTGAATGCTTCTGTGCAGTTTTTATTTGAAGATAATTGCTTTTCCAGTATAGGGCGAAATAGGGCTCCAAATATTCACTTGCAGATTCTACAGAAAGAGAGATTCCAAACTGCTCAATCAAAACATAGGTTCAACACTGTGAGTTGAATGCATACATCGCAAAGAAGTTTCACAGAGTACTTCTGGGTGGTTTTTATTTGAAGATATTTCCCTTTCCACAATAGGCCTCAAAGCTTTCCAAATGTCCACTTGCAGATTCCACCAAAAGAGTGTTTCGAAACTGCTCAATCAAAAGAAAGGTTCTACTCTGTGGGATGAATGCACACATCACAAAGTAGTTTCTCAGAATGCTTCTGTGTAGTTTTTATGTGAAGATATTTGTTTTTCCACAGTAGGCCCCAAAGAGCTCCAAATATTCACTTGCAGATTCTACAAAAAGAGTGTTCCAAAACTGCTCAATCATGAAATAGGATCAACCCTGTGAGATGAATGTACGTATGACAGAGAAGTTTCTCAGAATGCTTCTGTGTAGTTTTTATGCGAAGATATTCGATTTTCCACAGTACGCCTCAAAGTTCTCCAATTATCCACTCGTAGATTCTGTAAAAAGAGAGATTCAAAACTGCTCAATCAAAAGATAGTTTCTACTCCATTAGCTGAAAGACCACATCACAAAAAAAGTTTCTCAGGATGCTTCTGTGTAGTTTTTATGTGAAGATATTTGGTTTTCCACAGTAGGCCTCAAAGCGCTCCAAATATCCACTCACAGATTCTGCAAAAAGAGAGATTCAAAACTGCTGAATCAAAAGACAGTTTCAACTCTGTGACTTCAGTGCACACCTCACAAGGATGTTTCTCAGAATGCTTCTGTGTAGTTTTCATATAAAGATATCTCCTTCTCCAAAATGGATCTCAAAGTTCTCCAAATATTCACTTCCAGATTCTATGGAAAGATTGTCTCAAAACTGCTCAATCAAACCAAAGGTTCAACTCTGTGAGATGAATGCCCACATCACAAAGAAGTTTCTCAGAGTACTTCTGTGTAGTTTCTATTTGAGGATAGTTCCTTTTCCACCACAGACCAGAAAGGGCTCCAAATATCCATTGCAGATGGTACAAAAAGTGAGATTCAAAACTGCTCAATCCAAAGGTAGTTTCAACCATGTGATATGAATGCACACAGCACAGAGAATTTTCTCAAAATGCGTCTGTCTAGTTTTTATTTGAAGATATTTCCTTTTCTACCATAGGCCACAAACGTTTCCAAATATCCACATGCAGCTTCTACAAAAAGAGAGATTCAAAACTTCTCAATCAAAAGATAGGTTCAAATCTGTGAGTTGAAAGCACACCTCACAAAGAAATTTCTCAGAGTGCTTCTGTGTGTTTTTATGTGAAGATATTTCCTTTTCCACAATAGGCCTCAAAGCTCTCCAAATATCTGCGAGCAGAGTCTACAAAATGAGAGATTCAAAACTGCTCAATGAAAAGATAGGTTCAACTCTGTGAGTTGAATGCACACCTCCAAAGAAGTTTCTCAGAATGCTTCCGTGTAGTTTTTATGTGAAGATATTTACTTTTCCACAGTTGTCCCAAAGCTCTAAAATATCCACTTGCAGACCCTCCAAAAGAGTGTTTCAGAATTGCTCAATCAAAGGGAAGGTTCAATTCTGTGTGACCAATGCACTCATCACAAAGAAGTTTGTCTGAATGCTTCTGTGTAGAATTGATTTGAAGATAATTCCTTTTCCACCACAGTCCGCAAAGGGCTAAAAATATCCACTTGCCGATTCCACAAAAAGAGAGATTCAAAACTGCTCAATCACAAGATAGGTTCAACTTGGTAATTGGAAAGCACACATGACAAACAATTTCTGAGAATGTTTCTGTGTAGTTTTTAAGGGAAGATATTTGATTTTCAAATGTAGGCCTCAAATCGCTCCAAATATCCACTTGCATATTGTACAAAAAGAGAGATTCAAAACTGGTCACTCAAAAGTTAGGTCCAGCTCTGTGAGCTGAATGCACACATCACAAAGATGTTTCTCAGAAGGTTTCTGTATAGTTTTTATATGAAGATATTTGCTTTTCCACAATATGCCTCAAATCTCCCCAATTATCCACTTGCAGATTCTAGAAAAAGAGTGTTTCAAAACAGCTCAATCAAAATAAACTTTCAACTCTGTGAGATCAATGCACACATCACAAAGAAGTTTCTCAGAATGCTTCTGTGTAGTTTTTTTTGTGAAGATATTTGATTTTCCACAGCAGGCTTCCAAGCACTCCAAATATCCACTCGCAGATTCTGCAAAAAGAGAGATTCAAATCTGCTGAATCAAAAGATAGGTTTAACTCTGTGACTTCAATGCACACCTCACAAGGGTGTTTCTCAGAAAGCTTCTGTGTAGTTTTTATATGAAGATATCTCCTTCTCCAAAGCAGGTCTCAAAGCCCTCCAAATATTCACTTCAAGATTCTACGGAAAGATTGTCTCAACACTGCTAAATCTAAACAAATGTTCAACTCTGTGTGATGAATGCACTCATCACAGAGAAGTTTCTCTGAATGCCTCTGTGTAGTTTTTATTTGAAGATATTTGCTTTTCCAGTATAGGGCGAAATAGGGCTCCAAATATTCACTTGCAGATTCTACAAAAGGAGAGTTTCCAAACTGCTCAATCAAAACATAGGTTCAACACTGTGAGTTGAATGCACACATCACAAAGAAGTTTCACAGAGTGCTTCTGGGTAGTTTTTATTTGAGGATATTTCCCTTTCCACAATAGGCCTCAAAGCTTTCCAAATATCCACTTGCAGATTCTGCAAAAAGAGAGATACAAAACTGCTCTATCAAAAGATAGATTCGACTCTGTGAGTTGAATGCCAACATCGCAAAGAAGTTTCTCAGAATGCTTCTCTGCAGCTTTTTTGTGAGTATGTTTCGTTTTCCACCATAGGGCGAAATGGGGCTCCAAATATCCACTTGCATTTCCTACAAAAAGAGAGATTCTAAGCTGCTCAATCAAAACATTGTTTCAACACGGTTAGTTGAATGCACACATCCCAAAGATGTTTTTCAGAGTGCTTCTGTGTGGTTTTTATGTGAAGATACTTCCTTTTCCACAATAGGCCTCAAATCTCTGTAAATATCCACTTGCAGACTCTACAAAGAGTGTTTCCAAACTCCTCAATCATAAGATAGGTTCAACTCCGATAGTTGAATGCACACATCACAAAGAAGTTTCTCAGAAAGCTTCTGTGTAGTTTTTGATGAAGATATCTTCTTCTCTAAAACAGAACTCCAAGCCCTCCAAATATTCACTTCAAGATTCTACGGAAAGATTGTCTCAAATCTCCTAAATCAAAACAAAGTTTCAACTCTGTGTCATGAATGCATTCATCTCAAAGAAGTTTCTCTGAATGCTTCTGTGCAGTTTTTATTTGAAGATAATTGCTTTTCCAGTATAGGGCGAAATAGGGCTCCAAATATTCACTTGCAGATTCTACAGAAAGAGAGATTCCAAACTGCTCAATCAAAACATAGGTTCAACACTGTGAGTTGAATGCATACATCGCAAAGAAGTTTCACAGAGTACTTCTGGGTGGTTTTTATTTGAAGATATTTCCCTTTCCACAATAGGCCTCAAAGCTTTCCAAATGTCCACTTGCAGATTCCACCAAAAGAGTGTTTCGAAACTGCTCAATCAAAAGAAAGGTTCTACTCTGTGGGATGAATGCACACATCACAAAGTAGTTTCTCAGAATGCTTCTGTGTAGTTTTTATGTGAAGATATTTGTTTTTCCACAGTAGGCCCCAAGGAGCTCCAAATATTCACTTGCAGATTCTACAAAAAGAGTGTTCCAAAACTGCTCAATCATGAAATAGGATCAACCCTGTGAGATGAATGTACGTATGACAGAGAAGTTTCTCAGAATGCTTCTGTGTAGTTTTTATGCGAAGATATTCGACTTTCCACAGTACGCCTCAAAGTTCTCCAATTATCCACTCGTAGATTCTGCAAAAAGAGAGATTCAAAACTGCTCAATCAAAAGATAGTTTCTACTCCATTAGCTGAAAGACCACATCACAAAAAAAGTTTCTCAGGATGCTTCTGTGTAGTTTTTATGTGAAGATATTTGGTTTTCCACAGTAGGCCTCAAAGCGCTCCAAATATCCACTCACAGATTCTGCAAAAAGAGAGATTCAAAACTGCTGAATCAAAAGACAGTTTCAACTCTGTGACTTCAGTGCACACCTCACAAGGATGTTTCTCAGAATGCTTCTGTGTAGTTTTCATATAAAGGTATCTCCTTCTCCAAAATGGATCTCAAAGTTCTCCAAATATTCACTTCCAGATTCTATGGAAAGATTGTCTCAAAACTGCTCAATCAAACCAAAGGTTCAACTCTGTGAGATGAATGCCCACATCACAAAGAAGTTTCTCAGAGTACTTCTGTGTAGTTTCTATTTGAGGATAGTTCCTTTTCCACCACAGACCAGAAAGGGCTCCAAATATCCATTGCAGATGGTACAAAAAGTGAGATTCAAAACTGCTCAATCCAAAGGTAGTTTCAACCATGTGATATGAATGCACACAGCACAGAGAATTTTCTCAAAATGCGTCTGTCTAGTTTTTATTTGAAGATATTTCCTTTTCTACCATAGGCCACAAACGTCTCCAAATATCCACATGCAGCTTCTACAAAAAGAGAGATTCAAAACTTCTCAATCAAAAGATAGGTTCAACTCTGTGAGTTGAAAGCACACCTCACAGAGAAGTTTCTCAGAGTGCTTCTGTGTGTTTTTATGTGAAGATATTTCCTTTTCCACAATAGGCCTCAAAGCTCTCCAAATATCTGCGAGCAGAGTCTACAAAATGAGAGATTCAAAACTGCTCAATGAAAAGATAGGTTCAACTCTGTGAGTTGAATGCACACCTCCAAAGAAGTTTCTCAGAATGCTTCCGTGTAGTTTTTATGTGAAGATATTTACTTTTCCACAGTTGTCCCAAAGCTCTAAAATGTCCACTTGCAGACCCTCCAAAAGAGTGTTTCAGAATTGCTCAATCAAAGGGAAGGTTCAATTCTGTGTGACCAATGCACTCATCACAAAGAAGTTTGTCTGAATGCTTCTGTGTAGAATTGATTTGAAGATAATTCCTTTTCCACCACAGTCCGCAAAGGGCTAAAAATATCCACTTGCCGATTCCACAAAAAGAGAGATTCAAAACTGCTCAATCACAAGATAGGTTCAACTTGGTAATTGGAAAGCACACATGACAAACAATTTCTGAGAATGTTTCTGTGTAGTTTTTAAGGGAAGATATTTGATTTTCAAATGTAGGCCTCAAATCGCTCCAAATATCCACTTGCATATTGTACAAAAAGAGAGATTCAAAACTGGTCACTCAAAAGTTAGGTCCAGCTCTGTGAGCTGAATGCACACATCACAAAGATGTTTCTCAGAAGGTTTCTGTATAGTTTTTATATGAAGATATTGGCTTTTCCACAATATGCCTCAAATCTCCCCAATTATCCACTTGCAGATTCTAGAAAAAGAGTGTTTCAAAACAGCTCAATCAAAATAAACTTTCAACTCTGTGAGATCAATGCACACATCACAAAGAAGTTTCTCAGAATGCTTCTGTGTAGTTTTTTTTGTGAAGATATTTGATTTTCCACAGCAGGCTTCCAAGCACTCCAAATATCCACTCGCAGATTCTGCAAAAAGAGAGATTCAAATCTGCTGAATCAAAAGATAGGTTTAACTCTGTGACTTCAATGCACACCTCACAAGGGTGTTTCTCAGAAAGCTTCTGTGTAGTTTTTATATGAAGATATCTCCTTCTCCAAAGCAGGTCTCAAAGCCCTCCAAATATTCACTTCAAGATTCTACGGAAAGATTGTCTCAACACTGCTAAATCTAAACAAATGTTCAACTTCTGTGTGATGAATGCACTCATCACAGAGAAGTTTCTCTGAATGCCTCTGTGTAGTTTTTATTTGAAGATATTTGCTTTTCCAGTATAGGGCGAAATAGGGCTCCAAATATTCACTTGCAGATTCTACAAAAGGAGAGATTCCAAACTGCTCAATCAAAACATAGGTTCAACACTGTGAGTTGAATGCACACATCACAAAGAAGTTTCACAGAGTGCTTCTGGGTAGTTTTTATTTGAGGATATTTCCCTTTCCACAATAGGCCTCAAAGCTTTCCAAATATCCACTTGCAGATTCTGCAAAAAGAGAGATACAAAACTGCTCTATCAAAAGATAGATTCGACTCTGTGAGTTGAATGCCAACATCGCAAAGAAGTTTCTCAGAATGCTTCTCTGCAGCTTTTTTGTGAGTATGTTTCGTTTTCCACCATAGGGCGAAATGGGGCTCCAAATATCCACTTGCATTTCCTACAAAAAGAGAGATTCTAAGCTGCTCAATCAAAACATTGTTTCAACACGGTTAGTTGAATGCACACATCCCAAAGATGTTTTTCAGAGTGCTTCTCTGTGGTTTTTATGTGAAGATACTTCCTTTTCCACAATAGGCCTCAAATCTCTGTAAATATCCACTTGCAGACTCTACAAAGAGTGTTTCCAAACTCCTCAATCATAAGATAGGTTCAACTCCGATAGTTGAATGCACACATCACAAAGAAGTTTCTCAGAAAGCTTCTGTGTAGTTTTTGATGAAGATATCTCCTTCTCTAAAACAGAACTCCAAGCCCTCCAAATATTCACTTCAAGATTCTACGGAAAGATTGTCTCAAACTGCTAAATCAAAACAAAGGTTCAACTCTGTGTGATGAATGCATTCATCACAAAGAAGTTTCTCTGAGTGCTTCTGTGCAGTTTTTATTTGAAGATAATTGCTTTTCCAGTATAGGGCGAAATAGGGCTCCAAATATTCACTTGCAGATTCTACAGAAAGAGAGATTCCAAACTGCTCAATCAAAACATAGGTTCAACACTGTGAGTTGAATGCATACATCGCAAAGAAGTTTCACAGAGTACTTCTGGGTGGTTTTTATTTGAAGATATTTCCCTTTCCACAATAGGCCTCAAAGCTTTCCAAATGTCCACTTGCAGATTCCACCAAAAGAGTGTTTCGAAACTGCTCAATCAAAAGAAAGGTTCTACTCTGTGGGATGAATGCACACATCACAAAGTAGTTTCTCAGAATGCTTCTGTGTAGTTTTTATGTGAAGATATTTGTTTTTCCACAGTAGGCCCCAAAGAGCTCCAAATATTCACTTGCAGATTCTACAAAAAGAGTGTTCCAAAACTGCTCAATCATGAAATAGGATCAACCCTGTGAGACGAATGTACGTATGACAGAGAAGTTTCTCAGAATGCTTCTGTGTAGTTTTTATGCGAAGATATTCGATTTTCCACAGTACGCCTCAAAGTTCTCCAATTATCCACTCGTAGATCCTGCAAAAAGAGAGATTCAAAACTGCTCAATCAAAAGATAGTTTCTACTCCATTAGCTGAAAGACCACATCACAAAAAAAGTTTCTCAGGATGCTTCTGTGTAGTTTTTATGTGAAGATATTTGGTTTTCCACAGTAGGCCTCAAAGCGCTCCAAATATCCACTCACAGATTCTGCAAAAAGAGAGATTCAAAACTGCTGAATCAAAAGACAGTTTCAACTCTGTGACTTCAGTGCACACCTCACAAGGATGTTTCTCAGAATGCTTCTGTGTAGTTTTTATATAAAGATATCTCCTTCTCCAAAATGGATCTCAAAGTTCTCCAAATATTCACTTCCAGATTCTATGGAAAGATTGTCTCAAAACTGCTCAATCAAACCAAAGGTTCAACTCTGTGAGATGAATGCACACATCACAAAGAAGTTTCTCAGAGTACTTCTGTGTAGTTTCTACTTGAGGATAGTTCCTTTTCCACCACAGACCAGAAAGGGCTCCAGATATCCATTGCAGATGGTACAAAAAGTGAGATTCAAAACTGCTCAATCCAAAGGTAGTTTCAACCATGTGATATGAATGCACACAGCACAGAGAATTTTCTCAAAATGCGCCTGTCTAGTTTTTATTTGAAGATATTTCCTTTTCTACTATAGGCCACAAACGTCTCCAAATATCCACATGCAGCTTCTACAAAAAGAGAGATTCAAAACTTCTCAATCAAAAGATAGGTTCAACTCTGTGAGTTGAAAGCACACCTCACAAAGAAGTTTCTCAGAGTGCTTCTGTGTGTTTTTATGTGAAGATATTTCCTTTTCCACAATAGGCCTCAAAGCTCTCCAAATATCTGCGAGCAGAGTCTACAAAATGAGAGATTCAAAACTGCTCAATGAAAAGATAGGTTCAACTCTGTGAGTTGAATGCACACCTCCAAAGAAGTTTCTCAGAATGCTTCCGTGCAGTTTTTATGTGAAGATATTTACTTTTCCACAGTTGTCCCAAAGCTCTAAAATGTCCACTTGCAGACCCTCCAAAAGAGTGTTTCAGAATTGCTCAATCAAAGGGAAGGTTCAATTCTGTGTGACCAATGCACTCATCACAAAGAAGTTTGTCTGAATGCTTCTGTGTAGAATTCATTTGAAGATAATTCCTTTTCCACCACAGTCCGCAAAGGGCTAAAAATATCCACTTGCCGATTCCACAAAAAGAGAGATTCAAAACTGCTCAATCACAAGATAGGTTCAACTTGGTAATTGGAAAGCACACATGACAAACAATTTCTGAGAATGTTTCTGTGTAGTTTTTAAGGGAAGATATTTGATTTTCAAATGTAGGCCTCAAATCGCTCCAAATATCCACTTGCATATTGTACAAAAAGAGAGATTCAAAACTGGTCACTCAAAAGTTAGGTCCAGCTCTGTGAGCTGAATGCACACATCACAAAGATGTTTCTCAGAAGGTTTCTGTATAGTTTCTATATGAAGATATTTGCTTTTCCACAATATGCCTCAAATCTCCCCCAATTATCCACTTGCAGATTCTAGAAAAAGAGTGTTTCAAAACAGCTCAATCAAAATAAACTTTCAACTCTGTGAGATCAATGCACACATCACAAAGAAGTTTCTCAGAATGCTTCTGTGTAGTTTTTTTTGTGAAGATATTTGATTTTCCACAGCAGGCTTCCAAGCACTCCAAATATCCACTCGCAGATTCTGCAAAAAGAGAGATTCAAATCTGCTGAATCAAAAGATAGGTTTAACTCTGTGACTTCAATGCACACCTCACAAGGGTGTTTCTCAGAAAGCTTCTGTGTAGTTTTTATATGAAGATATCTCCTTCTCCAAAGCAGGTCTCAAAGCCCTCCAAATATTCACTTCAAGATTCTACGGAAAGATTGTCTCAACACTGCTAAATCTAAACAAATGTTCAACTCTGTGTGATGAATGCACTCATCACAGAGAAGTTTCTCTGAATGCCTCTGTGTAGTTTTTATTTGAAGATATTTGCTTTTCCAGTATAGGGCGAAATAGGGCTCCAAATATTCACTTGCAGATTCTACAAAAGGAGAGATTCCAAACTGCTCAATCAAAACATAGGTTCAACACTGTGAGTTGAATGCACACATCACAAAGAAGTTTCACAGAGTGCTTCTGGGTAGTTTTTATTTGAGGATATTTCCCTTTCCACAATAGGCCTCAAAGCTTTCCAAATATCCACTTGCAGATTCTGCAAAAAGAGAGATACAAAACTGCTCTATCAAAAGATAGATTCGACTCGGTGAGTTGAATGCCAACATCGCAAAGAAGTTTCTCAGAATGCTTCTCTGCAGCTTTTTTGTGAGTATGTTTCGTTTTCCACCATAGGGCGAAATGGGGCTCCAAATATCCACTTGCATTTCCTACAAAAAGAGAGATTCTAAGCTGCTCAATCAAAACATTGTTTCAACACGGTTAGTTGAATGCACACATCCCAAAGATGTTTTTCAGAGTGCTTCTGTGTGGTTTTTATGTGAAGATACTTCCTTTTCCACAATAGGCCTCAAATCTCTGTAAATATCCACTTGCAGACTCTACAAAGAGTGTTTCCAAACTGCTCAATCATAAGATAGGTTCAACTCCGATAGTTGAATGCACACATCACAAAGAAGTTTCTCGGAAAGCTTCTGTGTAGTTTTTGATGAAGATATCTTCTTCTCTAAAACAGAACTCCAAGCCCTCCAAATATTCACTTCAAGATTCTACGGAAAGATTGTCTCAAACTGCTAAATCAAAACAAAGGTTCAACTCTGTGTGATGAATGCATTCATCACAAAGAAGTTTCTCTGAGTGCTTCTGTGCAGTTTTTATTTGAAGATAATTGCTTTTCCAGTATAGGGCGAAATAGGGCTCCAAATATTCACTTGCAGATTCTACAGAAAGAGAGATTCCAAACTGCTCAATCAAAACATAGGTTCAACACTGTGAGTTGAATGCATACATCGCAAAGAAGTTTCACAGAGTACTTCTGGGTGGTTTTTATTTGAAGATATTTCCCTTTCCACAATAGGCCTCAAAGCTTTCCAAATGTCCACTTGCAGATTCCACCAAAAGAGTGTTTCGAAACTGCTCAATCAAAAGAAAGGTTCTACTCTGTGGGATGAATGCACACATCACAAAGTAGTTTCTCAGAATGCTTCTGTGTAGTTTTTATGTGAAGATATTTGTTTTTCCACAGTAGGCCCCAAAGAGCTCCAAATATTCACTTGCAGATTCTACAAAAAGAGTGTTCCAAAACTGCTCAATCATGAAATAGGATCAACCCTGTGAGATGAATGTACGTATGACAGAGAAGTTTCTCAGAATGCTTCTGTGTAGTTTTTATGCGAAGATATTCGATTTTCCACAGTACGCCTCAAAGTTCTCCAATTATCCACTCGTAGATTCTGCAAAAAGAGAGATTCAAAACTGCTCAATCAAAAGATAGTTTCTACTCCATTAGCTGAAAGACCACATCACAAAAAAAGTTTCTCAGGATGCTTCTGTGTAGTTTTTATGTGAACATATTTGGTTTTCCACAGTAGGCCTCAAAGCGCTCCAAATATCCACTCACAGATTCTGCAAAAAGAGAGATTCAAAACTGCTGAATCAAAAGACAGTTTCAACTCTGTGACTTCAGTGCACACCTCACAAGGATGTTTCTCAGAATGCTTCTGTGTAGTTTTTATATAAAGATATCTCCTTCTCCAAAATGGATCTCAAAGTTCTCCAAATATTCACTTCCAGATTCTATGGAAAGATTGTCTCAAAACTGCTCAATCAAACCAAAGGTTCAACTCTGTGAGATGAATGCCCACATCACAAAGAAGTTTCTCAGAGTACTTCTGTGTAGTTTCTATTTGAGGATAGTTCCTTTTCCACCACAGACCAGAAAGGGCTCCAAATATCCATTGCAGATGGTACAAAAAGTGAGATTCAAAACTGCTCAATCCAAAGGTAGTTTCAACCATGTGATATGAATGCACACAGCACAGAGAATTTTCTCAAAATGCGTCTGTCTAGTTTTTATTTGAAGATATTTCCTTTTCTACCATAGGCCACAAACGTCTCCAAATATCCACATGCAGCTTCTACAAAAAGAGAGATTCAAAACTTCTCAATCAAAAGATAGGTTCAACTCTGTGAGTTGAAAGCACACCTCACAAAGAAGTTTCTCAGAGTGCTTCTGTGTGTTTTTATGTGAAGATATTTCCTTTTCCACAATAGGCCTCAAAGCTCTCCAAATATCTGCGAGCAGAGTCTACAAAATGAGAGATTCAAAACTGCTCAATGAAAAGATAGGTTCAACTCTGTGAGTTGAATGCACACCTCCAAAGAAGTTTCTCAGAATGCTTCCGTGTAGTTTTTATGTGAAGATATTTACTTTTCCACAGTTGTCCCAAAGCTCTAAAATGTCCACTTGCAGACCCTCCAAAAGAGTGTTTCAGAATTGCTCAATCAAAGGGAAGGTTCAATTCTGTGTGACCAATGCACTCATCACAAAGAAGTTTGTCTGAATGCTTCTGTGTAGAATTGATTTGAAGATAATTCCTTTTCCACCACAGTCCGCAAAGGGCTAAAAATATCCACTTGCCGATTCCACAAAAAGAGAGATTCAAAACTGCTCAATCACAAGATAGGTTCAACTTGGTAATTGGAAAGCACACATGACAAACAATTTCTGAGAATGTTTCTGTGTAGTTTTTAAAGGAAGATATTTGATTTTCAAATGTAGGCCTCAAATCGCTCCAAATATCCACTTGCATATTGTACAAAAAGAGAGATTCAAAACTGGTCACTCAAAAGTTAGGTCCAGCTCTGTGAGCTGAATGCACACATCACAAAGATGTTTCTCAGAAGGTTTCTGTATAGTTTCTATATGAAGATATTGGCTTTTCCACAATATGCCTCAAATCTCCCCAATTATCCACTTGCAGATTCTAGAAAAAGAGTGTTTCAAAACAGCTCAATCAAAATAAACTTTCAACTCTGTGAGATCAATGCACACATCACAAAGAAGTTTCTCAGAATGCTTCTGTGTAGTTTTTTTTGTGAAGATATTTGATTTTCCACAGCAGGCTTCCAAGCACTCCAAATATCCACTCGCAGATTCTGCAAAAAGAGAGATTCAAATCTGCTGAATCAAAAGATAGGTTTAACTCTGTGACTTCAAAGCACACCTCACAAGGGTGTTTCTCAGAAAGCTTCTGTGTAGTTTTTATATGAAGATATCTCCTTCTCCAAAGCAGGTCTCAAAGCCCTCCAAATATTCACTTCAAGATTCTACGGAAAGATTGTCTCAACACTGCTAAATCTAAACAAATGTTCAACTCTGTGTGATGAATGCACTCATCACAGAGAAGTTTCTCTGAATGCCTCTGTGTAGTTTTTATTTGAAGATATTTGCTTTTCCAGTATAGGGCGAAATAGGGCTCCAAATATTCACTTGCAGATTCTACAAAAGGAGAGATTCCAAACTGCTCAATCAAAACATAGGTTCAACACTGTGAGTTGAATGCACACATCACAAAGAAGTTTCACAGAGTGCTTCTGGGTAGTTTTTATTTGAGGATATTTCCCTTTCCACAATAGGCCTCAAAGCTTTCCAAATATCCACTTGCAGATTCTGCAAAAAGAGAGATACAAAACTGCTCTATCAAAAGATAGATTCGACTCTGTGAGTTGAATGCCAACATCGCAAAGAAGTTTCTCAGAATGCTTCTCTGCAGCTTTTTTGTGAGTATGTTTCGTTTTCCACCATAGGGCGAAATGGGGCTCCAAATATCCACTTGCATTTCCTACAAAAAGAGAGATTCTAAGCTGCTCAATCAAAACATTGTTTCAACACGGTTAGTTGAATGCACACATCCCAAAGATGTTTTTCAGAGTGCTTCTGTGTGGTTTTTATGTGAAGATACTTCCTTTTCCACAATAGGCCTCAAATCTCTGTAAATATCCACTTGCAGACTCTACAAAGAGTGTTTCCAAACTGCTCAATCATAAGATAGGTTCAACTCCGATAGTTGAATGCACACATCACAAAGAAGTTTCTCAGAAAGCTTCTGTGTAGTTTTTGATGAAGATATCTTCTTCTCTAAAACAGAACTCCAAGCCCTCCAAATATTCACTTCAAGATTCTACGGAAAGATTGTCTCAAAACTCCTAAATCAAAACAAAGTTTCAACTCTGTGTCATGAATGCATTCATCTCAAAGAAGTTTCTCTGAATGCTTCTGTGCAGTTTTTATTTGAAGATAATTGCCTTTCCAGTATAGGGCGAAATAGGGCTCCAAATATTCACTTGCAGATTCTACAGAAAGAGAGATTCCAAACTGCTCAATCAAAACATAGGTTCAACACTGTGAGTTGAATGCATACATCGCAAAGAAGTTTCACAGAGTACTTCTGGGTGGTTTTTATTTGAAGATATTTCCCTTTCCACAATAGGCCTCAAAGCTTTCCAAATGTCCACTTGCAGATTCCACCAAAAGAGTGTTTCGAAACTGCTCAATCAAAAGAAAGGTTCTACTCTGTGGGATGAATGCACACATCACAAAGTAGTTTCTCAGAATGCTTCTGTGTAGTTTTTATGTGAAGATATTTGTTTTTCCACAGTAGGCCCCAAAGAGCTCCAAATATTCACTTGCAGATTCTACAAAAAGAGTGTTCCAAAACTGCTCAATCATGAAATAGGATCAACCCTGTGAGATGAATGTACGTATGACAGAGAAGTTTCTCAGAATGCTTCTGTGTAGTTTTTATGCGAAGATATTCGATTTTCCACAGTACGCCTCAAAGTTCTCCAATTATCCACTCGTAGATTCTGCAAAAAGAGAGATTCAAAACTGCTCAATCAAAAGATAGTTTCTACTCCATTAGCTGAAAGACCACATCACAAAAAAAGTTTCTCAGGATGCTTCTGTGTAGTTTTTATGTGAAGATATTTGGTTTTCCACAGTAGGCCTCAAAGCGCTCCAAATATCCACTCACAGACTCTGCAAAAAGAGAGATTCAAAACTGCTGAATCAAAAGACAGTTTCAACTCTGTGACTTCAGTGCACACCTCACAAGGATGTTTCTCAGAATGCTTCTGTGTAGTTTTTATATAAAGATATCTCCTTCTCCAAAATGGATCTCAAAGTTCTCCAAATATTCACTTCCAGATTCTATGGAAAGATTGTCTCAAAACTGCTCAATCAAACCAAAGGTTCAACTCTGTGAGATGAATGCCCACATCACAAAGAAGTTTCTCAGAGTACTTCTGTGTAGTTTCTATTTGAGGATAGTTCCTTTTCCACCACAGACCAGAAAGGGCTCCAAATATCCATTGCAGATGATACAAAAAGTGGGATTCAAAACTGCTCAATCCAAAGGTAGTTTCAACCATGTGATATGAATGCACACAGCACAGAGAATTTTCTCAAAATGCGTCTGTCTAGTTTTTATTTGAAGATATTTCCTTTTCTACCATAGGCCACAAACGTCTCCAAATATCCACATGCAGCTTCTACAAAAAGAGAGATTCAAAACTTCTCAATCAAAAGATAGGTTCAACTCTGTGAGTTGAAAGCACACCTCACAAAGAAGTTTCTCAGAGTGCTTCTGTGTGTTTTTATGTGAAGATATTTCCTTTTCCACAATAGGCCTCAAAGCTCTCCAAATATCTGCGAGCAGAGTCTACAAAATGAGAGATTCAAAACTGCTCAATGAAAAGATAGGTTCAACTCTGTGAGTTGAATGCACACCTCCAAAGAAGTTTCTCAGAATGCTTCCGTGTAGTTTTTATGTGAAGATATTTACTTTTCCACAGTTGTCCCAAAGCTCTAAAATATCCACTTGCAGACCCTCCAAAAGAGTGTTTCAGAATTGCTCAATCAAAGGGAAGGTTCAATTCTGTGTGACCAATGCACTCATCACAAAGAAGTTTGTCTGAATGCTTCTGTGTAGAATTGATTTGAAGATAATTCCTTTTCCACCACAGTCCGCAAAGGGCTAAAAATATCCACTTGCCGATTCCACAAAAAGAGAGATTCAAAACTGCTCAATCACAAGATAGGTTCAACTTGGTAATTGGAAAGCACACATGACAAACAATTTCTGAGAATGTTTCTGTGTAGTTTTTAAGGGAAGATATTTGATTTTCAAATGTAGGCCTCAAATCGCTCCAAATATCCACTTGCATATTGTACAAAAAGAGAGATTCAAAACTGGTCACTCAAAAGTTAGGTCCAGCTCTGTGAGCTGAATGCACACATCACAAAGATGTTTCTCAGAAGGTTTCTGTATAGTTTTTATATGAAGATATTTGCTTTTCCACAATATGCCTCAAATCTCCCCAATTATCCACTTGCAGATTCTAGAAAAAGAGTGTTTCAAAACAGCTCAATCAAAATAAACTTTCAACTCTGTGAGATCAATGCACACATCACAAAGAAGTTTCTCAGAATGCTTCTGTGTAGTTTTTTTTGTGAAGATATTTGATTTTCCACAGCAGGCTTCCAAGCACTCCAAATATCCACTCGCAGATTCTGCAAAAAGAGAGATTCAAATCTGCTGAATCAAAAGATAGGTTTAACTCTGTGACTTCAATGCACACCTCACAAGTGTGTTTCTCAGAAAGCTTCTGTGTAGTTTTTATATGAAGATATCTCCTTCTCCAAAGCAGGTCTCAAAGCCCTCCAAATATTCACTTCAAGATTCTACGGAAAGATTGTCTCAACACTGCTAAATCTAAACAAATGTTCAACTCTGTGTGATGAATGCACTCATCACAGAGAAGTTTCTCTGAATGCCTCTGTGTAGTTTTTATTTGAAGAATTTGCTTTTCCAGTATAGGGCGAAATAGGGCTCCAAATATTCACTTGCAGATTCTACAAAAGGAGAGATTCCAAACTGCTCAATCAAAACATAGGTTCAACACTGTGAGTTGAATGCACACATCACAAAGAAGTTTCACAGAGTGCTTCTGGGTAGTTTTTATTTGAGGATATTTCCCTTTCCACAATAGGCCTCAAAGCTTTCCAAATATCCACTTGCAGATTCTGCAAAAAGAGAGATACAAAACTGCTCTATCAAAAGATAGATTCGACTCTGTGAGTTGAATGCCAACATCGCAAAGAAGTTTCTCAGAATGCTTCTCTGCAGCTTTTTTGTGAGTATGTTTCGTTTTCCACCATAGGGCGAAATGGGGCTCCAAATATCCACTTGCATTTCCTACAAAAAGAGAGATTCTAAGCTGCTCAATCAAAACATTGTTTCAACACGGTTAGTTGAATGCACACATCCCAAAGATGTTTTTCAGAGTGCTTCTGTGTGGTTTTTATGTGAAGATACTTCCTTTTCCACAATAGGCCTCAAATCTCTGTAAATATCCACTTGCAGACTCCACAAAGAGTGTTTCCAAACTGCTCAATCATAAGATAGGTTCAACTCCGATAGTTGAATGCACATATCACAAAGAAGTTTCTCAGAAAGCTTTCTGTGTAGTTTTTGATGAAGATATCTTCTTCTCTAAAACAGAACTCCAAGCCCTCCAAATATTCACTTCAAGATTCTACGGAAAGATTGTCTCAAACTGCTAAATCAAAACAAAGGTTCAACTCTGTGTGATGAATGCATTCATCACAAAGAAGTTTCTCTGAGTGCTTCTGTGCAGTTTTTATTTGAAGATAATTGCTTTTCCAGTATAGGGCGAAATAGGGCTCCAAATATTCACTTGCAGATTCTACAGAAAGAGAGATTCCAAACTGCTCAATCAAAACATAGGTTCAACACTGTGAGTTGAATGCATACATCGCAAAGAAGTTTCACAGAGTACTTCTGGGTGGTTTTTATTTGAAGATATTTCCCTTTCCACAATAGGCCTCAAAGCTTTCCAAATGTCCACTTGCAGATTCCACCAAAAGAGTGTTTCGAAACTGCTCAATCAAAAGTAAGTTTCTACTCTGTGGGATGAATGCACACATCACAAAGTAGTTTCTCAGAATGCTTCTGTGTAGTTTTTATGTGAAGATATTTGTTTTTCCACAGTAGGCCCCAAAGAGCTCCAAATATTCACTTGCAGATTCTACAAAAAGAGTGTTCCAAAACTGCTCAATCATGAAATAGGATCAACCCTGTGAGATGAATGTACGTATGACAGAGAAGTTTCTCAGAATGCTTCTGTGTAGTTTTTATGTGAAGATATTCGATTTTCCACAGTACGCCTCAAAGTTCTCCAATTATCCACTCGTAGATTCTGCAAAAAGAGAGATTCAAAACTGCTCAATCAAAAGATAGTTTCTACTCCATTAGCTGAAAGACCACATCACAAAAAAAGTTTCTCAGGATGCTTCTGTGTAGTTTTTATGTGAAGATATTTGGTTTTCCACAGTAGGCCTCAAAGCGCTCCAAATATCCACTCACAGATTCTGCAAAAAGAGAGATTCAAAACTGCTGAATCAAAAGACAGTTTCAACTCTGTGACTTCAGTGCACACCTCACAAGGATGTTTCTCAGAATGCTTCTGTGTAGTTTTCATATAAAGATATCTCCTTCTCCAAAATGGATCTCAAAGTTCTCCAAATATTCACTTCCAGATTCTATGGAAAGATTGTCTCAAAACTGCTCAATCAAACCAAAGGTTCAACTCTGTGAGATGAATGTCCACATCACAAAGAAGTTTCTCAGAGTACTTCTGTGTAGTTTCTATTTGAGGATAGTTCCTTTTCCACCACAGACCAGAAAGGGCTCCAAATATCCATTGCAGATGGTACAAAAAGTGAGATTCAAAACTGCTCAATCCAAAGGTAGTTTCAACCATGTGATATGAATGCACACAGCACAGAGAATTTTCTCAAAATGCGTCTGTCTAGTTTTTATTTGAAGATATTTCCTTTTCTACCATAGGCCACAAACGTCTCCAAATATCCACATGCAGCTTCTACAAAAAGAGAGATTCAAAACTTCTCAATCAAAAGATAGGTTCAACTCTGTGAGTTGAAAGCACACCTCACAAAGAAGTTTCTCAGAGTGCTTCGGTGTGTTTTTATGTGAAGATATTTCCTTTTCCACAATAGGCCTCAAAGCTCTCCAAATATCTGCGAGCAGAGTCTACAAAATGAGAGATTCAAAACTGCTCAATGAAAAGATAGGTTCAACTCTGTGAGTTGAATGCACACCTCCAAAGAAGTTTCTCAGAATGCTTCCGTGTAGTTTTTATGTGAAGATATTTACTTTTCCACAGTTGTCCCAAAGCTCTAAAATATCCACTTGCAGACCCTCCAAAAGAGTGTTTCAGAATTGCTCAATCAAAGGGAAGGTTCAATTCTGTGTGACCAATGCACTCATCACAAAGAAGTTTGTCTGAATGCTTCTGTGTAGAATTGATTTGAAGATAATTCCTTTTCCACCACAGTCCGCAAAGGGCTAAAAATATCCACTTGCCGATTCCACAAAAAGAGAGATTCAAAACTGCTCAATCACAAGATAGGTTCAACTTGGTAATTGGAAAGCACACATGACAAACAATTTCTGAGAATGTTTCTGTGTAGTTTTTAAGGGAAGATATTTGATTTTCAAATGTAGGCCTCAAATCGCTCCAAATATCCACTTGCATATTGTACAAAAAGAGAGATTCAAAACTGGTCACTCAAAAGTTAGGTCCAGCTCTGTGAGCTGAATGCACACATCACAAAGATGTTTCTCAGAAGGTTTCTGTATAGTTTCTATATGAAGATATTTGCTTTTCCACAATATGCCTCAAATCTCCCCAATTATCCACTTGCAGATTCTAGAAAAAGAGTGTTTCAAAACAGCTCAATCAAAATAAACTTTCAACTCTGTGAGATCAATGCACACATCACAAAGAAGTTTCTCAGAATGCTTCTGTGTAGTTTTTTTTTGTGAAGATATTTGATTTTCCACAGCAGGCTTCCAAGCACTCCAAATATCCACTCGCAGATTCTGCAAAAAGAGAGATTCAAATCTGCTGAATCAAAAGATAGGTTTAACTCTGTGACTTCAATGCACACCTCTCAAGGGTGTTTCTCAGAAAGCTTCTGTGTAGTTTTTATATGAAGATATCTCCTTCTCCAAAGCAGGTCTCAAAGCCCTCCAAATATTCACTTCAAGATTCTACGGAAAGATTGTCTCAACACTGCTAAATCTAAACAAATGTTCAACTCTGTGTGATGAATGCACTCATCACAGAGAAGTTTCTCTGAAGGCCTCTGTGTAGTTTTTATTTGAAGATATTTGCTTTTCCAGTATAGGGCGAAATAGGGCTCCAAATATTCACTTGCAGATTCTACAAAAGGAGAGATTCCAAACTGCTCAATCAAAACATAGGTTCAACACTGTGAGTTGAATGCACACATCACAAAGAAGTTTCACAGAGTGCTTCTGGGTAGTTTTTATTTGAGGATATTTCCCTTTCCACAATAGGCCTCAAAGCTTTCCAAATATCCACTTGCAGATTCTGCAAAAAGAGAGATACAAAACTGCTCTATCAAAAGATAGATTCGACTCTGTGAGTTGAATGCCAACATCGCAAAGAAGTTTCTCAGAATGCTTCTCTGCAGCTTTTTTGTGAGTATGTTTCGTTTTCCACCATAGGGCGAAATGGGGCTCCAAATATCCACTTGCATTTCCTACAAAAAGAGAGATTCTAAGCTGCTCAATCAAAACATTGTTTCAACACGGTTAGTTGAATGCACACATCCCAAAGGTGTTTTTCAGAGTGCTTCTGTGTGGTTTTTATGTGAAGATACTTCCTTTTCCACAATAGGCCTCAAATCTCTGTAAATATCCACTTGCAGACTCCACAAAGAGTGTTTCCAAACTGCTCAATCATAAGATAGGTTCAACTCCGATAGTTGAATGCACACATCACAAAGAAGTTTCTCAGAAAGCTTCTGTGTAGTTTTTGATGAAGATATCTTCTTCCCTAAAACAGCACTCCAAGCCCTCCAAATATTCACTTCAAGATTCTACGGAAAGATTGTCTCAAAACTCCTAAATCAAAACAAAGTTTCAACTCTGTGTCATGAATGCATTCATCTCAAAGAAGTTTCTCTGAATGCTTCTGTGCAGTTTTTATTTGAAGATAATTGCTTTTCCAGTATAGGGCGAAATAGGGCTCCAAATATTCACTTGCAGATTCTACAGAAAGAGAGATTCCAAACTGCTCAATCAAAACATAGGTTCAACACTGTGAGTTGAATGCATACATCGCAAAGAAGTTTCACAGAGTACTTCTGGGTGGTTTTTATTTGAAGATATTTCCCTTTCCACAATAGGCCTCAAAGCTTTCCAAATGTCCACTTGCAGATTCCACCAAAAGAGTGTTTCGAACCTGCTCAATCAAAAGAAAGGTTCTACTCTGTGGGATGAATGCACACATCACAAAGTAGTTTCTCAGAATGCTTCTGTGTAGTTTTTATGTGAAGATATTTGTTTTTCCACAGTAGGCCCCAAAGAGCTCCAAATATTCACTTGCAGATTCTACAAAAAGAGTGTTCCAGAACTGCTCAATCATGAAATAGGATCAACCCTGTGAGATGAATGTACGTATGACAGAGAAGTTTCTCAGAATGCTTCTGTGTAGTTTTTATGCGAAGATATTCGATTTTCCACAGTACGCCTCAAAGTTCTCCAATTATCCACTCGTAGATTCTGCAAAAAGAGAGATTCAAAACTGCTCAATCAAAAGATAGTTTCTACTCCATTAGCTGAAAGACCACATCACAAAAAAAGTTTCTCAGGATGCTTCTGTGTAGTTTTTATGTGAAGATATTTGGTTTTCCACAGTAGGCCTCAAAGCGCTCCAAATATCCACTCACAGATTCTGCAAAAAGAGAGATTCAAAACTGCTGAATCAAAAGACAGTTTCAACTCTGTGACTTCAGTGCACACCTCACAAGGATGTTTCTCAGAATGCTTCTGTGTAGTTTTTATATAAAGATATCTCCTTCTCCAAAATGGATCTCAAAGTTCTCCAAATATTCACTTCCAGATTCTATGGAAAGATTGTCTCAAAACTGCTCAATCAAACCAAAGGTTCAACTCTGTGAGATGAATGCACACATCACAAAGAAGTTTCTCAGAGTACTTCTGTGTAGTTTCTATTTGAGGATAGTTCCTTTTCCACCACAGACCAGAAAGGGCTCCAAATATCCATTGCAGATGGTACAAAAAGTGAGATTCAAAACTGCTCAATCCAAAGGTAGTTTCAACCATGTGATATGAATGCACACAGCACAGAGAATTTTCTCAAAATGCGTCTGCCTAGTTTTTATTTGAAGATATTTCCTTTTCTACCATAGGCCACAAACGTCTCCAAATATCCACATGCAGCTTCTACAAAAAGAGAGATTCAAAACTTCTCAATCAAAAGATAGGTTCAACTCTGTGAGTTGAAAGCACACCTCACAGAGAAGTTTCTCAGAGTGCTTCTGTGTGTTTTTATGTGAAGATATTTCCTTTTCCACAATAGGCCTCAAAGCTCTCCAAATATCTGCGAGCAGAGTCTACAAAATGAGAGATTCAAAACTGCTCAATGAAAAGATAGGTTCAACTCTGTGAGTTGAATGCACACCTCCAAAGAAGTTTCTCAGAATGCTTCCGTGTAGTTTTTATGTGAAGATATTTACTTTTCCACAGTTGTCCCAAAGCTCTAAAATATCCACTTGCAGACCCTCCAAAAGAGTGTTTCAGAATTGCTCAATCAAAGGGAAGGTTCAATTCTGTGTGACCAATGCACTCATCACAAAGAAGTTTGTCTGAATGCTTCTGTGTAGAATTGATTTGAAGATAATTCCTTTTCCACCACAGTCCGCAAAGGGCTAAAAATATCCACTTGCCGATTCCACAAAAAGAGAGATTCAAAACTGCTCAATCACAAGATAGGTTCAACTTGGTAATTGGAAAGCACACATGACAAACAATTTCTGAGAATGTTTCTGTGTAGTTTTTAAGGGAAGATATTTGATTTTCAAATGTAGGCCTCAAATCGCTCCAAATATCCACTTGCATATTGTACAAAAAGAGAGATTCAAAACTGGTCACTCAAAAGTTAGGTCCAGCTCTGTGAGCTGAATGCACACATCACAAAGATGTTTCTCAGATGGTTTCTGTATAGTTTCTATATGAAGATATTGGCCTTTCCACAATATGCCTCAAATCTCCCCAATTATCCACTTGCAGATTCTAGAAAAAGAGTGTTTCAAAACAGCTCAATCAAAATAAACTTTCAACTCTGTGAGATCAATGCACACATCACAAAGAAGTTTCTCAGAATGCTTCTGTGTAGTTTTTTTTGTGAAGATATTTGATTTTCCACAGCAGGCTTCCAAGCACTCCAAATATCCACTCGCAGATTCTGCAAAAAGAGAGATTCAAATCTGCTGAATCAAAAGATAGGTTTAACTCTGTGACTTCAATGCACACCTCACAAGGGTGTTTCTCAGAAAGCTTCTGTGTAGTTTTTATATGAAGATATCTCCTTCTCCAAAGCAGGTCTCAAAGCCCTCCAAATATTCACTTCAAGATTCTACGGAAAGATTGTCTCAACACTGCTAAATCTAAACAAATGTTCAACTCTGTGTGATGAATGCACTCATCACAGAGAAGTTTCTCTGAATGCCTCTGTGTAGTTTTTATTTGAAGATATTTGCTTTTCCAGTATAGGGCGAAATAGGGCTCCAAATATTCACTTGCAGATTCTACAAAAGGAGAGATTCCAAACTGCTCAATCAAAACATAGGTTCAACACTGTGAGTTGAATGCACACATCACAAAGAAGTTTCACAGAGTGCTTCTGGGTAGTTTTTATTTGAGGATATTTCCCTTTCCACAATAGGCCTCAAAGCTTTCCAAATATCCACTTGCAGATTCTGCAAAAAGAGAGATACAAAACTGCTCTATCAAAAGATAGATTCGACTCTGTGAGTTGAATGCCAACATCGCAAAGAAGTTTCTCAGAATGCTTCTCTGCAGCTTTTTTGTGAGTATGTTTCGTTTTCCACCATAGGGCGAAATGGGGCTCCAAATATCCACTTGCATTTCCTACAAAAAGAGAGATTCTAAGCTGCTCAATCAAAACATTGTTTCAACACGGTTAGTTGAATGCACACATCCCAAAGATGTTTTTCAGAGTGCTTCTGTGTGGTTTTTATGTGAAGATACTTCCTTTTCCACAATAGGCCTCAAATCTCTGTAAATATCCACTTGCAGACTCTACAAAGAGTGTTTCCAAACTCCTCAATCATAAGATAGGTTCAACTCCGATAGTTGAATGCACACATCACAAAGAAGTTTCTCAGAAAGCTTCTGTGTAGTTTTTGATGAAGATATCTTCTTCTCTAAAACAGAACTCCAAGCCCTCCAAATATTCACTTCAAGATTCTACGGAAAGATTGTCTCAAAACTCCTAAATCAAAACAAAGTTTCAACTCTGTGTCATGAATGCATTCATCTCAAAGAAGTTTACACTGAGTGCTTCTGTGCAGTTTTTATTTGAAGATAATTGCTTTTCCAGTATAGGGCGAAATAGGGCTCCAAATATTCACTTGCAGATTCTACAGAAAGAGAGATTCCAAACTGCTCAATCAAAACATAGATTCAACACTGTGAGTTGAATGCATACATCGCAAAGAAGTTTCACAGAGTACTTCTGGGTGGTTTTTATTTGAAGATATTTCCCTTTCCACAATAGGCCTCAAAGCTTTCCAAATGTCCACTTGCAGATTCCACCAAAAGAGTGTTTCGAAACTGCTCAATCAAAAGAAAGGTTCTACTCTGTGGGATGAATGCACACATCACAAAGTAGTTTCTCAGAATGCTTCTGTGTAGTTTTTATGTGAAGATATTTGTTTTTCCACAGTAGGCCCCAAAGAGCTCCAAATATTCACTTGCAGATTCTACAAAAAGAGTGTTCCAAAACTGCTCAATCATGAAATAGGATCAACCCTGTGAGATGAATGTACGTATGACAGAGAAGTTTCTCAGAATGCTTCTGTGTAGTTTTTATGCGAAGATATTCGATTTTCCACAGTACGCCTCAAAGTTCTCCAATTATCCACTCGTAGATTCTGCAAAAAGAGAGATTCAAAACTGCTCAATCAAAAGATAGTTTCTACTCCATTAGCTGAAAGACCACATCACAAAAAAAGTTTCTCAGGATGCTTCTGTGTAGTTTTTATGTGAAGATATTTGGTTTTCCACAGTAGGCCTCAAAGCGCTCCAAATATCCACTCACAGATTCTGCAAAAAGAGAGATTCAAAACTGCTGAATCAAAAGACAGTTTCAACTCTGTGACTTCAGTGCACACCTCACAAGGATGTTTCTCAGAATGCTTCTGTGTAGTTTTTATAAAAAGATATCTCCTTCTCCAAAATGGATCTCAAAGTTCTCCAAATATTCACTTCCAGATTCTATGGAAAGATTGTCTCAAAACTGCTCAATCAAACCAAAGGTTCAACTCTGTGAGATGAATGCCCACATCACAAAGAAGTTTCTCAGAGTACTTCTGTGTAGTTTCTATTTGAGGATAGTTCCTTTTCCACCACAGACCAGAAAGGGCTCCAAATATCCATTGCAGATGGTACAAAAAGTGAGATTCAAAACTGCTCAATCCAAAGGTAGTTTCAACCATGTGATATGAATGCACACAGCACAGAGAATTTTCTCAAAATGCGTCTGTCTAGTTTTTATTTGAAGATATTTTCTTTTCTACCATAGGCCACAAACGTCTCCAAATATCCACATGCAGCTTCTACAAAAAGAGAGATTCAAAACTTCTCAATCAAAAGATAGGTTCAACTCTGTGAGTTGAAAGCACACCTCACAAAGAAGTTTCTCAGAGTGCTTCTGTGTGTTTTTATGTGAAGATATTTCCTTTTCCACAATAGGCCTCAAAGCTCTCCAAATATCTGCGAGCAGAGTCTACAAAATGAGAGATTCAAAACTGCTCAATGAAAAGATAGGTTCAACTCTGTGAGTTGAATGCACACCTCCAAAGAAGTTTCTCAGAATGCTTCCGTGTAGTTTTTATGTGAAGATATTTACTTTTCCACAGTTGTCCCAAAGCTCTAAAATATCCACTTGCAGACCCTCCAAAAGAGTGTTTCAGAATTGCTCAATCAAAGGGAAGGTTCAATTCTGTGTGACCAATGCACTCATCACAAAGAAGTTTGTCTGAATGCTTCTGTGTAGAATTGATTTGAAGATAATTCCTTTTCCACCACAGTCCGCAAAGGGCTAAAAATATCCACTTGCCGATTCCACAAAAAGAGAGATTCAAAACTGCTCAATCACAAGATAGGTTCAACTTGGTAATTGGAAAGCACACATGACAAACAATTTCTGAGAATGTTTCTGTGTAGTTTTTAAGGGAAGATATTTGATTTTCAAATGTAGGCCTCAAATCGCTCCAAATATCCACTTGCATATTGTACAAAAAGAGAGATTCAAAACTGGTCACTCAAAAGTTAGGTCCAGCTCTGTGAGCTGAATGCACACATCACAAAGATGTTTCTCAGAAGGTTTCTGTATAGTTTCTATATGAAGATATTGGCTTTTCCACAATATGCCTCAAATCTCCCCAATTATCCACTTGCAGATTCTAGAAAAAGAGTGTTTCAAAACAGCTCAATCAAAATAAACTTTCAACTCTGTGAGATCAATGCACACATCACAAAGAAGTTTCTCAGAATGCTTCTGTGTAGTTTTTTTTGTGAAGATATTTGATTTTCCACAGCAGGCTTCCAAGCACTCCAAATATCCACTCGCAGATTCTGCAAAAAGAGAGATTCAAATCTGCTGAATCAAAAGATAGGTTTAACTCTGTGACTTCAATGCACACCTCACAAGGGTGTTTCTCAGAAAGCTTCTGTGTAGCTTTTATATGAAGATATCTCCTTCTCCAAAGCAGGTCTCAAAGCCCTCCAAATATTCACTTCAAGATTCTACGGAAAGATTGTCTCAACACTGCTAAATCTAAACAAATGTTCAACTCTGTGTGATGAATGCACTCATCACAGAGAAGTTTCTCTGAATGCCTCTGTGTAGTTTTTATTTGAAGATATTTGCTTTTCCAGTATAGGGCGAAATAGGGCTCCAAATATTCACTTGCAGATTCTACAAAAGGAGAGATTCCAAACTGCTCAATCAAAACATAGGTTCAACACTGTGAGTTGAATGCACACATCACAAAGAAGTTTCACAGAGTGCTTCTGGGTAGTTTTTATTTGAGGATATTTCCCTTTCCACAATAGGCCTCAAAGCTTTCCAAATATCCACTTGCAGATTCTGCAAAAAGAGAGATACAAAACTGCTCTATCAAAAGATAGATTCGACTCTGTGAGTTGAATGCCAACATCGCAAAGAAGTTTCTCAGAATGCTTCTCTGCAGCTTTTTTGTGAGTATGTTTCGTTTTCCACCATAGGGCGAAATGGGGCTCCAAATATCCACTTGCATTTCCTACAAAAAGAGAGATTCTAAGCTGCTCAATCAAAACATTGTTTCAACACGGTTAGTTGAATGCACACATCCCAAAGATGTTTTTCAGAGTGCTTCTGTGTGGTTTTTATGTGAAGATACTTCCTTTTCCACAATAGGCCTCAAATCTCTGTAAATATCCACTTGCAGACTCTACAAAGAGTGTTTCCAAACTGCTCAATCATAAGATAGGTTCAACTCCGATAGTTGAATGCACACATCACAAAGAAGTTTCTCAGAAAGCTTCTGTGTAGTTTTTGATGAAGATATCTTCTTCTCTAAAACAGAACTCCAAGCCCTCCAAATATTCACTTCAAGATTCTACGGAAAGATTGCCTCAAAACTCCTAAATCAAAACAAAGTTTCAACTCTGTGTCATGAATGCATTCATCTCAAAGAAGTTTCTCTGAATGCTTCTGTGCAGTTTTTATTTGAAGATAATTGCTTTTCCAGTATAGGGCGAAATAGGGCTCCAAATATTCACTTGCAGGTTCTACAGAAAGAGAGATTCCAAACTGCTCAATCAAAACATAGGTTCAACACTGTGAGTTGAATGCATACATCGCAAAGAAGTTTCACAGAGTACTTCTGGGTGGTTTTTATTTGAAGATATTTCCCTTTCCACAATAGGCCTCAAAGCTTTCCAAATGTCCACTTGCAGATTCCACCAAAAGAGTGTTTCGAAACTGCTCAATCAAAAGAAAGGTTCTACTCTGTGGGATGAATGCACACATCACAAAGTAGTTTCTCAGAATGCTTCTGTGTAGTTTTTATGTGAAGATATTTGTTTTTCCACAGTAGGCCCCAAAGAGCTCCAAATATTCACTTGCAGATTCTACAAAAAGAGTGTTCCAAAACTGCTCAATCATGAAATAGGATCAACTCTGTGAGATGAATGTACGTATGACAGAGAAGTTTCTCAGAATGCTTCAGTGTAGTTTTTATGCGAAGATATTCGGTTTTCCACAGTACGCCTCAAAGTTCTCCAATTATCTACTCGTAGATTCTGCAAAAAGAGAGATTCAAAACTGCTCAATCAAAAGATAGTTTCTACTCCATTAGCTGAAAGACCACATCACAAAAAAAGTTTCTCAGGATGCTTCTGTGTAGTTTTTATGTGAAGATATTTGGTTTTCCACAGTAGGCCTCAAAGCGCTCCAAATATCCACTCACAGATTCTGCAAAAAGAGAGATTCAAAACTGCTGAATCAAAAGACAGTTTCAACTCTGTGACTTCAGTGCACACCTCACAAGGATGTTTCTCAGAATGCTTCTGTGTAGTTTTTATATAAAGATATCTCCTTCTCCAAAATGGATCTCAAAGTTCTCCAAATATTCACTTCCAGATTCTATGGAAAGATTGTCTCAAAACTGCTCAATCAAACCAAAGGTTCAACTCTGTGAGATGAATGCACACATCACAAAGAAGTTTCTCAGAGTACTTCTGTGTAGTTTCTATTTGAGGATAGTTCCTTTTCCACCACAGACCAGAAAGGGCTCCAAATATCCATTGCAGATGGTACAAAAAGTGAGATTCAAAACTGCTCAATCCAAAGGTAGTTTCAACCATGTGATATGAATGCACACAGCACAGAGAATTTTCTCAAAATGCGTCTGTCTAGTTTTTATTTGAAGATATTTCCTTTTCTACCATAGGCCACAAACGTCTCCAAATATCCACATGCAGCTTCTACAAAAAGAGAGATTCAAAACTTCTCAATCAAAAGATAGGTTCAACTCTGTGAGTTGAAAGCACACCTCACAAAGAAGTTTCTCAGAGTGCTTCTGTGTGTTTTTATGTGAAGATATTTCCTTTTCCACAATAGGCCTCAAAGCTCTCCAAATATCTGCGAGCAGAGTCTACAAAATGAGAGATTCAAAACTGCTCAATGAAAAGATAGGTTCAACTCTGTGAGTTGAATGCACACCTCCAAAGAAGTTTCTCAGAATGCTTCCGTGTAGTTTTTATGTGAAGATATTTACTTTTCCACAGTTGTCCCAAAGCTCTAAAATATCCACTTGCAGACCCTCCAAAAGAGTGTTTCAGAATTGCTCAATCAAAGGGAAGGTTCAATTCTGTGTGACCAATGCACTCATCACAAAGAAGTTTGTCTGAATGCTTCTGTGTAGAATTGATTTGAAGATAATTCCTTTTCCACCACAGTCCGCAAAGGGCTAAAAATATCCACTTGCCGATTCCACAAAAAGAGAGATTCAAAACTGCTCAATCACAAGATAGGTTCAACTTGGTAATTGGAAAGCACACATGACAAACAATTTCTGAGAATGTTTCTGTGTAGTTTTTAAGGGAAGATATTTGATTTTCAAATGTAGGCCTCAAATCGCTCCAAATATCCACTTGCATATTGTACAAAAAGAGAGATTCAAAACTGGTCACTCAAAAGTTAGGTCCAGCTCTGTGAGCTGAATGCACACATCACAAAGATGTTTCTCAGAAGGTTTCTGTATAGTTTTTATATGAAGATATTTGCTTTTCCACAATATGCCTCAAATCTCCCCAATTATCCACTTGCAGATTCTAGAAAAAGAGTGTTTCAAAACAGCTCAATCAAAATAAACTTTCAACTCTGTGAGATCAATGCACACATCACAAAGGAGTTTCTCAGAATGCTTCTGTGTAGTTTTTTTTGTGAAGATATTTGATTTTCCACAGCAGGCTTCCAAGCACTCCAAATATCCACTCGCAGATTCTGCAAAAAGAGAGATTCAAATCTGCTGAATCAAAAGATAGGTTTAACTCGGTGACTTCAATGCACACCTCACAAGGGTGTTTACTCAGAAAGCTTCTGTGTAGTTTTTATATGAAGATATCTCCTTCTCCAAAGCAGGTCTCAAAGCCCTCCAAATATTCACTTCAAGATTCTACGGAAAGATTGTCTCAACACTGCTAAATCTAAACAAATGTTCAACTCTGTGTGATGAATGCACTCATCACAGAGAAGTTTCTCTGAATGCCTCTGTGTAGTTTTTATTTGAAGATATTTGCTTTTCCAGTATAGGGCGAAATAGGGCTCCAAATATTCACTTGCAGATTCTACAAAAGGAGAGATTCCAAACTGCTCAATCAAAACATAGGTTCAACGCTGTGAGTTGAATGCACACATCACAAAGAAGTTTCACAGAGTGCTTCTGGGTAGTTTTTATTTGAGGATATTTCCCTTTCCACAATAGGCCTCAAAGCTTTCCAAATATCCACTTGCAGATTCTGCAAAAAGAGAGATACAAAACTGCTCTATCAAAAGATAGATTCGACTCTGTGAGTTGAATGCCAACATCGCAAAGAAGTTTCTCAGAATGCTTCTCTGCAGCTTTTTTGTGAGTATGTTTCGTTTTCCACCATAGGGCGAAATGGGGCTCCAAATATCCACTTGCATTTCCTACAAAAAGAGAGATTCTAAGCTGCTCAATCAAAACATTGTTTCAACACGGTTAGTTGAATGCACACATCCCAAAGACGTTTTTCAGAGTGCTTCTGTGTGGTTTTTATGTGAAGATACTTCCTTTTCCACAATAGGCCTCAAATCTCTGTAAATATCCACTTGCAGACTCTACAAAGAGTGTTTCCAAACTGCTCAATCATAAGATAGGTTCAACTCCGATAGTTGAATGCACACATCACAAAGAAGTTTCTCAGAAAGCTTCTGTGTAGTTTTTGATGAAGATATCTTCTTCTCTAAAACAGAACTCCAAGCCCTCCAAATATTCACTTCAAGATTCTACGGAAAGATTGTCTCAAACTGCTAAATCAAAACAAAGGTTCAACTCTGTGTGATGAATGCATTCATCACAAAGAAGTTTCTCTGAGTGCTTCTGTGCAGTTTTTATTTGAAGATAATTGCTTTTCCAGTATAGGGCGAAATAGGGCTCCAAATATTCACTTGCAGATTCTACAGAAAGAGAGATTCCAAACTGCTCAATCAAAACATAGGTTCAACACTGTGAGTTGAATGCATACATCGCAAAGAAGTTTCACAGAGTACTTCTGGGTGGTTTTTATTTGAAGATATTTCCCTTTCCACAATAGGCCTCAAAGCTTTCCAAATGTCCACTTGCAGATTCCACCAAAAGAGTGTTTCGAAACTGCTCAATCAAAAGAAAGGTTCTACTCTGTGGGATGAATGCACACATCACAAAGTAGTTTCTCAGAATGCTTCTGTGTAGTTTTTATGTGAAGATATTTGTTTTTCCACAGTAGGCCCCAAAGAGCTCCAAATATTCACTTGCAGATTCTACAAAAAGAGTGTTCCAAAACTGCTCAATCATGAAATAGGATCAACTCTGTGAGATGAATGTACGTATGACAGAGAAGTTTCTCAGAATGCTTCTGTGTAGTTTTTATGCGAAGATATTCGATTTTCCACAGTACGCCTCAAAGTTCTCCAATTATCCACTCGTAGATTCTGCAAAAAGAGAGATTCAAAACTGCTCAATCAAAAGATAGTTTCTACTCCATTAGCTGAAAGACCACATCACAAAAAAAGTTTCTCAGGATGCTTCTGTGTAGTTTTTATGTGAAGATATTTGGTTTTCCACAGTAGGCCTCAAAGCGCTCCAAATATCCACTCACAGATTCTGCAAAAAGAGAGATTCAAAACTGCTGAATCAAAAGACAGTTTCAACTCTGTGACTTCAGTGCACACCTCACAAGGATGTTTCTCAGAATGCTTCTGTGTAGTTTTCATATAAAGATATCTCCTTCTCCAAAATGGATCTCAAAGTTCTCCAAATATTCACTTCCAGATTCTATGGAAAGATTGTCTCAAAACTGCTCAATCAAACCAAAGGTTCAACTCTGTGAGATGAATGCCCACATCACAAAGAAGTTTCTCAGAGTACTTTCTGTGTAGTTTCTATTTGAGGATAGTTCCTTTTCCACCACAGACCAGAAAGGGCTCCAAATATCCATTGCAGATGGTACAAAAAGTGAGATTCAAAACTGCTCAATCCAAAGGTAGTTTCAACCATGTGATATGAATGCACACAGCACAGAGAATTTTCTCAAAATGCGTCTGTCTAGTTTTTATTTGAAGATATTTCCTTTTCTACCATAGGCCACAAACGTCTCCAAATATCCACATGCAGCTTCTACAAAAAGAGAGATTCAAAACTTCTCAATCAAAAGATAGGTTCAACTCTGTGAGTTGAAAGCACACCTCACAAAGAAGTTTCTCAGAGTGCTTCGGTGTGTTTTTATGTGAAGATATTTCCTTTTCCACAATAGGCCTCAAAGCTCTCCAAATATCTGCGAGCAGAGTCTACAAAATGAGAGATTCAAAACTGCTCAATGAAAAGATAGGTTCAACTCTGTGAGTTGAATGCACACCTCCAAAGAAGTTTCTCAGAATGCTTCCGTGTAGTTTTTATGTGAAGATATTTACTTTTCCACAGTTGTCCCAAAGCTCTAAAATGTCCACTTGCAGACCCTCCAAAAGAGTGTTTCAGAATTGCTCAATCAAAGGGCAGGTTCAATTCTGTGTGACCAATGCACTCATCACAAAGAAGTTTGTCTGAATGCTTCTGTGTAGAATTGATTTGAAGATAATTCCTTTTCCACCACAGTCCGCAAAGGGCTAAAAATATCCACTTGCCGATTCCACAAAAAGAGAGATTCAAAACTGCTCAATCACAAGATAGGTTCAACTTGGTAATTGGAAAGCACACATGACAAACAATTTCTGAGAATGTTTCTGTGTAGTTTTTAAGGGAAGATATTTGATTTTCAAATGTAGGCCTCAAATCGCTCCAAATATCCACTTGCATATTGTACAAAAAGAGAGATTCAAAACTGGTCACTCAAAAGTTAGGTCCAGCTCTGTGAGCTGAATGCACACATCACAAAGATGTTTCTCAGAAGGTTTCTGTATAGTTTTTATATGAAGATATTTGCTTTTCCACAATATGCCTCAAATCTCCCCAATTATCCACTTGCAGATTCTAGAAAAAGAGTGTTTCAAAACAGCTCAATCAAAATAAACTTTCAACTCTGTGAGATCAATGCACACATCACAAAGAAGTTTCTCAGAATGCTTCTGTGTAGTTATTTTTGTGAAGATATTTGATTTTCCACAGCAGGCTTCCAAGCACTCCAAATATCCACTCGCAGATTCTGCAAAAAGAGAGATTCAAATCTGCTGAATCAAAAGATAGGTTTAACTCTGTGACTTCAATGCACACCTCACAAGGGTGTTTCTCAGAAAGCTTCTGTGTAGTTTTTATATGAAGATATCTCCTTCTCCAAAGCAGGTCTCAAAGCCCTCCAAATATTCACTTCAAAATTCTACGGAAAGATTGTCTCAACACTGCTAAATCTAAACAAATGTTCAACTCTGTGTGATGAATGCACTCATCACAGAGAAGTTTCTCTGAATGCCCTGTGTAGTTTTTATTTGAAGATATTTGCTTTTCCAGTATAGGGCGAAATAGGGCTCCAAATATTCACTTGCAGATTCTACAAAAGGAGAGATTCCAAACTGCTCAATCAAAACATAGGTTCAACACTGTGAGTTGAATGCACACATCACAAAGAAGTTTCACAGAGTGCTTCTGGGTAGTTTTTATTTGAGGATATTTCCCTTTCCACAATAGGCCTCAAAGCTTTCCAAATATCCACTTGCAGATTCTGCAAAAAGAGAGATACAAAACTGCTCTATCAAAAGATAGATTCGACTCTGTGAGTTGAATGCCAACATCGCAAAGAAGTTTCTCAGAATGCTTCTCTGCAGCTTTTTTGTGAGTACGTTTCGTTTTCCACCATAGGGCGAAATGGGGCTCCAAATATCCACTTGCATTTCCTACAAAAAGAGAGATTCTAAGCTGCTCAATCAAAACATTGTTTCAACACGGTTAGTTGAATGCACACATCCCAAAGATGTTTTTCAGAGTGCTTCTGTGTGGTTTTTATGTGAAGATACTTCCTTTTCCACAATAGGCCTCAAATCTCTGTAAATATCCACTTGCAGACTCTACAAAGAGTGTTTCCAAACTCCTCAATCATAAGATAGGTTCAACTCCGATAGTTGAATGCACACATCACAAAGAAGTTTCTCGGAAAGCTTCTGTGTAGTTTTTGATGAAGATATCTTCTTCTCTAAAACAGAACTCCAAGCCCTCCAAATATTCACTTCAAGATTCTACGGAAAGATTGTCTCAAACTGCTAAATCAAAACAAAGGTTCAACTCTGTGTGATGAATGCATTCATCACAAAGAAGTTTCTCTGAGTGCTTCTGTGCAGTTTTTATTTGAAGATAATTGCTTTTCCAGTATAGGGCGAAATAGGGCTCCAAATATTCACTTGCAGATTCTACAGAAAGAGAGATTCCAAACTGCTCAATCAAAACATAGGTTCAACACTGTGAGTTGAATGCATACATCGCAAAGAAGTTTCACAGAGTACTTCTGGGTGGTTTTTATTTGAAGATATTTCCCTTTCCACAATAGGCCTCAAAGCTTTCCAAATGTCCACTTGCAGATTCCACCAAAAGAGTGTTTCGAAACTGCTCAATCAAAAGAAAGGTTCTACTCTGTGGGATGAATGCACACATCACAAAGTAGTTTCTCAGAATGCTTCCTGTGTAGTTTTTATGTGAAGATATTTGTTTTTCCACAGTAGGCCCCAAAGAGCTCCAAATATTCACTTGCAGATTCTACAAAAAGAGTGTTCCAAAACTGCTCAATCATGAAATAGGATCAACCCTGTGAGATGAATGTACGTATGACAGAGAAGTTTCTCAGAATGCTTCTGTGTAGTTTTTATGCGAAGATATTCGATTTTCCACAGTACGCCTCAAAGTTCTCCAATTATCCACTCGTAGATTCTGCAAAAAGAGAGATTCAAAACTGCTCAATCAAAAGATAGTTTCTACTCCATTAGCTGAAAGACCACATCACAAAAAAAGTTTCTCAGGATGCTTCTGTGTAGTTTTTATGTGAAGATATTTGGTTTTCCACAGTAGGCCTCAAAGCGCTCCAAATATCCACTCACAGATTCTGCAAAAAGAGAGATTCAAAACTGCTGAATCAAAAGACAGTTTCAACTCTGTGACTTCAGTGCACACCTCACAAGGATGTTTCTCAGAATGCTTCTGTGTAGTTTTCATATAAAGATATCTCCTTCTCCAAAATGCATCTCAAAGTTCTCCAAATATTCACTTCCAGATTCTATGGAAAGATTGTCTCAAAACTGCTCAATCAAACCAAAGGTTCAACTCTGTGAGATGAATGCCCACATCACAAAGAAGTTTCTCAGAGTACTTCTGTGTAGTTTCTATTTGAGGATAGTTCCTTTTCCACCACAGACCAGAAAGGGCTCCAAATATCCATTGCAGATGGTACAAAAAGTGAGATTCAAAACTGCTCAATCCAAAGGTAGTTTCAACCATGTGATATGAATGCACACAGCACAGAGAATTTTCTCAAAATGCGTCTGTCTAGTTTTTATTTGAAGATATTTCCTTTTCTACCATAGGCCACAAACGTCTCCAAATATCCACATGCAGCTTCTACAAAAAGAGAGATTCAAAACTTCTCAATCAAAAGATAGGTTCAACTCTGTGAGTTGAAAGCACACCTCACAAAGAAGTTTCTCAGAGTGCTTCTGTGTGTTTTTATGTGAAGATATTTCCTTTTCCACAATAGGCCTCAAAGCTCTCCAAATATCTGCGAGCAGAGTCTACAAAATGAGAGATTCAAAACTGCTCAATGAAAAGATAGGTTCAACTCTGTGAGTTGAATGCACACCTCCAAAGAAGTTTCTCAGAATGCTTCCGTGTAGTTTTTATGTGAAGATATTTACTTTTCCACAGTTGTCCCAAAGCTCTAAAATATCCACTTGCAGACCCTCCAAAAGAGTGTTTCAGAATTGCTCAATCAAAGGGAAGGTTCAATTCTGTGTGACCAATGCACTCATCACAAAGAAGTTTGTCTGAATGCTTCTGTGTAGAATTGATTTGAAGATAATTCCTTTTCCACCACAGTCCGCAAAGGGCTAAAAATATCCACTTGCCGATTCCACAAAAAGAGAGATTCAAAACTGCTCAATCACAAGATAGGTTCAACTTGGTAATTGGAAAGCACACATGACAAACAATTTCTGAGAATGTTTCTGTGTAGTTTTTAAGGGAAGATATTTGATTTTCAAATGTAGGCCTCAAATCGCTCCAAATATCCACTTGCATATTGTACAAAAAGAGAGATTCAAAACTGGTCACTCAAAAGTTAGGTCCAGCTCTGTGAGCTGAATGCACACATCACAAAGATGTTTCTCAGAAGGTTTCTGTATAGTTTCTATATGAAGATATTGGCTTTTCCACAATATGCCTCAAATCTCCCCAATTATCCACTTGCAGATTCTAGAAAAAGAGTGTTTCAAAACAGCTCAATCAAAATAAACTTTCAACTCTGTGAGATCAATGCACACATCACAAAGGAGTTTCTCAGAATGCTTCTGTGTAGTTTTTTTTGTGAAGATATTTGATTTTCCACAGCAGGCTTCCAAGCACTCCAAATATCCACTCGCAGATTCTGCAAAAAGAGAGATTCAAATCTGCTGAATCAAAAGATAGGTTTAACTCTGTGACTTCAATGCACACCTCACAAGGGTGTTTCTCAGAAAGCTTCTGTGTAGTTTTTATATGAAGATATCTCCTTCTCCAAAGCAGGTCTCAAAGCCCTCCAAATATTCACTTCAAGATTCTACGGAAAGATTGTCTCAACACTGCTAAATCTAAACAAATGTTCAACTCTGTGTGATGAATGCACTCATCACAGAGAAGTTTCTCTGAATGCCTCTGTGTAGTTTTTATTTGAAGATATTTGCTTTTCCAGTATAGGGCGAAATAGGGCTCCAAATATTCACTTGCAGATTCTACAAAAGGAGAGATTCCAAACTGCTCAATCAAAACATAGGTTCAACACTGTGAGTTGAATGCACACATCACAAAGAAGTTTCACAGAGTGCTTCTGGGTAGTTTTTATTTGAGGATATTTCCCTTTCCACAATAGGCCTCAAAGCTTTCCAAATATCCACTTGCAGATTCTGCAAAAAGAGAGATACAAAACTGCTCTATCAAAAGATAGATTCGACTCTGTGAGTTGAATGCCAACATCGCAAAGAAGTTTCTCAGAATGCTTCTCTGCAGCTTTTTTGTGAGTATGTTTCGTTTTCCACCATAGGGCGAAATGGGGCTCCAAATATCCACTTGCATTTCCTACAAAAAGAGAGATTCTAAGCTGCTCAATCAAAACATTGTTTCAACACGGTTAGTTGAATGCACACATCCCAAAGATGTTTTTCAGAGTGCTTCTGTGTGGTTTTTATGTGAAGATACTTCCTTTTCCACAATAGGCCTCAAATCTCTGTAAATATCCACTTGCAGACTCTACAAAGAGTGTTTCCAAACTGCTCAATCATAAGATAGGTTCAACTCCGATAGTTGAATGCACACATCACAAAGAAGTTTCTCAGAAAGCTTCTGTGTAGTTTTTGATGAAGATATCTTCTTCTCTAAAACAGAACTCCAAGCCCTCCAAATATTCACTTCAAGATTCTACGGAAAGATTGTCTCAAAACTCCTAAATCAAAACAAAGTTTCAACTCTGTGTCATGAATGCATTCATCTCAAAGAAGTTTCTCTGAATGCTTCTGTGCAGTTTTTATTTGAAGATAATTGCTTTTCCAGTATAGGGCGAAATAGGGCTCCAAATATTCACTTGCAGATTCTACAGAAAGAGAGATTCCAAACTGCTCAATCAAAACATAGGTTCAACACTGTGAGTTGAATGTATACATCGCAAAGAAGTTTCACAGAGTACTTCTGGGTGGTTTTTATTTGAAGATATTTCCCTTTCCACAATAGGCCTCAAAGCTTTCCAAATGTCCACTTGCAGATTCCACCAAAAGAGTGTTTCGAAACTGCTCAATCAAAAGAAAGGTTCTACTCTGTGGGATGAATGCACACATCACAAAGTAGTTTCTCAGAATGCTTCTGTGTAGTTTTTATGTGAAGATATTTGTTTTTCCACAGTAGGCCCCAAGGAGCTCCAAATATTCACTTGCAGATTCTACAAAAAGAGTGTTCCAAAACTGCTCAATCATGAAATAGGATCAACCCTGTGAGATGAATGTACGTATGACAGAGAAGTTTCTCAGAATGCTTCTGTGTAGTTTTTATGCGAAGATATTCGATTTTCCACAGTACGCCTCAAAGTTCTCCAATTATCCACTCGTAGATTCTGCAAAAAGAGAGATTCAAAACTGCTCAATCAAAAGATAGTTTCTACTCCATTAGCTGAAAGACCACATCACAAAAAAAGTTTCTCAGGATGCTTCTGTGTAGTTTTTATGTGAAGATATTTGGTTTTCCACAGTAGGCCTCAAAGCGCTCCAAATATCCACTCACAGATTCTGCAAAAAGAGAGATTCAAAACTGCTGAATCAAAAGACAGTTTCAACTCTGTGACTTCAGTGCACACCTCACAAGGATGTTTCTCAGAATGCTTCTGTGTAGTTTTTATATAAAGATATCTCCTTCTCCAAAATGGATCTCAAAGTTCCCCAAATATTCACTTCCAGATTCTATGGAAAGATTGTCTCAAAACTGCTCAATCAAACCAAAGGTTCAACTCTGTGAGATGAATGCACACATCACAAAGAAGTTTCTCAGAGTACTTCTGTGTAGTTTCTATTTGAGGATAGTTCCTTTTCCACCACAGACCAGAAAGAGCTCCAAATATCCATTGCAGATGGTACAAAAAGTGAGATTCAAAACTGCTCAATCCAAAGGTAGTTTCAACCATGTGATATGAATGCACACAGCACAGAGAATTTTCTCAAAATGCGTCTGTCTAGTTTTTATTTGAAGATATTTCCTTTTCTACCATAGGCCACAAACGTCTCCAAATATCCACATGCAGCTTCTACAAAAAGAGAGATTCAAAACTTCTCAATCAAAAGATAGGTTCAACTCTGTGAGTTGAAAGCACACCTCACAAAGAAGTTTCTCAGAGTGCTTCTGTGTGTTTTTATGTGAAGATATTTCCTTTTCCACAATAGGCCTCAAAGCTCTCCAAATATCTGCGAGCAGAGTCTACAAAATGAGAGATTCAAAACTGCTCAATGAAAAGATAGGTTCAACTCTGTGAGTTGAATGCACACCTCCAAAGAAGTTTCTCAGAATGCTTCCGTGTAGTTTTTATGTGAAGATATTTACTTTTCCACAGTTGTCCCAAAGCTCTAAAATATCCACTTGCAGACCCTCCAAAAGAGTGTTTCAGAATTGCTCAATCAAAGGGAAGGTTCAATTCTGTGTGACCAATGCACTCATCACAAAGAAGTTTGTCTGAATGCTTCTGTGTAGAATTGATTTGAAGATAATTCCTTTTCCACCACAGTCCGCAAAGGGCTAAAAATATCCACTTGCCGATTCCACAAAAAGAGAGATTCAAAACTGCTCAATCACAAGATAGGTTCAACTTGGTAATTGGAAAGCACACATGACATACAATTTCTGAGAATGTTTCTGTGTAGTTTTTAAGGGAAGATATTTGATTTTCAAATGTAGGCCTCAAATCGCTCCAAATATCCACTTGCATATTGTACAAAAAGAGAGATTCAAAACTGGTCACTCAAAAGTTAGGTCCAGCTCTGTGAGCTGAATGCACACATCACAAAGATGTTTCTCAGAAGGTTTCTGTATAGTTTCTATATGAAGATATTTGCTTTTCCACAATATGCCTCAAATCTCCCCAATTATCCACTTGCAGATTCTAGAAAAAGAGTGTTTCAAAACAGCTCAATCAAAATAAACTTTCAACTCTGTGAGATCAATGCACACATCACAAAGAAGTTTCTCAGAATGCTTCTGTGTAGTTTTTTTTGTGAAGATATTTGATTTTCCACAGCAGGCTTCCAAGCACTCCAAATATCCACTCGCAGATTCTGCAAAAAGAGAGATTCAAATCTGCTGAATCAAAAGATAGGTTTAACTCTGTGACTTCAATGCACACCTCACAAGGGTGTTTCTCAGAAAGCTTCTGTGTAGTTTTTATATGAAGATATCTCCTTCTCCAAAGCAGGTCTCAAAGCCCTCCAAATATTCACTTCAAGATTCTACGGAAAGATTGTCTCAACACTGCTAAATCTAAACAAATGTTCAACTCTGTGTGATGAATGCACTCATCACAGAGAAGTTTCTCTGAATGCCTCTGTGTAGTTTTTATTTGAAGATATTTGCTTTTCCAGTATAGGGCGAAATAGGGCTCCAAATATTCACTTGCAGATTCTACAAAAGGAGAGATTCCAAACTGCTCAATCAAAACATAGGTTCAACACTGTGAGTTGAATGCACACATCACAAAGAAGTTTCACAGAGTGCTTCTGGGTAGTTTTTATTTGAGGATATTTCCCTTTCCACAATAGGCCTCAAAGCTTTCCAAATATCCACTTGCAGATTCTGCAAAAAGAGAGATACAAAACTGCTCTATCAAAAGATAGATTCGACTCTGTGAGTTGAATGCCAACATCGCAAAGAAGTTTCTCAGAATGCTTCTCTGCAGCTTTTTTGTGAGTATGTTTCGTTTTCCACCATAGGGCGAAATGGGGCTCCAAATATCCACTTGCATTTCCTACAAAAGGAGAGATTCTAAGCTGCTCAATCAAAACATTGTTTCAACACGGTTAGTTGAATGCACACATCCCAAAGATGTTTCTCAGAGTGCTTCTGTGTGGTTTTTATGTGAAGATACTTCCTTTTCCACAATAGGCCTCAAATCTCTGTAAATATCCACTTGCAGACTCTACAAAGAGTGTTTCCAAACTGCTCAATCATAAGATAGGTTCAACTCCGATAGTTGAATGCACACATCACAAAGAAGTTTCTCAGAAAGCTTCTGTGTAGTTTTTGATGAAGATATCTCCTTCTCTAAAACAGAACTCCAAGCCCTCCAAATATTCACTTCAAGATTCTACGGAAAGATTGTCTCAAAACTCCTAAATCAAAACAAAGTTTCAACTCTGTGTCATGAATGCATTCATCTCAAAGAAGTTTCTCTGAATGCTTCTGTGCAGTTTTTATTTGAAGATAATTGCTTTTCCAGTATAGGGCGAAATAGGGCTCCAAATATTCACTTGCAGATTCTACAGAAAGAGAGATTCCAAACTGCTCAATCAAAACATAGGTTCAACACTGTGAGTTGAATGCATACATCGCAAAGAAGTTTCACAGAGTACTTCTGGGTGGTTTTTATTTGAAGATATTTCCCTTTCCACAATAGGCCTCAAAGCTTTCCAAATGTCCACTTGCAGATTCCACCAAAAGCGTGTTTCGAAACTGCTCAATCAAAAGAAAGGTTCTACTCTGTGGGATGAATGCACACATCACAAAGTAGTTTCTCAGAATGCTTCTGTGTAGTTTTTATGTGAAGATATTTGTTTTTCCACAGTAGGCCCCAAAGAGCTCCAAATATTCACTTGCAGATTCTACAAAAAGAGTGTTCCAAAACTGCTCAATCATGAAATAGGATCAACCCTGTGAGATGAATGTACGTATGACAGAGAAGTTTCTCAGAATGCTTCTGTGTAGTTTTTATGCGAAGATATTCGATTTTCCACAGTACGCCTCAAAGTTCTCCAATTATCCACTCGTAGATCCTGCAAAAAGAGAGACTCAAAACTGCTCAATCAAAAGATAGTTTCTACTCCATTAGCTGAAAGACCACATCACAAAAAAAGTTTCTCAGGATGCTTCTGTGTAGTTTTTATGTGAAGATATTTGGTTTTCCACAGTAGGCCTCAAAGCGCTCCAAATATCCACTCACAGATTCTGCAAAAAGAGAGATTCAAAACTGCTGAATCAAAAGACAGTTTCAACTCTGTGACTTCAGTGCACACCTCACAAGGATGTTTCTCAGAATGCTTCTGTGTAGTTTTTATATAAAGATATCTCCTTCTCCAAAATGGATCTCAAAGTTCTCCAAATATTCACTTCCAGATTCTATGGAAAGATTGTCTCAAAACTGCTCAATCAAACCAAAGGTTCAACTCTGTGAGATGAATGCCCACATCACAAAGAAGTTTCTCAGAGTACTTCTGTGTAGTTTCTATTTGAGGATAGTTCCTTTTCCACCACAGACCAGAAAGGGCTCCAAATATCCATTGCAGATGGTACAAAAAGTGAGATTCAAAACTGCTCAATCCAAAGGTAGTTTCAACCATGTGATATGAATGCACACAGCACAGAGAATTTTCTCAAAATGCGTCTGTCTAGTTTTTATTTGAAGATATTTCCTTTTCTACCATAGGCCACAAACGTCTCCAAATATCCACATGCAGCTTCTACAAAAAGAGAGATTCAAAACTTCTCAATCAAAAGATAGGTTCAACTCTGTGAGTTGAAAGCACACCTCACAGAGAAGTTTCTCAGAGTGCTTCTGTGTGTTTTTATGTGAAGATATTTCCTTTTCCACAATAGGCCTCAAAGCTCTCCAAATATCTGCGAGCAGAGTCTACAAAATGAGAGATTCAAAACTGCTCAATGAAAAGATAGGTTCAACTCTGTGAGTTGAATGCACACCTCCAAAGAAGTTTCTCAGAATGCTTCCGTGTAGTTTTTATGTGAAGATATTTACTTTTCCACAGTTGTCCCAAAGCTCTAAAATGTCCACTTGCAGACCCTCCAAAAGAGTGTTTCAGAATTGCTCAATCAAAGGGAAGGTTCAATTCTGTGTGACCAATGCACTCATCACAAAGAAGTTTGTCTGAATGCTTCTGTGTAGAATTGATTTGAAGATAATTCCTTTTCCACCACAGTCCGCAAAGGGCTAAAAATATCCACTTGCCGATTCCACAAAAAGAGAGATTCAAAACTGCTCAATCACAAGATAGGTTCAACTTGGTAATTGGAAAGCACACATGACAAACAATTTCTGAGAATGTTTCTGTGTAGTTTTTAAGGGAAGATATTTGATTTTCAAATGTAGGCCTCAAATCGCTCCAAATATCCACTTGCATATTGTACAAAAAGAGAGATTCAAAACTGGTCACTCAAAAGTTAGGTCCAGCTCTGTGAGCTGAATGCACACATCACAAAGATGTTTCTCAGAAGGTTTCTGTATAGTTTCTATATGAAGATATTTGCTTTTCCACAATATGCCTCAAATCTCCCCAATTATCCACTTGCAGATTCTAGAAAAAGAGTGTTTCAAAACAGCTCAATCCAAATAAACTTTCAACTCTGTGAGATCAATGCACACATCACAAAGAAGTTTCTCAGAATGCTTCTGTGTAGTTTTTTTTGTGAAGATATTTGATTTTCCACAGCAGGCTTCCAAGCACTCCAAATATCCACTCGCAGATTCTGCAAAAAGAGAGATTCAAATCTGCTGAATCAAAAGATAGGTTTAACTCTGTGACTTCAATGCACACCTCACAAGGGTGTTTCTCAGAAAGCTTCTGTGTAGTTTTTATATGAAGATATCTCCTTCTCCAAAGCAGGTCTCAAAGCCCTCCAAATATTCACTTCAAGATTCTACGGAAAGATTGTCTCAACACTGCTAAATCTAAACAAATGTTCAACTCTGTGTGATGAATGCACTCATCACAGAGAAGTTTCTCTGAATGCCTCTGTGTAGTTTTTATTTGAAGATATTTGCTTTTCCAGTATAGGGCGAAATAGGGCTCCAAATATTCACTTGCAGATTCTACAAAAGGAGAGATTCCAAACTGCTCAATCAAAACATAGGTTCAACACTGTGAGTTGAATGCACACATCACAAAGGAAGTTTCACAGAGTGCTTCTGGGTAGTTTTTATTTGAGGATATTTCCCTTTCCACAATAGGCCTCAAAGCTTTCCAAATATCCACTTGCAGATTCTGCAAAAAGAGAGATACAAAACTGCTCTATCAAAAGATAGATTCGACTCTGTGAGTTGAATGCCAACATCGCAAAGAAGTTTCTCAGAATGCTTCTCTGCAGCTTTTTTGTGAGTATGTTTCGTTTTCCACCATAGGGCGAAATGGGGCTCCAAATATCCACTTGCATTTCCTACAAAAAGAGAGATTCTAAGCTGCTCAATCAAAACATTGTTTCAACACGGTTAGTTGAATGCACACATCCCAAAGATGTTTTTCAGAGTGCTTCTGTGTGGTTTTTATGTGAAGATACTTCCTTTTCCACAATAGGCCTCAAATCTCTGTAAATATCCACTTGCAGACTCTACAAAGAGTGTTTCCAAACTGCTCAATCATAAGATAGGTTCAACTCCGATAGTTGAATGCACACATCACAAAGAAGTTTCTCAGAAAGCTTCTGTGTAGTTTTTGATGAAGATATCTTCTTCTCTAAAACAGAACTCCAAGCCCTCCAAATATTCACTTCAAGATTCTACGGAAAGATTGTCTCAAAACTCCTAAATCAAAACAAAGTTTCAACTCTGTGTCATGAATGCATTCATCTCAAAGAAGTTTCTCTGAATGCTTCTGTGCAGTTTTTATTTGAAGATAATTGCTTTTCCAGTATAGGGCGAAATAGGGCTCCAAATATTCACTTGCAGATTCTACAGAAAGAGAGATTCCAAACTGCTCAATCAAAACATAGGTTCAACACTGTGAGTTGAATGCATACATCGCAAAGAAGTTTCACAGAGTACTTCTGGGTGGTTTTTATTTGAAGATATTTCCCTTTCCACAATAGGCCTCAAAGCTTTCCAAATGTCCACTTGCAGATTCCACCAAAGAGTGTTTCGAAACTGCTCAATCAAAAGAAAGGTTCTACTCTGTGGGATGAATGCACACATCACAAAGTAGTTTCTCAGAATGCTTCTGTGTAGTTTTTATGTGAAGATATTTGTTTTTCCACAGTAGGCCCCAAAGAGCTCCAAATATTCACTTGCAGATTCTACAAAAAGAGTGTTCCAAAACTGCTCAATCATGAAATAGGATCAACCCTGTGAGATGAATGTACGTATGACAGAGAAGTTTCTCAGAATGCTTCTGTGTAGTTTTTATGCGAAGATATTCGATTTTCCACAGTACGCCTCAAAGTTCTCCAATTATCCACTCGTAGATTCTGCAAAAAGAGAGATTCAAAACTGCTCAATCAAAAGATAGTTTCTACTCCATTAGCTGAAAGACCACATCACAAAAAAAGTTTCTCAGGATGCTTCTGTGTAGTTTTTATGTGAAGATATTTGGTTTTCCACAGTAGGTCTCAAAGCGCTCCAAATATCCACTCACAGATTCTGCAAAAAGAGAGATTCAAAACTGCTGAATCAAAAGACAGTTTCAACTCTGTGACTTCAGTGCACACCTCACAAGGATGTTTCTCAGAATGCTTCTGTGTAGTTTTCATATAAAGATATCTCCTTCTCCAAAATGGATCTCAAAGTTCTCCAAATATTCACTTCCAGATTCTATGGAAAGATTGTCTCAAAACTGCTCAATCAAACCAAAGGTTCAACTCTGTGAGATGAATGCCCACATCACAAAGAAGTTTCTCAGAGTACTTCTGTGTAGTTTCTATTTGAGGATAGTTCCTTTTCCACCACAGACCAGAAAGGGCTCCAAATATCCATTGCAGATGGTACAAAAAGTGAGATTCAAAACTGCTCAATCCAAAGGTAGTTTCAACCATGTGATATGAATGCACACAGCACAGAGAATTTTCTCAAAATGCGTCTGTCTAGTTTTTATTTGAAGATATTTCCTTTTCTACCATAGGCCACAAACGTCTCCAAATATCCACATGCAGCTTCTACAAAAAGAGAGATTCCAAACTTCTCAATCAAAAGATAGGTTCAACTCTGTGAGTTGAAAGCACACCTCACAAAGAAGTTTCTCAGAGTGCTTCTGTGTGTTTTTATGTGAAGATATTTCCTTTTCCACAATAGGCCTCAAAGCTCTCCAAATATCTGCGAGCAGAGTCTACAAAATGAGAGATTCAAAACTGCTCAATGAAAAGATAGGTTCAACTCTGTGAGTTGAATGCACACCTCCAAAGAAGTTTCTCAGAATGCTTCCGTGTAGTTTTTATGTGAAGATATTTACTTTTCCACAGTTGTCCCAAAGCTCTAAAATGTCCACTTGCAGACCCTCCAAAAGAGTGTTTCAGAATTGCTCAATCAAAGGGAAGGTTCAATTCTGTGTGACCAATGCACTCATCACAAAGAAGTTTGTCTGAATGCTTCTGTGTAGAATTGATTTGAAGATAATTCCTTTTCCACCACAGTCCGCAAAGGGCTAAAAATATCCACTTGCCGATTCCACAAAAAGAGAGATTCAAAACTGCTCAATCACAAGATAGGTTCAACTTGGTAATTGGAAAGCACACATGACAAACAATTTCTGAGAATGTTTCTGTGTAGTTTTTAAGGGAAGATATTTGATTTTCAAATGTAGGCCTCAAATCGCTCCAAATATCCACTTGCATATTGTACAAAAAGAGAGATTCAAAACTGGTCACTCAAAAGTTAGGTCCAGCTCTGTGAGCTGAATGCACACATCACAAAGATGTTTCTCAGAAGGTTTCTGTATAGTTTCTATATGAAGATATTTGCTTTTCCACAATATGCCTCAAATCTCCCCAATTATCCACTTGCAGATTCTAGAAAAAGAGTGTTTCAAAACAGCTCAATCAAAATAAACTTTCAACTCTGTGAGATCAATGCACACATCACAAAGAAGTTTCTCAGAATGCTTCTGTGTAGTTTTTTTTTGTGAAGATATTTGATTTTCCACAGCAGGCTTCCAAGCACTCCAAATATCCACTCGCAGATTCTGCAAAAAGAGAGATTCAAATCTGCTGAATCAAAAGATAGGTTTAACTCTGTGACTTCAATGCACACCTCTCAAGGGTGTTTCTCAGAAAGCTTCTGTGTAGTTTTTATATGAAGATATCTCCTTCTCCAAAGCAGGTCTCAAAGCCCTCCAAATATTCACTTCAAGATTCTACGGAAAGATTGTCTCAACACTGCTAAATCTAAACAAATGTTCAACTCTGTGTGATGAATGCACTCATCACAGAGAAGTTTCTCTGAATGCCTCTGTGTAGTTTTTATTTGAAGATATTTGCTTTTCCAGTATAGGGCGAAATAGGGCTCCAAATATTCACTTGCAGATTCTACAAAAGGAGAGATTCCAAACTGCTCAATCAAAACATAGGTTCAACACTGTGAGTTGAATGCACACATCACAAAGAAGTTTCACAGAGTGCTTCTGGGTAGTTTTTATTTGAGGATATTTCCTTTTCCACAATAGGCCTCAAAGCTTTCCAAATATCCACTTGCAGATTCTGCAAAAACAGAGATACAAAACTGCTCTATCAAAAGATAGATTCGACTCTGTGAGTTGAATGCCAACATCGCAAAGAAGTTTCTCAGAATGCTTCTCTGCAGCTTTTTTGTGAGTATGTTTCGTTTTCCACCATAGGGCGAAATGGGGCTCCAAATATCCACTTGCATTTCCTACAAAAAGAGAGATTCTAAGCTGCTCAATCAAAACATTGTTTCAACACGGTTAGTTGAATGCACACATCCCAAAGATGTTTTTCAGAGTGCTTCTCTGTGGTTTTTATGTGAAGATACTTCCTTTTCCACAATAGGCCTCAAATCTCTGTAAATATCCACTTGCAGACTCTACAAAGAGTGTTTCCAAACTGCTCAATCATAAGATAGGTTCAACTCCGATAGTTGAATGCACACATCACAAAGAAGTTTCTCAGAAAGCTTCTGTGTAGTTTTTGATGAAGATATCTTCTTCTCTAAAACAGAACTCCAAGCCCTCCAAATATTCACTTCAAGATTCTACGGAAAGATTGTCTCAAACTGCTAAATCAAAACAAAGGTTCAACTCTGTGTGATGAATGCATTCATCACAAAGAAGTTTCTCTGAGTGCTTCTGTGCAGTTTTTATTTGAAGATAATTGCTTTTCCAGTATAGGGCGAAATAGGGCTCCAAATATTCACTTGCAGATTCTACAGAAAGAGAGATTCCAAACTGCTCAATCAAAACATAGGTTCAACACTGTGAGTTGAATGCATACATCGCAAAGAAGTTTCACAGAGTACTTCTGGGTGGTTTTTATTTGAAGATATTTCCCTTTCCACAATAGGCCTCAAAGCTTTCCAAATGTCCACTTGCAGATTCCACCAAAAGAGTGTTTCGAAACTGCTCAATCAAAAGAAAGGTTCTACTCTGTGGGATGAATGCACACATCACAAAGTAGTTTCTCAGAATGCTTCTGTGTAGTTTTTATGTGAAGATATTTGTTTTTCCACAGTAGACCCCAAAGAGCTCCAAATATTCACTTGCAGATTCTACAAAAAGAGTGTTCCAAAACTGCTCAATCATGAAATAGGATCAACCCTGTGAGATGAATGTACGTATGACAGAGAAGTTTCTCAGAATGCTTCTGTGTAGTTTTTATGCGAAGATATTCGATTTTCCACAGTACGCCTCAAAGTTCTCCAATTATCCACTCGTAGATTCTGCAAAAAGAGAGATTCAAAACTGCTCAATCAAAAGATAGTTTCTACTCCATTAGCTGAAAGACCACATCACAAAAAAAGTTTCTCAGGATGCTTCTGTGTAGTTTTTATGTGAAGATATTTGGTTTTCCACAGTAGGCCTCAAAGCGCTCCAAATATCCACTCACAGGTTCTGCAAAAAGAGAGATTCAAAACTGCTGAATCAAAAGACAGTTTCAACTCTGTGACTTCAGTGCACACCTCACAAGGATGTTTCTCAGAATGCTTCTGTGTAGTTTTTATATAAAGATATCTCCTTCTCCAAAATGGATCTCAAAGTTCTCCAAATATTCACTTCCAGATTCTATGGAAAGATTGTCACAAAACTGCTCAATCAAACCAAAGGTTCAACTCTGTGAGATGAATGCCCACATCACAAAGAAGTTTCTCAGAGTACTTCTGTGTAGTTTCTATTTGAGGATAGTTCCTTTTCCACCACAGACCAGAAAGGGCTCCAAATATCCATTGCAGATGGTACAAAAAGTGAGATTCAAAACTGCTCAATCCAAAGGTAGTTTCAACCATGTGATATGAATGCACACAGCACAGAGAATTTTCTCAAAATGCGTCTGTCTAGTTTTTATTTGAAGATATTTCCTTTTCTACCATAGGCCACAAACGTCTCCAAATATCCACATGCAGCTTCCACAAAAAGAGAGATTCAAAACTTCTCAATCAAAAGATAGGTTCAACTCTGTGAGTTGAAAGCACACCTCACAAAGAAGTTTCTCAGAGTGCTTCTGTGTGTTTTTATGTGAAGATATTTCCTTTTCCACAATAGGCCTCAAAGCTCTCCAAATATCTGCGAGCAGAGTCTACAAAATGAGAGATTCAAAACTGCTCAATGAAAAGATAGGTTCAACTCTGTGAGTTGAATGCACACCTCCAAAGAAGTTTCTCAGAATGCTTCCCGTGTAGTTTTTATGTGAAGATATTTACTTTTCCACAGTTGTCCCAAAGCTCTAAAATGTCCACTTGCAGACCCTCCAAAAGAGTGTTTCAGAATTGCTCAATCAAAGGGAAGGTTCAATTCTGTGTGACCAATGCACTCATCACAAAGAAGTTTGTCTGAATGCTTCTGTGTAGAATTGATTTGAAGATAATTCCTTTTCCACCACAGTCCGCAAAGGGCTAAAAATATCCACTTGCCGATTCCACAAAAAGAGAGATTCAAAACTGCTCAATCACAAGATAGGTTCAACTTGGTAATTGGAAAGCACACATGACAAACAATTTCTGAGAATGTTTCTGTGTAGTTTTTAAGGGAAGATATTTGATTTTCAAATGTAGGCCTCAAATCGCTCCAAATATCCACTTGCATATTGTACAAAAAGAGAGATTCAAAACTGGTCACTCAAAAGTTAGGTCCAGCTCTGTGAGCTGAATGCACACATCACAAAGATGTTTCTCAGAAGGTTTCTGTATAGTTTCTATATGAAGATATTGGCTTTTCCACAATATGCCTCAAATCTCCCCAATTATCCACTTGCAGATTCTAGAAAAAGAGTGTTTCAAAACAGCTCAATCAAAATAAACTTTCAACTCTGTGAGATCAATGCACACATCACAAAGGAGTTTCTCAGAATGCTTCTGTGTAGTTTTTTTTGTGAAGATATTTGATTTTCCACAGCAGGCTTCCAAGCACTCCAAATATCCACTCGCAGATTCTGCAAAAAGAGAGATTCAAATCTGCTGAATCAAAAGATAGGTTTAACTCTGTGACTTCAATGCACACCTCACAAGGGTGTTTCTCAGAAAGCTTCTGTGTAGTTTTTATATGAAGATATCTCCTTCTCCAAAGCAGGTCTCAAAGCCCTCCAAATATTCACTTCAAGATTCTACGGAAAGATTGTCTCAACACTGCTAAATCTAAACAAATGTTCAACTCTGTGTGATGAATGCACTCATCACAGAGAAGTTTCTCTGAATGCCTCTGTGTAGTTTTTATTTGAAGATATTTGCTTTTCCAGTATAGGGCGAAATAGGGCTCCAAATATTCACTTGCAGATTCTACAAAAGGAGAGATTCCAAACTGCTCAATCAAAACATAGGTTCAACACTGTGAGTTGAATGCACACATCACAAAGAAGTTTCACAGAGTGCTTCTGGGTAGTTTTTATTTGAGGATATTTCCCTTTCCACAATAGGCCTCAAAGCTTTCCAAATATCCACTTGCAGATTCTGCAAAAAGAGAGATACAAAACTGCTCTATCAAAAGATAGATTCGACTCTGTGAGTTGAATGCCAACATCGCAAAGAAGTTTCTCAGAATGCTTCTCTGCAGCTTTTTTGTGAGTATGTTTCGTTTTCCACCATAGGGCGAAATGGGGCTCCAAATATCCACTTGCATTTCCTACAAAAAGAGAGATTCTAAGCTGCTCAATCAAAACATTGTTTCAACACGGTTAGTTGAATGCACACATCCCAAAGATGTTTTTCAGAGTGCTTCTGTGTGGTTTTTATGTGAAGATACTTCCTTTTCCACAATAGGCCTCAAATCTCTGTAAATATCCACTTGCAGACTCTACAAAGAGTGTTTCCAAACTCCTCAATCATAAGATAGGTTCAACTCCGATAGTTGAATGCACACATCACAAAGAAGTTTCTCGGAAAGCTTCTGTGTAGTTTTTGATGAAGATATCTTCTTCTCTAAAACAGAACTCCAAGCCCTCCAAATATTCACTTCAAGATTCTACGGAAAGATTGTCTCAAACTGCTAAATCAAAACAAAGGTTCAACTCTGTGTGATGAATGCATTCATCACAAAGAAGTTTCTCTGAGTGCTTCCTGTGCAGTTTTTATTTGAAGATAATTGCTTTTCCAGTATAGGGCGAAATAGGGCTCCAAATATTCACTTGCAGATTCTACAGAAAGAGAGATTCCAAACTGCTCAATCAAAACATAGGTTCAACACTGTGAGTTGAATGCATACATCGCAAAGAAGTTTCACAGAGTACTTCTGGGTGGTTTTTATTTGAAGATATTTCCCTTTCCACAATAGGCCTCAAAGCTTTCCAAATGTCCACTTGCAGATTCCACCAAAAGAGTGTTTCGAAACTGCTCAATCAAAAGAAAGGTTCTACTCTGTGGGATGAATGCACACATCACAAAGTAGTTTCTCAGAATGCTTCTGTGTAGTTTTTATGTGAAGATATTTGTTTTTCCACAGTAGGCCCAAGGAGCTCCAAATATTCACTTGCAGATTCTACAAAAAGAGTGTTCCAAAACTGCTCAATCATGAAATAGGATCAACCCTGTGAGATGAATGTACGTATGACAGAGAAGTTTCTCAGAATGCTTCTGTGTAGTTTTTATGCGAAGATATTCGACTTTCCACAGTACGCCTCAAAGTTCTCCAATTATCCACTCGTAGATTCTGCAAAAAGAGAGATTCAAAACTGCTCAATCAAAAGATAGTTTCTACTCCATTAGCTGAAAGACCACATCACAAAAAAAGTTTCTCAGGATGCTTCTGTGTAGTTTTTATGTGAAGATATTTGGTTTTCCACAGTAGGCCTCAAAGCGCTCCAAATATCCACTCACAGATTCTGCAAAAAGAGAGATTCAAAACTGCTGAATCAAAAGACAGTTTCAACTCTGTGACTTCAGTGCACACCTCACAAGGATGTTTCTCAGAATGCTTCTGTGTAGTTTTCATATAAAGGTATCTCCTTCTCCAAAATGGATCTCAAAGTTCTCCAAATATTCACTTCCAGATTCTATGGAAAGATTGTCTCAAAACTGCTCAATCAAACCAAAGGTTCAACTCTGTGAGATGAATGCCCACATCACAAAGAAGTTTCTCAGAGTACTTCTGTGTAGTTTCTATTTGAGGATAGTTCCTTTTCCACCACAGACCAGAAAGGGCTCCAAATATCCATTGCAGATGGTACAAAAAGTGAGATTCAAAACTGCTCAATCCAAAGGTAGTTTCAACCATGTGATATGAATGCACACAGCACAGAGAATTTTCTCAAAATGCGTCTGTCTAGTTTTTATTTGAAGATATTTCCTTTTCTACCATAGGCCACAAACGTCTCCAAATATCCACATGCAGCTTCTACAAAAAGAGAGATTCAAAACTTCTCAATCAAAAGATAGGTTCAACTCTGTGAGTTGAAAGCACACCTCACAGAGAAGTTTCTCAGAGTGCTTCTGTGTGTTTTTATGTGAAGATATTTCCTTTTCCACAATAGGCCTCAAAGCTCTCCAAATATCTGCGAGCAGAGTCTACAAAATGAGAGATTCAAAACTGCTCAATGAAAAGATAGGTTCAACTCTGTGAGTTGAATGCACACCTCCAAAGAAGTTTCTCAGAATGCTTCCGTGTAGTTTTTATGTGAAGATATTTACTTTTCCACAGTTGTCCCAAAGCTCTAAAATATCCACTTGCAGACCCTCCAAAAGAGTGTTTCAGAATTGCTCAATCAAAGGGAAGGTTCAATTCCTGTGTGACCAATGCACTCATCACAAAGAAGTTTGTCTGAATGCTTTCTGTGTAGAATTGATTTGAAGATAATTCCTTTTCCACCACAGTCCGCAAAGGGCTAAAAATATCCACTTGCCGATTCCACAAAAAGAGAGATTCAAAACTGCTCAATCACAAGATAGGTTCAACTTGGTAATTGGAAAGCACACATGACAAACAATTTCTGAGAATGTTTCTGTGTAGTTTTTAAGGGGAAGATATTTGATTTTCAAATGTAGGCCTCAAATCGCTCCAAATATCCACTTGCATATTGTACAAAAAGAGAGATTCAAAACTGGTCACTCAAAAGTTAGGTCCAGCTCTGTGAGCTGAATGCACACATCACAAAGATGTTTCTCAGAAGGTTTCTGTATAGTTTCTATATGAAGATATTGGCTTTTCCACAATATGCCTCAAATCTCCCCAATTATCCACTTGCAGATTCTAGAAAAAGAGTGTTTCAAAACAGCTCAATCAAAATAAACTTTCAACTCTGTGAGATCAATGCACACATCACAAAGAAGTTTCTCAGAATGCTTCTGTGTAGTTTTTTTTGTGAAGATATTTGATTTTCCACAGCAGGCTTCCAAGCACTCCAAATATCCACTCGCAGATTCTGCAAAAAGAGAGATTCAAATCTGCTGAATCAAAAGATAGGTTTAACTCTGTGACTTCAATGCACACCTCACAAGGGTGTTTCTCAGAAAGCTTCTGTGTAGTTTTTATATGAAGATATCTCCTTTTCCAAAGCAGGTCTCAAAGCCCTCCAAATATTCACTTCAAGATTCTACGGAAAGATTGTCTCAACACTGCTAAATCTAAACAAATGTTCAACTCTGTGTGATGAATGCACTCATCACAGAGTAGTTTCTCTGAATGCCTCTGTGTAGTTTTTATTTGAAGATATTTGCTTTTCCAGTATAGGGCGAAATAGGGCTCCAAATATTCACTTGCAGATTCTACAAAAGGAGAGATTCCAAACTGCTCAATCAAAACATAGGTTCAACACTGTGAGTTGAATGCACACATCACAAAGAAGTTTCACAGAGTGCTTCTGGGTAGTTTTTATTTGAGGATATTTCCCTTTCCACAATAGGCCTCAAAGCTTTCCAAATATCCACTTGCAGATTCTGCAAAAAGAGGGATACAAAACTGCTCTATCAAAAGATAGATTCGACTCTGTGAGTTGAATGCCAACATCGCAAAGAAGTTTCTCAGAATGCTTCTCTGCAGCTTTTTTGTGAGTATGTTTCGTTTTCCACCATAGGGCGAAATGGGGCTCCAAATATCCACTTGCATTTCCTACAAAAAGAGAGATTCTAAGCTGCTCAATCAAAACATTGTTTCAACACGGTTAGTTGAATGCACACATCCCAAAGATGTTTTTCAGAGTGCTTCTGTGTGGTTTTTATGTGAAGATACTTCCTTTTCCACAATAGGCCTCAAATCTCTGTAAATATCCACTTGCAGACTCTACAAAGAGTGTTTCCAAACTCCTCAATCATAAGATAGGTTCAACTCCGATAGTTGAATGCACACATCACAAAGAAGTTTCTCGGAAAGCTTCTGTGTAGTTTTTGATGAAGATATCTTCTTCTCTAAAACAGAACTCCAAGCCCTCCAAATATTCACTTCAAGATTCTACGGAAAGATTGTCTCAAACTGCTAAATCAAAACAAAGGTTCAACTCTGTGTGATGAATGCATTCATCACAAAGAAGTTTCTCTGAGTGCTTCTGTGCAGTTTTTATTTGAAGATAATTGCTTTTCCAGTATAGGGCGAAATAGGGCTCCAAATATTCACTTGCAGATTCTACAGAAAGAGAGATTCCAAACTGCTCAATCAAAACATAGGTTCAACACTGTGAGTTGAATGCATACATCGCAAAGAAGTTTCACAGAGTACTTCTGGGTGGTTTTTATTTGAAGATATTTCCCTTTCCACAATAGGCCTCAAAGCTTTCCAAATGTCCACTTGCAGATTCCACCAAAAGAGTGTTTCGAAACTGCTCAATCAAAAGAAAGGTTCTACTGCTGTGGGATGAATGCACACATCACAAAGTAGTTTCTCAGAATGCTTCTGTGTAGTTTTTATGTGAAGATATTTGTTTTTCCACAGTAGGCCCCAAAGAGCTCCAAATATTCACTTGCAGATTCTACAAAAAGAGTGTTCCAAAACTGCTCAATCATGAAATAGGATCAACCCTGTGAGATGAATGTACGTATGACAGAGAAGTTTCTCAGAATGCTTCTGTGTAGTTTTTATGCGAAGATATTCGATTTTCCACAGTACGCCTCAAAGTTCTCCAATTATCCACTCGTAGATCCTGCAAAAAGAGAGATTCAAAACTGCTCAATCAAAAGATAGTTTCTACTCCATTAGCTGAAAGACCACATCACAAAAAAAGTTTCTCAGGATGCTTCTGTGTAGTTTTTATGTGAAGATATTTGGTTTTCCACAGTAGGCCTCAAAGCGCTCCAAATATCCACTCACAGATTCTGCAAAAAGAGAGATTCAAAACTGCTGAATCAAAAGACAGTTTCAACTCTGTGACTTCAGTGCACACCTCACAAGGATGTTTCTCAGAATGCTTCTGTGTAGTTTTTATATAAAGATATCTCCTTCTCCAAAATGGATCTCAAAGTTCTCCAAATATTCACTTCCAGATTCTATGGAAAGATTGTCTCAAAACTGCTCAATCAAACCAAAGGTTCAACTCTGTGAGATGAATGCACACATCACAAAGAAGTTTCTCAGAGTACTTCTGTGTAGTTTCTATTTGAGGATAGTTCCTTTTCCACCACAGACCAGAAAGGGCTCCAAATATCCATTGCAGATGGTACAAAAAGTGAGATTCAAAACTGCTCAATCCAAAGGTAGTTTCAACCATGTGATATGAATGCACACAGCACAGAGAATTTTCTCAAAATGCGTCTGTCTAGTTTTTATTTGAAGATATTTCCTTTTCTACCATAGGCCACAAACGTCTCCAAATATCCACATGCAGCTTCTACAAAAAGAGACATTCAAAACTTCTCAATCAAAAGATAGGTTCAACTCTGTGAGTTGAAAGCACACCTCACAAAGAAGTTTCTCAGAGTGCTTCTGTGTGTTTTTATGTGAAGATATTTCCTTTTCCACAATAGGCCTCAAAGCTCTCCAAATATCTGCGAGCAGAGTCTACAAAATGAGAGATTCAAAACTGCTCAATGAAAAGATAGGTTCAACTCTGTGAGTTGAATGCACACCTCAAAAGAAGTTTCTCAGAATGCTTCCGTGTAGTTTTTATGTGAAGATATTTACTTTTCCACAGTTGTCCCAAAGCTCTAAAATATCCACTTGCAGACCCTCCAAAAGAGTGTTTCAGAATTGCTCAATCAAAGGGAAGGTTCAATTCTGTGTGACCAATGCACTCATCACAAAGAAGTTTGTCTGAATGCTTCTGTGTAGAATTGATTTGAAGATAATTCCTTTTCCACCACAGTCCGCAAAGGGCTAAAAATATCCACTTGCCGATTCCACAAAAAGAGAGATTCCAAACTGCTCAATCACAAGATAGGTTCAACTTGGTAATTGGAAAGCACACATGACAAACAATTTCTGAGAATGTTTCTGTGTAGTTTTTAAGGGAAGATATTTGATTTTCAAATGTAGGCCTCAAATCGCTCCAAATATCCACTTGCATATTGTACAAAAAGAGAGATTCAAAACTGGTCACTCAAAAGTTAGGTCCAGCTCTGTGAGCTGAATGCACACATCACAAAGATGTTTCTCAGAAGGTTTCTGTATAGTTTCTATATGAAGATATTTGCTTTTCCACAATATGCCTCAAATCTCCCCAATTATCCACTTGCAGATTCTAGAAAAAGAGTGTTTCAAAACAGCTCAATCAAAATAAACTTTCAACTCTGTGAGATCAATGCACACATCACAAAGAAGTTTCTCAGAATGCTTCTGTGTAGTTTTTTTTGTGAAGATATTTGATTTTCCACAGCAGGCTTCCAAGCACTCCAAATATCCACTCGCAGATTCTGCAAAAAGAGAGATTCAAATCTGCTGAATCAAAAGATAGGTTTAACTCTGTGACTTCAATGCACACCTCACAAGGGTGTTTCTCAGAAAGCTTCTGTGTAGTTTTTATATGAAGATATCTCCTTCTCCAAAGCAGGTCTCAAAGCCCTCCAAATATTCACTTCAAGATTCTACGGAAAGATTGTCTCAACACTGCTAAATCTAAACAAATGTTCAACTCTGTGTGATGAATGCACTCATCACAGAGAAGTTTCTCTGAATGCCTCTGTGTAGTTTTTATTTGAAGATATTTGCTTTTCCAGTATAGGGCGAAATAGGGCTCCAAATATTCACTTGCAGATTCTACAAAAGGAGAGATTCCAAACTGCTCAATCAAAACATAGGTTCAACACTGTGAGTTGAATGCACACATCACAAAGAAGTTTCACAGAGTGCTTCTGGGTAGTTTTTATTTGAGGATATTTCCCTTTCCACAATAGGCCTCAAAGCTTTCCAAATATCCACTTGCAGATTCTGCAAAAAGAGAGATACAAAACTGCTCTATCAAAAGATAGATTCGACTCTGTGAGTTGAATGCCAACATCGCAAAGAAGTTTCTCAGAATGCTTCTCTGCAGCTTTTTTGTGAGTATGTTTCGTTTTCCACCATAGGGCGAAATGGGGCTCCAAATATCCACTTGCATTTCCTACAAAAAGAGAGATTCTAAGCTGCTCAATCAAAACATTGTTTCAACACGGTTAGTTGAATGCACACATCCCAAAGATGTTTTTCAGAGTGCTTCTGTGTGGTTTTTATGTGAAGATACTTCCTTTTCCTCAATAGGCCTCAAATCTCTGTAAATATCCACTTGCAGACTCTACAAAGAGTGTTTCCAAACTGCTCAATCATAAGATAGGTTCAACTCCGATAGTTGAATGCACACATCACAAAGAAGTTTCTCAGAAAGCTTCTGTGTAATTTTTGATGAAGATATCTCCTTCTCTAAAACAGAACTCCAAGCCCTCCAAATATTCACTTCAAGATTCTACGGAAAGATTGTCTCAAAACTCCTAAATCAAAACAAGTTTCAACTCTGTGTCATGAATGCATTCATCTCAAAGAAGTTTCTCTGAATGCTTCTGTGCAGTTTTTATTTGAAGATAATTGCTTTTCCAGTATAGGGCGAAATAGGGCTCCAAATATTCACTTGCAGATTCTACAGAAAGAGAGATTCCAAACTGCTCAATCAAAACATAGGTTCAACACTGTGAGTTGAATGCATACATCGCAAAGAAGTTTCACAGAGTACTTCTGGGTGGTTTTTATTTGAAGATATTTCCCTTTCCACAATAGGCCTCAAAGCTTTCCAAATGTCCACTTGCAGATTCCACCAAAAGAGTGTTTCGAAACTGCTCAATCAAAAGAAAGGTTCTACTCTGTGGGATGAATGCACACATCACAAAGTAGTTTCTCAGAATGCTTCTGTGTAGTTTTTATGTGAAGATATTTGTTTTTCCACAGTAGGCCCCAAAGAGCTCCAAATATTCACTTGCAGATTCTACAAAAAGAGTGTTCCAAAACTGCTCAATCATGAAATAGGATCAACCCTGTGAGATGAATGTACGTATGACAGAGAAGTTTCTCAGAATGCTTCTGTGTAGTTTTTATGCGAAGATATTCGATTTTCCACAGTACGCCTCAAAGTTCTCCAATTATCCACTCGTAGATTATGCAAAAAGAGAGATTCAAAACTGCTCAATCAAAAGATAGTTTCTACTCCATTAGCTGAAAGACCACATCACAAAAAAAGTTTCTCAGGATGCTTCTGTGTAGTTTTTATGTGAAGATATTTGGTTTTCCACAGTAGGCCTCAAAGCGCTCCAAATATCCACTCACAGATTCTGCAAAAAGAGAGATTCAAAACTGCTGAATCAAAAGACAGTTTCAACTCTGTGACTTCAGTGCACACCTCACAAGGATGTTTCTCAGAATGCTTCTGTGTAGTTTTTATAAAAAGATATCTCCTTCTCCAAAATGGATCTCAAAGTTCTCCAAATATTCACTTCCAGATTCTATGGAAAGATTGTCTCAAAACTGCTCAATCAAACCAAAGGTTCAACTCTGTGAGATGAATGCCCACATCACAAAGAAGTTTCTCAGAGTACTTCTGTGTAGTTTCTATTTGAGGATAGTTCCTTTTCCACCACAGACCAGAAAGGGCTCCAAATATCCATTGCAGATGGTACAAAAAGTGAGATTCAAAACTGCTCAATCCAAAGGTAGTTTCAACCATGTGATATGAATGCACACAGCACAGAGAATTTTCTCAAAATGCGTCTGTCTAGTTTTTATTTGAAGATATTTCCTTTTCTACCATAGGCCACAAACGTCTCCAAATATCCACATGCAGCTTCTACAAAAAGAGAGATTCAAAACTTCTCAATCAAAAGATAGGTTCAACTCTGTGAGTTGAAAGCACACCTCACAAAGAAGTTTCTCAGAGTGCTTCCTGTGTGTTTTTATGTGAAGATATTTCCTTTTCCACAATAGGCCTCAAAGCTCTCCAAATATCTGCGAGCAGAGTCTACAAAATGAGAGATTCAAAACTGCTCAATGAAAAGATAGGTTCAACTCTGTGAGTTGAATGCACACCTCCAAAGAAGTTTCTCAGAATGCTTCTGTGTAGTTTTTGATGAAGATATCTTCTTCTCTAAAACAGAACTCCAAGCCCTCCAAATATTCACTTCAAGATTCTACGGAAAGATTGTCTCAAACTGCTAAATCAAAACAAAGGTTCAACTCTGTGTGATGAATGCATTCATCACAAAGAAGCTTCTCTGAGTGCTTCTGTGCAGTTTTTATTTGAAGATAATTGCTTTTCCAGTATAGGGCGAAATAGGGCTCCAAATATTCACTTGCAGATTCTACAGAAAGAGAGATTCCAAACTGCTCAATCAAAACATAGGTTCAACACTGTGAGTTGAATGCATACATCGCAAAGAAGTTTCACAGAGTACTTCTGGGTGGTTTTTATTTGAAGATATTTCCCTTTCCACAATAGGCCTCAAAGCTTTCCAAATGTCCACTTGCAGATTCCACCAAAAGAGTGTTTCGAAACTGCTCAATCAAAAGAAAGGTTCTACTCTGTGGGATGAATGCACACATCACAAAGTAGTTTCTCAGAATGCTTCTGTGTAGTTTTTATGTGAAGATATTTGTTTTTCCACAGTAGGCCCCAAAGAGCTCCAAATATTCACTTGCAGATTCTACAAAAAGAGTGTTCCAAAACTGCTCAATCATGAAATAGGATCAACCCTGTGAGATGAATGTACGTATGACAGAGAAGTTTCTCAGAATGCTTCTGTGTAGTTTTTATGCGAAGATATTCGATTTTCCACAGTACGCCTCAAAGTTCTCCAATTATCCACTCGTAGATCCTGCAAAAAGAGAGATTCAAAACTGCTCAATCAAAAGATAGTTTCTACTCCATTAGCTGAAAGACCACATCACAAAAAAAGTTTCTCAGGATGCTTCTGTGTAGTTTTTATGTGAAGATATTTGGTTTTCCACAGTAGGCCTCAAAGCGCTCCAAATATCCACTCACAGATTCTGCAAAAAGAGAGATTCAAAACTGCTGAATCAAAAGACAGTTTCAACTCTGTGACTTCAGTGCACACCTCACAAGGATGTTTCTCAGAATGCTTCTGTGTAGTTTTTATATAAAGATATCTCCTTCTCCAAAATGGATCTCAAAGTTCTCCAAATATTCACTTCCAGATTCTATGGAAAGATTGTCTCAAAACTGCTCAATCAAACCAAAGGTTCAACTCTGTGAGATGAATGCCCACATCACAAAGAAGTTTCTCAGAGTACTTCTGTGTAGTTTCTATTTGAGGATAGTTCCTTTTCCACCACAGACCAGAAAGGGCTCCAAATATCCATTGCAGATGGTACAAAAAGTGAGATTCAAAACTGCTCAATCCAAAGGTAGTTTCAACCATGTGATATGAATGCACACAGCACAGAGAATTTTCTCAAAATGCGTCTGTCTAGTTTTTATTTGAAGATATTTCCTTTTCTACCATAGGCCACAAACGTCTCCAAATATCCACATGCAGCTTCTACAAAAAGAGAGATTCAAAACTTCTCAATCAAAAGATAGGTTCAACTCTGTGAGTTGAAAGCACACCTCACAAAGAAGTTTCTCAGAGTGCTTCTGTGTGTTTTTATGTGAAGATATTTCCTTTTCCACAATAGGCCTCAAAGCTCTCCAAATATCTGCGAGCAGAGTCTACAAAATGAGAGATTCAAAACTGCTCAATGAAAAGATAGGTTCAACTCTGTGAGTTGAATGCACACCTCCAAAGAAGTTTCTCAGAATGCTTCCGTGTAGTTTTTATGTGAAGATATTTACTTTTCCACAGTTGTCCCAAAGCTCTAAAATATCCACTTGCAGACCCTCCAAAAGAGTGTTTCATAATTGCTCAATCAAAGGGAAGGTTCAATTCTGTGTGACCAATGCACTCATCACAAAGAAGTTTGTCTGAATGCTTCTGTGTAGAATTGATTTGAAGATAATTCCTTTTCCACCACAGTCCGCAAAGGGCTAAAAATATCCACTTGCCGATTCCACAAAAAGAGAGATTCAAAACTGCTCAATCACAAGATAGGTTCAACTTGGTAATTGGAAAGCACACATGACAAACAATTTCTGAGAATGTTTCTGTGTAGTTTTTAAGGGGAAGATATTTGATTTTCAAATGTAGGCCTCAAATCGCTCCAAATATCCACTTGCATATTGTACAAAAAGAGAGATTCAAAACTGGTCACTCAAAAGTTAGGTCCAGCTCTGTGAGCTGAATGCACACATCACAAAGATGTTTCTCAGAAGGTTTCTGTATAGTTTCTATATGAAGATATTGGCTTTTCCACAATATGCCTCAAATCTCCCCAATTATCCACTTGCAGATTCTAGAAAAAGAGTGTTTCAAAACAGCTCAATCAAAATAAACTTTCAACTCTGTGAGATCAATGCACACATCACAAAGAAGTTTCTCAGAATGCTTCTGTGTAGTTTTTTTTGTGAAGATATTTGATTTTCCACAGCAGGCTTCCAAGCACTCCAAATATCCACTCGCAGATTCTGCAAAAAGAGAGATTCAAATCTGCTGAATCAAAAGATAGGTTTAACTCTGTGACTTCAATGCACACCTCACAAGGGTGTTTCTCAGAAAGCTTCTGTGTAGTTTTTATATGAAGATATCTCCTTCTCCAAAGCAGGTCTCAAAGCCCTCCAAATATTCACTTCAAGATTCTACGGAAAGATTGTCTCAACACTGCTAAATCTAAACAAATGTTCAACTCTGTGTGATGAATGCACTCATCACAGAGAAGTTTCTCTGAATGCCTCTGTGTAGTTTTTATTTGAAGATATTTGCTTTTCCAGTATAGGGCGAAATAGGGCTCCAAATATTCACTTGCAGATTCTACAAAAGGAGAGATTCCAAACTGCTCAATCAAAACATAGGTTCAACACTGTGAGTTGAATGCACACATCACAAAGAAGTTTCACAGAGTGCTTCTGGGTAGTTTTTATTTGAGGATATTTCCCTTTCCACAATAGGCCTCAAAGCTTTCCAAATATCCACTTGCAGATTCTGCAAAAAGAGAGATACAAAACTGCTCTATCAAAAGATAGATTCGACTCTGTGAGTTGAATGCCAACATCGCAAAGAAGTTTCTCAGAATGCTTCTCTGCAGCTTTTTTGTGAGTATGTTTCGTTTTCCACCATAGGGCGAAATGGGGCTCCAAATATCCACTTGCATTTCCTACAAAAAGAGAGATTCTAAGCTGCTCAATCAAAACATTGTTTCAACACGGTTAGTTGAATGCACACATCCCAAAGATGTTTTTCAGAGTGCTTCTGTGTGGTTTTTATGTGAAGATACTTCCTTTTCCACAATAGGCCTCAAATCTCTGTAAATATCCACTTGCAGACTCTACAAAGAGTGTTTCCAAACTCCTCAATCATAAGATAGGTTCAACTCCGATAGTTGAATGCACACATCACAAAGAAGTTTCTCGGAAAGCTTCTGTGTAGTTTTTGATGAAGATATCTTCTTCTCTAAAACAGAACTCCAAGCCCTCCAAATATTCACTTCAAGATTCTACGGAAAGATTGTCTCAAACTGCTAAATCAAAACAAAGGTTCAACTCTGTGTGATGAATGCATTCATCACAAAGAAGTTTCTCTGAGTGCTTCTGTGCAGTTTTTATTTGAAGATAATTGCTTTTCCAGTATAGGGCGAAATAGGGCTCCAAATATTCACTTGCAGATTCTACAGAAAGAGAGATTCCAAACTGCTCAATCAAAACATAGGTTCAACACTGTGAGTTGAATGCATACATCGCAAAGAAGTTTCACAGAGTACTTCTGGGTGGTTTTTATTTGAAGATATTTCCCTTTCCACAATAGGCCTCAAAGCGTTCCAAATGTCCACTTGCAGATTCCACCAAAAGAGTGTTTCGAAACTGCTCAATCAAAAGAAAGGTTCTACTCTGTGGGATGAATGCACACATCACAAAGTAGTTTCTCAGAATGCTTCTGTGTAGTTTTTATGTGAAGATATTTGTTTTTCCACAGTAGGCCCCAAGGAGCTCCAAATATTCACTTGCAGATTCTACAAAAAGAGTGTTCCGAAACTGCTCAATCATGAAATAGGATCAACCCTGTGAGATGAATGTACGTATGACAGAGAAGTTTCTCAGAATGCTTCTGTGTAGTTTTTATGCGAAGATATTCGACTTTCCACAGTACGCCTCAAAGTTCTCCAATTATCCACTCGTAGATTCTGCAAAAAGAGAGATTCAAAACTGCTCAATCAAAAGATAGTTTCTACTCCATTAGCTGAAAGACCACATCACAAAAAAAGTTTCTCAGGATGCTTCTGTGTAGTTTTTATGTGAAGATATTTGGTTTTCCACAGTAGGCCTCAAAGCGCTCCAAATATCCACTCACAGATTCTGCAAAAAGAGAGATTCAAAACTGCTGAATCAAAAGACAGTTTCAACTCTGTGACTTCAGTGCACACCTCACAAGGATGTTTCTCAGAATGCTTCTGTGTAGTTTTCATATAAAGATATCTCCTTCTCCAAAATGGATCTCAAAGTTCTCCAAATATTCACTTCCAGATTCTTTGGAAAGATTGTCTCAAAACTGCTCAATCAAACCAAAGGTTCAACTCTGTGAGATGAATGCCCACATCACAAAGAAGTTTCTCAGAGTACTTCTGTGTAGTTTCTATTTGAGGATAGTTCCTTTTCCACCACAGACCAGAAAGGGCTCCAAATATCCATTGCAGATGGTACAAAAAGTGAGATTCAAAACTGCTCAATCCAAAGGTAGTTTCAACCATGTGATATGAATGCACACAGCACAGAGAATTTTCTCAAAATGCGTCTGTCTAGTTTTTATTTGAAGATATTTCCTTTTCTACCATAGGCCACAAACGTCTCCAAATATCCACATGCAGCTTCTACAAAAAGAGAGATTCAAAACTTCTCAATCAAAAGATAGGTTCAACTCTGTGAGTTGAAAGCACACCTCACAAAGAAGTTTCTCAGAGTGCTTCTGTGTGTTTTTATGTGAAGATATTTCCTTTTCCACAATAGGCCTCAAAGCTCTCCAAATATCTGCGAGCAGAGTCTACAAAATGAGAGATTCAAAACTGCTCAATGAAAAGATAGGTTCAACTCTGTGAGTTGAATGCACACCTCCAAAGAAGTTTCTCAGAATGCTTCCGTGTAGTTTTTATGTGAAGATATTTACTTTTCCACAGTTGTCCCAAAGCTCTAAAATATCCACTTGCAGACCCTCCAAAAGAGTGTTTCATAATTGCTCAATCAAAGGGAAGGTTCAATTCTGTGTGACCAATGCACTCATCACAAAGAAGTTTGTCTGAATGCTTCTGTGTAGAATTGATTTGAAGATAATTCCTTTTCCACCACAGTCCGCAAAGGGCTAAAAATATCCACTTGCTGATTCCACAAAAAGAGAGATTCAAAACTGCTCAATCACAAGATAGGTTCAACTTGGTAATTGGAAAGCACACATGACAAACAATTTCTGAGAATGTTTCTGTGTAGTTTTTAAGGGAAGATATTTGATTTTCAAATGTAGGCCTCAAATCGCTCCAAATATCCACTTGCATATTGTACAAAAAGAGAGATTCAAAACTGGTCACTCAAAAGTTAGGTCCAGCTCTGTGAGCTGAATGCACACATCACAAAGATGTTTCTCAGAAGGTTTCTGCATAGTTTTTATATGAAGATATTTGCTTTTCCACAATATGCCTCAAATCTCCCCAATTATCCACTTGCAGATTCTAGAAAAAGAGTGTTTCAAAACAGCTCAATCAAAATAAACTTTCAACTCTGTGAGATCAATGCACACATCACAAAGAAGTTTCTCAGAATGCTTCTGTGTAGTTTTTTTTGTGAAGATATTTGATTTTCCACAGCAGGCTTCCAAGCACTCCAAATATCCACTCGCAGATTCTGCAAAAAGAGAGATTCAAATCTGCTGAATCAAAAGATAGGTTTAACTCTGTGACTTCAATGCACACCTCACAAGGGTGTTTGCTCAGAAAGCTTCTGTGTAGTTTTTATATGAAGATATCTCTTCTCCAAAGCAGGTCTCAAAGCCCTCCAAATATTCACTTCAAGATTCTACGGAAAGATTGTCTCAACACTGCTAAATCTAAACAAATGTTCAACTCTGTGTGATGAATGCACTCATCACAGAGAAGTTTCTCTGAATGCCTCTGTGTAGTTTTTATTTGAAGATATTTGCTTTTCCAGTATAGGGCGAAATAGGGCTCCAAATATTCACTTGCAGATTCTACAAAAGGAGAGATTCCAAACTGCTCAATCAAAACATAGGTTCAACACTGTGAGTTGAATGCACACATCACAAAGAAGTTTCACAGAGTGCTTCTGGGTAGTTTTTATTTGAGGATATTTCCCTTTCCACAATAGGCCTCAAAGCTTTCCAAATATCCACTTGCAGATTCTGCAAAAAGAGAGATACAAAACTGCTCTATCAAAAGATAGATTCGACTCTGTGAGTTGAATGCCAACATCGCAAAGAAGTTTCTCAGAATGCTTCTCTGCAGCTTTTTTGTGAGTATGTTTCGTTTTCCACCATAGGGCGAAATGGGGCTCCAAATATCCACTTGCATTTCCTACAAAAAGAGAGATTCTAAGCTGCTCAATCAAAACATTGTTTCAACACGGTTAGTTGAATGCACACATCCCAAAGATGTTTTTCAGAGTGCTTCTGTGTGGTTTTTATGTGAAGATACTTCCTTTTCCACAATAGGCCTCAAATCTCTGTAAATATCCACTTGCAGACTCTACAAAGAGTGTTTCCAAACTGCTCAATCATAAGATAGGTTCAACTCCGATAGTTGAATGCACACATCACAAAGAAGTTTCTCAGAAAGCTTCTGTGTAGTTTTTGATGAAGATATCTTCTTCTCTAAAACAGAACTCCAAGCCCTCCAAATATTCACTTCAAGATTCTACGGAAAGATTGTCTCAAAACTCCTAAATCAAAACAAAGTTTCAACTCTGTGTCATGAATGCATTCATCTCAAAGAAGTTTCTCTGAATGCTTCTGTGCAGTTTTTATTTGAAGATAATTGCTTTTCCAGTATAGGGCGAAATAGGGCTCCAAATATTCACTTGCAGATTCTACAGAAAGAGAGATTCCAAACTGTTCAATCAAAACATAGGTTCAACACTGTGAGTTGAATGCATACATCGCAAAGAAGTTTCACAGAGTACTTCTGGGTGGTTTTTATTTGAAGATATTTCCCTTTCCACACTAGGCCTCAAAGCTTTCCAAATGTCCACTTGCAGATTCCACCAAAAGAGTGTTTCGAAACTGCTCAATCAAAAGAAAGGTTCTACTCTGTGGGATGAATGCACACATCACAAAGTAGTTTCTCAGAATGCTTCTGTGTAGTTTTTATGTGAAGATATTTGTTTTTCCACAGTAGGCCCCAAGGAGCTCCAAATATTCACTTGCAGATTCTACAAAAAGAGTGTTCCAAAACTGCTCAATCATGAAATAGGATCAACCCTGTGAGATGAATGTACGTATGACAGAGAAGTTTCTCAGAATGCTTCTGTGTAGTTTTTATGCGAAGATATTCGATTTTCCACAGTACGCCTCAAAGTTCTCCAATTATCCACTCGTAGATTCTGCAAAAAGAGAGATTCAAAACTGCTCAATCAAAAGATAGTTTCTACTCCATTAGCTGAAAGACCACATCACAAAAAAAGTTTCTCAGGATGCTTCTGTGTAGTTTTTATGTGAAGATATTTGGTTTTCCACAGTAGGCCTCAAAGCGCTCCAAATATCCACTCACAGATTCTGCAAAAAGAGAGATTCAAAACTGCTGAATCAAAAGACAGTTTCAACTCTGTGACTTCAGTGCACACCTCACAAGGATGTTTCTCAGAATGCTTCTGTGTAGTTTTTATATAAAGATATCTCCTTCTCCAAAATGGATCTCAAAGTTCTCCAAATATTCACTTCCAGATTCTATGGAAAGATTGTCTCAAAACTGCTCAATCAAACCAAAGGTTCAACTCTGTGAGATGAATGCCCACATCACAAAGAAGTTTCTCAGAGTACTTCTGTGTAGTTTCTATTTGAGGATAGTTCCTTTTCCACCACAGACCAGAAAGGGCTCCAAATATCCATTGCAGATGGTACAAAAAGTGAGATTCAAAACTGCTCAATCCAAAGGTAGTTTCAACCATGTGATATGAATGCACACAGCACAGAGAATTTTCTCAAAATGCGTCTGTCTAGTTTTTATTTGAAGATATTTCCTTTTCTACCATAGGCCACAAACGTCTCCAAATATCCACATGCAGCTTCTACAAAAAGAGAGATTCAAAACTTCTCAATCAAAAGATAGGTTCAACTCTGTGAGTTGAAAGCACACCTCACAGAGAAGTTTCTCAGAGTGCTTCTGTGTGTTTTTATGTGAAGATATTTCCTTTTCCACAATAGGCCTCAAAGCTCTCCAAATATCTGCGAGCAGAGTCTACAAAATGAGAGATTCAAAACTGCTCAATGAAAAGATAGGTTCAACTCTGTGAGTTGAATGCACACCTCCAAAGAAGTTTCTCAGAATGCTTCCGTGTAGTTTTTATGTGAAGATATTTACTTTTCCACAGTTGTCCCAAAGCTCTAATATGTCCACTTGCAGGCCCTCCAAAAGAGTGTTTCAGAATTGCTCAATCAAAGGGAAGGTTCAATTCTGTGTGACCAATGCACTCATCACAAAGAAGTTTGTCTGAATGCTTCTGTGTAGAATTGATTTGAAGATAATTCCTTTTCCACCACAGTCCGCAAAGGGCTAAAAATATCCACTTGCCGATTCCACAAAAAGAGAGATTCAAAACTGCTCAATCACAAGATAGGTTCAACTTGGTAATTGGAAAGCACACATGACAAACAATTTCTGAGAATGTTTCTGTGTAGTTTTTAAGGGAAGATATTTGATTTTCAAATGTAGGCCTCAAATCGCTCCAAATATCCACTTGCATATTGTACAAAAAGAGAGATTCAAAACTGGTCACTCAAAAGTTAGGTCCAGCTCTGTGAGCTGAATGCACACATCACAAAGATGTTTCTCAGAAGGTTTCTGTATAGTTTTTATATGAAGATATTTGCTTTTCCACAATATGCCTCAAATCTCCCCAATTATCCACTTGCAGATTCTAGAAAAAGAGTGTTTCAAAACAGCTCAATCAAAATAAACTTTCAACTCTGTGAGATCAATGCACACATCACAAAGAAGTTTCTCAGAATGCTTCTGTGTAGTTTTTTTGTGAAGATATTTGATTTTCCACAGCAGGCTTCCAAGCACTCCAAATATCCACTCGCAGATTCTGCAAAAAGAGAGATTCAAATCTGCTGAATCAAAAGATAGGTTTAACTCTGTGACTTCAATGCACACCTCACAAGGGTGTTTCTCAGAAAGCTTCTGTGTAGTTTTTATATGAAGATATCTCCTTCTCCAAAGCAGGTCTCAAAGCCCTCCAAATATTCACTTCAAGATTCTACGGAAAGATTGTCTCAACACTGCTAAATCTAAACAAATGTTCAACTCTGTGTGATGAATGCACTCATCACAGAGAAGTTTCTCTGAATGCCTCTGTGTAGTTTTTATTTGAAGATATTTGCTTTTCCAGTATAGGGCGAAATAGGGCTCCAAATATTCACTTGCAGATTCTACAAAAGGAGAGATTCCAAACTGCTCAATCAAAACATAGGTTCAACACTGTGAGTTGAATGCACACAACACAAAGAAGTTTCACAGAGTGCTTCTGGGTAGTTTTTATTTGAGGATATTTCCCTTTCCACAATAGGCCTCAAAGCTTTCCAAATATCCACTTGCAGATTCTGCAAAAACAGAGATACAAAACTGCTCTATCAAAAGATAGATTCGACTCTGTGAGTTGAATGCCAACATCGCAAAGAAGTTTCTCAGAATGCTTCTCTGCAGCTTTTTTGTGAGTATGTTTCGTTTTCCACCATAGGGCGAAATGGGGCTCCAAATATCCACTTGCATTTCCTACAAAAAGAGAGATTCTAAGCTGCTCAATCAAAACATTGTTTCAACACGGTTAGTTGAATGCACACATCCCAAAGATGTTTTTCAGAGTGCTTCTGTGTGGTTTTTATGTGAAGATACTTCCTTTTCCACAATAGGCCTCAAATCTCTGTAAATATCCACTTGCAGACTCCACAAAGAGTGTTTCCAAACTGCTCAATCATAAGATAGGTTCAACTCCGATAGTTGAATGCACACATCACAAAGAAGTTTCTCAGAAAGCTTCTGTGTAGTTTTTGATGAAGATATCTTCTTCTCTAAAACAGAACTCCAAGCCCTCCAAATATTCACTTCAAGATTCTACGGAAAGATTGTCTCAAACTGCTAAATCAAAACAAAGGTTCAACTCTGTGTGATGAATGCATTCATCACAAAGAAGTTTCTCTGAGTGCTTCTGTGCAGTTTTTATTTGAAGATAATTGCTTTTCCAGTATAGGGCGAAATAGGGCTCCAAATATTCACTTGCAGATTCTACAGAAAGAGAGATTCCAAACTGCTCAATCAAAACATAGGTTCAACACTGTGAGTTGAATGCATACATCGCAAAGAAGTTTCACAGAGTACTTCTGGGTGGTTTTTATTTGAAGATATTTCCCTTTCCACAATAGGCCTCAAAGCTTTCCAAATGTCCACTTGCAGATTCCACCAAAAGAGTGTTTCGAAACTGCTCAATCAAAAGAAAGGTTCTACTCTGTGGGATGAATGCACACATCACAAAGTAGTTTCTCAGAATGCTTCTGTGTAGTTTTTATGTGAAGATATTTGTTTTTCCACAGTAGGCCCCAAAGAGCTCCAAATATTCACTTGCAGATTCTACAAAAAGAGTGTTCCAAAACTGCTCAATCATGAAATAGGATCAACCCTGTGAGATGAATGTACGTATGACAGAGAAGTTTCTCAGAATGCTTCTGTGTAGTTTTTATGCGAAGATATTCGATTTTCCACAGTACGCCTCAAAGTTCTCCAATTATCCACTCGTAGATCCTTCAAAAAGAGAGATTCAAAACTGCTCAATCAAAAGATAGTTTCTACTCCATTAGCTGAAAGACCACATCACAAAAAAAGTTTCTCAGGATGCTTCTGTGTAGTTTTTATGTGAAGATATTTGGTTTTCCACAGTAGGCCTCAAAGCGCTCCAAATATCCACTCACAGATTCTGCAAAAAGAGAGATTCAAAACTGCTGAATCAAAAGACAGTTTCAACTCTGTGACTTCAGTGCACACCTCACAAGGATGTTTCTCAGAATGCTTCTGTGTAGTTTTCATATAAAGATATCTCCTTCTCCAAAATGGATCTCAAAGTTCTCCAAATATTCACTTCCAGATTCTATGGAAAGATTGTCTCAAAACTGCTCAATCAAACCAAAGGTTCAACTCTGTGAGATGAATGCCCACATCACAAAGAAGTTTCTCAGAGTACTTCTGTGTAGTTTCTATTTGAGGATAGTTCCTTTTCCACCACAGACCAGAAAGGGCTCCAAATATCCATTGCAGATGGTACAAAAAGTGAGATTCAAAACTGCTCAATCCAAAGGTAGTTTCAACCATGTGATATGAATGCACACAGCACAGAGAATTTTCTCAAAATGCGTCTGTCTAGTTTTTATTTGAAGATATTTCCTTTTCTACCATAGGCCACAAACGTCTCCAAATATCCACATGCAGCTTCTACAAAAAGAGAGATTCAAAACTTCTCAATCAAAAGATAGGTTCAACTCTGTGAGTTGAAAGCACACCTCACAAAGAAGTTTCTCAGAGTGCTTCTGTGTGTTTTTATGTGAAGATATTTCCTTTTCCACAATAGGCCTCAAAGCTCTCCAAATATCTGCGAGCAGAGTCTACAAAATGAGAGATTCAAAACTGCTCAATGAAAAGATAGGTTCAACTCTGTGAGTTGAATGCACACCTCCAAAGAAGTTTCTCAGAATGCTTCCGTGTAGTTTTTATGTGAAGATATTTACTTTTCCACAGTTGTCCCAAAGCTCTAAAATATCCACTTGCAGACCCTCCAAAAGAGTGTTTCAGAATTGCTCAATCAAAGGGAAGGTTCAATTCTGTGTGACCAATGCACTCATCACAAAGAAGTTTGTCTGAATGCTTCTGTGTAGAATTGATTTGAAGATAATTCCTTTTCCACCACAGTCCGCAAAGGGCTAAAAATATCCACTTGCCGATTCCACAAAAAGAGAGATTCAAAACTGCTCAATCACAAGATAGGTTCAACTTGGTAATTGGAAAGCACACATGACAAACAATTTCTGAGAATGTTTCTGTGTAGTTTTTAAGGGAAGATATTTGATTTTCAAATGTAGGCCTCAAATCGCTCCAAATATCCACTTGCATATTGTACAAAAAGAGAGATTCAAAACTGGTCACTCAAAAGTTAGGTCCAGCTCTGTGAGCTGAATGCACACATCACAAAGATGTTTCCTCAGAAGGTTTCTGTATAGTTTCTATATGAAGATATTTGCTTTCCCACAATATGCCTCAAATCTCCCCAATTATCCACTTGCAGATTCTAGAAAAAGAGTGTTTCAAAACAGCTCAATCAAAATAAACTTTCAACTCTGTGAGATCAATGCACACATCACAAAGAAGTTTCTCAGAATGCTTCTGTGTAGTTTTTTTTGTGAAGATATTTGATTTTCCACAGCAGGCTTCCAAGCACTCCAAATATCCACTCGCAGATTCTGCAAAAAGAGAGATTCAAATCTGCTGAATCAAAAGATAGGTTTAACTCTGTGACTTCAATGCACACCTCACAAGGGTGTTTCTCAGAAAGCTTCTGTGTAGTTTTTATATGAAGATATCTCCTTCTCCAAAGCAGGTCTCAAAGCCCTCCAAATATTCACTTCAAGATTCTACGGAAAGATTGTCTCAACACTGCTAAATCTAAACAAATGTTCAACTCTGTGTGATGAATGCACTCATCACAGAGAAGTTTCTCTGAATGCCTCTGTGTAGTTTTTATTTGAAGATATTTGCTTTTCCAGTATAGGGCGAAATAGGGCTCCAAATATTCACTTGCAGATTCTACAAAAGGAGAGATTCCAAACTGCTCAATCAAAACATAGGTTCAACACTGTGAGTTGAATGCACACATCACAAAGAAGTTTCACAGAGTGCTTCTGGGTAGTTTTTATTTGAGGATATTTCCCTTTCCACAATAGGCCTCAAAGCTTTCCAAATATCCACTTGCAGATTCTGCAAAAAGAGAGATACAAAACTGCTCTATCAAAAGATAGATTCGACTCTGTGAGTTGAATGCCAACATCGCAAAGAAGTTTCTCAGAATGCTTCTCTGCAGCTTTTTTGTGAGTATGTTTCGTTTTCCACCATAGGGCGAAATGGGGCTCCAAATATCCACTTGCATTTCCTACAAAAAGAGAGATTCTAAGCTGCTCAATCAAAACATTGTTTCAACACGGTTAGTTGAATGCACACATCCCAAAGATGTTTTTCAGAGTGCTTCTGTGTGGTTTTTATGTGAAGATACTTCCTTTTCCACAATAGGCCTCAAATCTCTGTAAATATCCACTTGCAGACTCCACAAAGAGTGTTTCCAAACTGCTCAATCATAAGATAGGTTCAACTCCGATAGTTGAATGCACACATCACAAAGAAGTTTCTCAGAAAGCTTCTGTGTAGTTTTTGATGAAGATATCTTCTTCTCTAAAACAGAACTCCAAGCCCTCCAAATATTCACTTCAAGATTCTACGGAAAGATTGTCTCAAACTGCTAAATCAAAACAAAGGTTCAACTCTGTGTGATGAATGCATTCATCACAAAGAAGTTTCTCTGAGTGCTTCTGTGCAGTTTTTATTTGAAGATAATTGCTTTTCCAGTATAGGGCGAAATAGGGCTCCAAATATTCACTTGCAGATTCTACAGAAAGAGAGATTCCAAACTGCTCAATCAAAACATAGGTTCAACACTGTGAGTTGAATGCATACATCGCAAAGAAGTTTCACAGAGTACTTCTGGGTGGTTTTTATTTGAAGATATTTCCCTTTCCACAATAGGCCTCAAAGCTTTCCAAATGTCCACTTGCAGATTCCACCAAAAGAGTGTTTCGAAACTGCTCAATCAAAAGAAAGGTTCTACTCTGTGGGATGAATGCACACATCACAAAGTAGTTTCTCAGAATGCTTCTGTGTAGTTTTTATGTGAAGATATTTGTTTTTCCACAGTAGGCCCCAAAGAGCTCCAAATATTCACTTGCAGATTCTACAAAAAGAGTGTTCCAAAACTGCTCAATCATGAAATAGGATCAACCCTGTGAGATGAATGTACGTATGACAGAGAAGTTTCTCAGAATGCTTCTGTGTAGTTTTTATGCGAAGATATTCGATTTTCCACAGTACGCCTCAAAGTTCTCCAATTATCCACTCGTAGATTCTGCAAAAAGAGAGATTCAAAACTGCTCAATCAAAAGATAGTTTCTACTCCATTAGCTGAAAGACCACATCACAAAAAAAGTTTCTCAGGATGCTTCTGTGTAGTTTTTATGTGAAGATATTTGGTTTTCCACAGTAGGCCTCAAAGCGCTCCAAATATCCACTCACAGATTCTGCAAAAAGAGAGATTCAAAACTGCTGAATCAAAAGACAGTTTCAACTCTGTGACTTCAGTGCACACCTCACAAGGATGTTTCTCAGAATGCTTCTGTGTAGTTTTTATATAAAGATATCTCCTTCTCCAAAATGGATCTCAAAGTTCTCCAAATATTCACTTCCAGATTCTATGGAAAGATTGTCTCAAAACTGCTCAATCAAACCAAAGTTTCAACTCTGTGAGATGAATGCCCACATCACAAAGAAGTTTCTCAGAGTACTTCTGTGTAGTTTCTATTTGAGGATAGTTCCTTTTCCACCACAGACCAGAAAGGGCTCCAAATATCCATTGCAGATGGTACAAAAAGTGAGATTCAAAACTGCTCAATCCAAAGGTAGTTTCAACCATGTGATATGAATGCACACAGCACAGAGAATTTTCTCAAAATGCGTCTGTCTAGTTTTTATTTGAAGATATTTCCTTTTCTACCATAGGCCACAAACGTCTCCAAATATCCACATGCAGCTTCTACAAAAAGAGAGATTCAAAACTTCTCAATCAAAAGATAGGTTCAACTCTGTGAGTTGAAAGCACACCTCACAGAGAAGTTTCTCAGAGTGCTTCTGTGTGTTTTTATGTGAAGATATTTCCTTTTCCACAATAGGCCTCAAAGCTCTCCAAATATCTGCGAGCAGAGTCTACAAAATGAGAGATTCAAAACTGCTCAATGAAAAGATAGGTTCAACTCTGTGAGTTGAATGCACACCTCCAAAGAAGTTTCTCAGAATGCTTCCGTGTAGTTTTTATGTGAAGATATTTACTTTTCCACAGTTGTCCCAAAGCTCTAAAATGTCCACTTGCAGACCCTCCAAAAGAGTGTTTCAGAATTGCTCAATCAAAGGGAAGGTTCAATTCTGTGTGACCAATGCACTCATCACAAAGAAGTTTGTCTGAATGCTTCTGTGTAGAATTGATTTGAAGATAATTCCTTTTCCACCACAGTCCGCAAAGGGCTAAAAATATCCACTTGCCGATTCCACAAAAAGAGAGATTCAAAACTGCTCAATCACAAGATAGGTTCAACTTGGTAATTGGAAAGCACACATGACAAACAATTTCTGAGAATGTTTCTGTGTAGTTTTTAAGGGAAGATATTTGATTTTCAAATGTAGGCCTCAAATCGCTCCAAATATCCACTTGCATATTGTACAAAAAGAGAGATTCAAAACTGGTCACTCAAAAGTTAGGTCCAGCTCTGTGAGCTGAATGCACACATCACAAAGATGTTTCTCAGAAGGTTTCTGTATAGTTTCTATATGAAGATATTTGCTTTTCCACAATATGCCTCAAATCTCCCCAATTATCCACTTGCAGATTCTAGAAAAAGAGTGTTTCAAAACAGCTCAATCAAAATAAACTTTCAACTCTGTGAGATCAATGCACACATCACAAAGAAGTTTCTCAGAATGCTTCTGTGTAGTTTTTTTTGTGAAGATATTTGATTTTCCACAGCAGGCTTCCAAGCACTCCAAATATCCACTCGCAGATTCTGCAAAAAGAGAGATTCAAATCTGCTGAATCAAAAGATAGGTTTAACTCTGTGACTTCAATGCACACCTCACAAGGGTGTTTCTCAGAAAGCTTCTGTGTAGTTTTTATATGAAGATATCTCCTTCTCCAAAGCAGGTCTCAAAGCCCTCCAAATATTCACTTCAAGATTCTACGGAAAGATTGTCTCAACACTGCTAAATCTAAACAAATGTTCAACTCTGTGTGATGAATGCACTCATCACAGAGAAGTTTCTCTGAATGCCTCTGTGTAGTTTTCATTTGAAGATATTTGCTTTTCCAGTATAGGGCGAAATAGGGCTCCAAATATTCACTTGCAGATTCTACAAAAGGAGAGATTCCAAACTGCTCAATCAAAACATAGGTTCAACACTGTGAGTTGAATGCACACATCACAAAGAAGTTTCACAGAGTGCTTCTGGGTAGTTTTTATTTGAGGATATTTCCCTTTCCACAATAGGCCTCAAAGCTTTCCAAATATCCACTTGCAGATTCTGCAAAAAGAGAGATACAAAACTGCTCTATCAAAAGATAGATTCGACTCTGTGAGTTGAATGCCAACATCGCAAAGAAGTTTCTCAGAATGCTTCTCTGCAGCTTTTTTGTGAGTATGTTTCGTTTTCCACCATAGGGCGAAATGGGGCTCCAAATATCCACTTGCATTTCCTACAAAAAGAGAGATTCTAAGCTGCTCAATCAAAACATTGTTTCAACACGGTTAGTTGAATGCACACATCCCAAAGATGTTTTTCAGAGTGCTTCTGTGTGGTTTTTATGTGAAGATACTTCCTTTTCCACAATAGGCCTCAAATCTCTGTAAATATCCACTTGCAGACTCTACAAAGAGTGTTTCCAAACTGCTCAATCATAAGATAGGTTCAACTCCGATAGTTGAATGCACACATCACAAAGAAGTTTCTCAGAAAGCTTCTGTGTAGTTTTTGATGAAGATATCTTCTTCTCTAAAACAGAACTCCAAGCCCTCCAAATATTCACTTCAAGATTCTACGGAAAGATTGTCTCAAACTGCTAAATCAAAACAAAGGTTCAACTCTGTGTGATGAATGCATTCATCACAAAGAAGTTTCTCTGAGTGCTTCTGTGCAGTTTTTATTTGAAGATAATTGCTTTTCCAGTATAGGGCGAAATAGGGCTCCAAATATTCACTTGCAGATTCTACAGAAAGAGAGATTCCAAACTGCTCAATCAAAACATAGGTTCAACACTGTGAGTTGAATGCATACATCGCAAAGAAGTTTCACAGAGTACTTCTGGGTGGTTTTTATTTGAAGATATTTCCCTTTCCACAATAGGCCTCAAAGCTTTCCAAATGTCCACTTGCAGATTCCACCAAAAGAGTGTTTCGAAACTGCTCAATCAAAAGAAAGGTTCTACTCTGTGGGATGAATGCACACATCACAAAGTAGTTTCTCAGAATGCTTCTGTGTAGTTTTTATGTGAAGATATTTGTTTTTCCACAGTAGGCCCCAAAGAGCTCCAAATATTCACTTGCAGATTCTACAAAAAGAGTGTTCCAAAACTGCTCCATCATGAAATAGGATCAACCCTGTGAGATGAATGTACGTATGACAGAGAAGTTTCTCAGAATGCTTCTGTGTAGTTTTTATGCGAAGATATTCGACTTTCCACAGTACGCCTCAAAGTTCTCCAATTATCCACTCGTAGATCCTGCAAAAAGAGAGATTCAAAACTGCTCAATCAAAAGATAGTTTCTACTCCATTAGCTGAAAGACCACATCACAAAAAAAGTTTCTCAGGATGCTTCTGTGTAGTTTTTATGTGAAGATATTTGGTTTTCCACAGTAGGCCTCAAAGCGCTCCAAATATCCACTCACAGATTCTGCAAAAAGAGAGATTCAAAACTGCTGAATCAAAAGACAGTTTCAACTCTGTGACTTCAGTGCACACCTCACAAGGATGTTTCTCAGAATGCTTCTGTGTAGTTTTCATATAAAGGTATCTCCTTCTCCAAAATGGATCTCAAAGTTCTCCAAATATTCACTTCCAGATTCTATGGAAAGATTGTCTCAAAACTGCTCAATCAAACCAAAGGTTCAACTCTGTGAGATGAATGCCCACATCACAAAGAAGTTTCTCAGAGTACTTCTGTGTAGTTTCTATTTGAGGATAGTTCCTTTTCCACCACAGACCAGAAAGGGCTCCAAATATCCATTGCAGATGGTACAAAAAGTGAGATTCAAAACTGCTCAATCCAAAGGTAGTTTCAACCATGTGATATGAATGCACACAGCACAGAGAATTTTCTCAAAATGCGTCTGTCTAGTTTTTATTTGAAGATATTTCCTTTTCTACCATAGGCCACAAACGTCTCCAAATATCCACATGCAGCTTCTACAAAAAGAGAGATTCAAAACTTCTCAATCAAAAGATAGGTTCAACTCTGTGAGTTGAAAGCACACCTCACAGAGAAGTTTCTCAGAGTGCTTCTGTGTGTTTTTATGTGAAGATATTTCCTTTTCCACAATAGGCCTCAAAGCTCTCCAAATATCTGCGAGCAGAGTCTACAAAATGAGAGATTCAAAACTGCTCAATGAAAAGATAGGTTCAACTCTGTGAGTTGAATGCACACCTCCAAAGAAGTTTCTCAGAATGCTTCCGTGTAGTTTTTATGTGAAGATATTTACTTTTCCACAGTTGTCCCAAAGCTCTAAAATGTCCACTTGCAGACCCTCCAAAAGAGTGTTTCAGAATTGCTCAATCAAAGGGAAGGTTCAATTCTGTGTGACCAATGCACTCATCACAAAGAAGTTTGTCTGAATGCTTCTGTGTAGAATTGATTTGAAGATAATTCCTTTTCCACCACAGTCCGCAAAGGGCTAAAAATATCCACTTGCCGATTCCACAAAAAGAGAGATTCAAAACTGCTCAATCACAAGATAGGTTCAACTTGGTAATTGGAAAGCACACATGACAAACAATTTCTGAGAATGTTTCTGTGTAGTTTTTAAGGGAAGATATTTGATTTTCAAATGTAGGCCTCAAATCGCTCCAAATATCCACTTGCATATTGTACAAAAAGAGAGATTCAAAACTGGTCACTCAAAAGTTAGGTCCAGCTCTGTGAGCTGAATGCACACATCACAAAGATGTTTCTCAGAAGGTTTCTGTATAGTTTTTATATGAAGATATTTGCTTTTCCACAATATGCCTCAAATCTCCCCAATTATCCATTTGCAGATTCTAGAAAAAGAGTGTTTCAAAACAGCTCAATCAAAATAAACTTTCAACTCTGTGAGATCAATGCACACATCACAAAGAAGTTTCTCAGAATGCTTCTGTGTAGTTTTTTTTGTGAAGATATTTGATTTTCCACAGCAGGCTTCCAAGCACTCCAAATATCCACTCGCAGATTCTGCAAAAAGAGAGATTCAAATCTGCTGAATCAAAAGATAGGTTTAACTCTGTGACTTCAATGCACACCTCACAAGGGTGTTTCTCAGAAAGCTTCTGTGTAGTTTTTATATGAAGATATCTCCTTCTCCAAAGCAGGTCTCAAAGCCCTCCAAATATTCACTTCAAGATTCTACGGAAAGATTGTCTCAACACTGCTAAATCTAAACAAATGTTCAACTCTGTGTGATGAATGCACTCATCACAGAGAAGTTTCTCTGAATGCCTCTGTGTAGTTTTTATTTGAAGATATTTGCTTTTCCAGTATAGGGCGAAATAGGGCTCCAAATATTCACTTGCAGATTCTACAAAAGGAGAGATTCCAAACTGCTCAATCAAAACATAGGTTCAACACTGTGAGTTGAATGCACACATCACAAAGAAGTTTCACAGAGTGCTTCTGGGTAGTTTTTATTTGAGGATATTTCCCTTTCCACAATAGGCCTCAAAGCTTTCCAAATATCCACTTGCAGATTCTGCAAAAAGAGAGATACAAAACTGCTCTATCAAAAGATAGATTCGACTCTGTGAGTTGAATGCCAACATCGCAAAGAAGTTTCTCAGAATGCTTCTCTGCAGCTTTTTTGTGAGTATGTTTCGTTTTCCACCATAGGGCGAAATGGGGCTCCAAATATCCACTTGCATTTCCTACAAAAAGAGAGATTCTAAGCTGCTCAATCAAAACATTGTTTCAACACGGTTAGTTGAATGCACACATCCCAAAGATGTTTTTCAGAGTGCTTCTGTGTGGTTTTTATGTGAAGATACTTCCTTTTCCACAATAGGCCTCAAATCTCTGTAAATATCCACTTGCAGACTCTACAAAGAGTGTTTCCAAACTGCTCAATCATAAGATAGGTTCAACTCCGATAGTTGAATGCACACATCACAAAGAAGTTTCTCAGAAAGCTTCTGTGTAGTTTTTGATGAAGATATCTCCTTCTCTAAAACAGAACTCCAAGCCCTCCAAATATTCACTTCAAGATTCTACGGAAAGATTGTCTCAAAACTCCTAAATCAAAACAAAGTTTCAACTCTGTGTCATGAATGCATTCATCTCAAAGAAGTTTCTCTGAATGCTTCTGTGCAGTTTTTATTTGAAGATAATTGCTTTTCCAGTATAGGGCGAAATAGGGCTCCAAATATTCACTTGCAGATTCTACAGAAAGAGAGATTCCAAACTGCTCAATCAAAACATAGGTTCAACACTGTGAGTTGAATGCATACATCGCAAAGAAGTTTCACAGAGTACTTCTGGGTGGTTTTTATTTGAAGATATTTCCCTTTCCACAATAGGCCTCAAAGCTTTCCAAATGTCCACTTGCAGATTCCACCAAAAGAGTGTTTCGAAACTGCTCAATCAAAAGAAAGGTTCTACTCTGTGGGATGAATGCACACATCACAAAGTAGTTTCTCAGAATGCTTCTGTGTAGTTTTTATGTGAAGATATTTGTTTTTCCACAGTAGGCCCCAAAGAGCTCCAAATATTCACTTGCAGATTCTACAAAAAGAGTGTTCCAAAACTGCTCAATCATGAAATAGGATCAACCCTGTGAGATGAATGTACGTATGACAGAGAAGTTTCTCAGAATGCTTCTGTGTAGTTTTTATGCGAAGATATTCGATTTTCCACAGTACGCCTCAAAGTTCTCCAATTATCCACTCGTAGATCCTGCAAAAAGAGAGATTCAAAACTGCTCAATCAAAAGATAGTTTCTACTCCATTAGCTGAAAGACCACATCACAAAAAAAGTTTCTCAGGATGCTTCTGTGTAGTTTTTATGTGAAGATATTTGGTTTTCCACAGTAGGCCTCAAAGCGCTCCAAATATCCACTCACAGATTCTGCAAAAAGAGAGATTCAAAACTGCTGAATCAAAAGACAGTTTCAACTCTGTGACTTCAGTGCACACCTCACAAGGATGTTTCTCAGAATGCTTCTGTGTAGTTTTTATATAAAGATATCTCCTTCTCCAAAATGGATCTCAAAGTTCTCCAAATATTCACTTCCAGATTCTATGGAAAGATTGTCTCAAAACTGCTCAATCAAACCAAAGGTTCAACTCTGTGAGATGAATGCACACATCACAAAGAAGTTTCTCAGAGTACTTCTGTGTAGTTTCTATTTGAGGATAGTTCCTTTTCCACCACAGACCAGAAAGGGCTCCAAATATCCATTGCAGATGGTACAAAAAGTGAGATTCAAAACTGCTCAATCCAAAGGTAGTTTCAACCATGTGATATGAATGCACACAGCACAGAGAATTTTCTCAAAATGCGTCTGTCTAGTTTTTATTTGAAGATATTTCCTTTTCTACCATAGGCCACAAACGTCTCCAAATATCCACATGCAGCTTCTACAAAAAGAGAGATTCAAAACTTCTCAATCAAAAGATAGGTTCAACTCTGTGAGTTGAAAGCACACCTCACAAAGAAGTTTCTCAGAGTGCTTCTGTGTGTTTTTATGTGAAGATATTTCCTTTTCCACAATAGGCCTCAAAGCTCTCCAAATATCTGCGAGCAGAGTCTACAAAATGAGAGATTCAAAACTGCTCAATGAAAAGATAGGTTCAACTCTGTGAGTTGAATGCACACCTCCAAAGAAGTTTCTCAGAATGCTTCCGTGCAGTTTTTATGTGAAGATATTTACTTTTCCACAGTTGTCCCAAAGCTCTAAAATGTCCACTTGCAGACCCTCCAAAAGAGTGTTTCAGAATTGCTCAATCAAAGGGAAGGTTCAATTTCTGTGTGACCAATGCACTCATCACAAAGAAGTTTGTCTGAATGCTTCTGTGTAGAATTGATTTGAAGATAATTCCTTTTCCACCACAGTCCGCAAAGGGCTAAAAATATCCACTTGCCGATTCCACAAAAAGAGAGATTCAAAACTGCTCAATCACAAGATAGGTTCAACTTGGTAATTGGAAAGCACACATGACAAACAATTTCTGAGAATGTTTCTGTGTAGTTTTTAAGGGAAGATATTTGATTTTCAAATGTAGGCCTCAAATCGCTCCAAATATCCACTTGCATATTGTACAAAAAGAGAGATTCAAAACTGGTCACTCAAAAGTTAGGTCCAGCTCTGTGAGCTGAATGCACACATCACAAAGATGTTTCTCAGAAGGTTTCTGTATAGTTTCTATATGAAGATATTGGCTTTTCCACAATATGCCTCAAATCTCCCCAATTATCCACTTGCAGATTCTAGAAAAAGAGTGTTTCAAAACAGCTCAATCAAAATAAACTTTCAACTCTGTGAGATCAATGCACACATCACAAAGAAGTTTCTCAGAATGCTTCTGTGTAGTTTTTTTTGTGAAGATATTTGATTTTCCACAGCAGGCTTCCAAGCACTCCAAATATCCACTCGCAGATTCTGCAAAAAGAGAGATTCAAATCTGCTGAATCAAAAGATAGGTTTAACTCTGTGACTTCAATGCACACCTCACAAGGGTGTTTCTCAGAAAGCTTCTGTGTAGTTTTTATATGAAGATATCTCCTTCTCCAAAGCAGGTCTCAAAGCCCTCCAAATATTCACTTCAAGATTCTACGGAAAGATTGTCTCAACACTGCTAAATCTAAACAAATGTTCAACTCTGTGTGATGAATGCACTCATCACAGAGAAGTTTCTCTGAATGCCTCTGTGTAGTTTTTATTTGAAGATATTTGCTTTTCCAGTATAGGGCGAAATAGGGCTCCAAATATTCACTTGCAGATTCTACAAAAGGAGAGATTCCAAACTGCTCAATCAAAACATAGGTTCAACACTGTGAGTTGAATGCACACATCACAAAGAAGTTTCACAGAGTGCTTCTGGGTAGTTTTTATTTGAGGATATTTCCCTTTCCACAATAGGCCTCAAAGCTTTCCAAATATCCACTTGCAGATTCTGCAAAAAGAGAGATACAAAACTGCTCTATCAAAAGATAGATTCGACTCTGTGAGTTGAATGCCAACATCGCAAAGAAGTTTCTCAGAATGCTTCTCTGCAGCTTTTTTGTGAGTATGTTTCGTTTTCCACCATAGGGCGAAATGGGGCTCCAAATATCCACTTGCATTTCCTACAAAAAGAGAGATTCTAAGCTGCTCAATCAAAACATTGTTTCAACACGGTTAGTTGAATGCACACATCCCAAAGATGTTTTTCAGAGTGCTTCTGTGTGGTTTTTATGTGAAGATACTTCCTTTTCCACAATAGGCCTCAAATCTCTGTAAATATCCACTTGCAGACTCTACAAAGAGTGTTTCCAAACTGCTCAATCATAAGATAGGTTCAACTCCGATAGCTGAATGCACACATCACAAAGAAGTTTCTCAGAAAGCTTCTGTGTAGTTTTTGATGAAGATATCTCCTTCTCTAAAACAGAACTCCAAGCCCTCCAAATATTCACTTCAAGATTCTACGGAAAGATTGTCTCAAACTGCTAAATCAAAACAAAGGTTCAACTCTGTGTGATGAATGCATTCATCACAAAGAAGTTTCTCTGAGTGCTTCTGTGCAGTTTTTATTTGAAGATAATTGCTTTTCCAGTATAGGGCGAAATAGGGCTCCAAATATTCACTTGCAGATTCTACAGAAAGAGAGATTCCAAACTGCTCAATCAAAACATAGGTTCAACACTGTGAGTTGAATGCATACATCGCAAAGAAGTTTCACAGAGTACTTCTGGGTGGTTTTTATTTGAAGATATTTCCCTTTCCACAATAGGCCTCAAAGCTTTCCAAATGTCCACTTGCAGATTCCACCAAAAGAGTGTTTCGAAACTGCTCAATCAAATGAAAGGTTCTACTCTGTGGGATGAATGCACACATCACAAAGTAGTTTCTCAGAATGCTTCTGTGTAGTTTTTATGTGAAGATATTTGTTTTTCCACAGTAGGCCCCAAAGAGCTCCAAATATTCACTTGCAGATTCTACAAAAAGAGTGTTCCAGAACTGCTCAATCATGAAATAGGATCAACCCTGTGAGATGAATGTACGTATGACAGAGAAGTTTCTCAGAATGCTTCTGTGTAGTTTTTATGCGAAGATATTCGATTTTCCACAGTACGCCTCAAAGTTCTCCAATTATCCACTCGTAGATTCTGCAAAAAGAGAGATTCAAAACTGCTCAATCAAAAGATAGTTTCTACTCCATTAGCTGAAAGACCACATCACAAAAAAAGTTTCTCAGGATGCTTCTGTGTAGTTTTTATGTGAAGATATTTGGTTTTCCACAGTAGGCCTCAAAGCGCTCCAAATATCCACTCACAGATTCTGCAAAAAGAGAGATTCAAAACTGCTGAATCAAAAGACAGTTTCAACTCTGTGACTTCAGTGCACACCTCACAAGGATGTTTCTCAGAATGCTTCTGTGTAGTTTTCATATAAAGATATCTCCTTCTCCAAAATGGATCTCAAAGTTCTCCAAATATTCACTTCCAGATTCTATGGAAAGATTGTCTCAAAACTGCTCAATCAAACCAAAGGTTCAACTCTGTGAGATGAATGCCCACATCACAAAGAAGTTTCTCAGCAGTACTTCTGTGTAGTTTCTATTTGAGGATAGTTCCTTTTCCACCACAGGACCAGAAAGGGCTCCAAATATCCATTGCAGATGGTACAAAAAGTGAGATTCAAAACTGCTCAATCCAAAGGTAGTTTCAACCATGTGATATGAATGCACACAGCACAGAGAATTTTCTCAAAATGCGTCTGTCTAGTTTTTATTTGAAGATATTTCCTTTTCTACCATAGGCCACAAACGTCTCCAAATATCCACATGCAGCTTCTACAAAAAGAGAGATTCAAAACTTCTCAATCAAAAGATAGGTTCAACTCTGTGAGTTGAAAGCACACCTCACAAAGAAGTTTCTCAGAGTGCTTCTGGGTGGTTTTTATTTGAAGATATTTCCCTTTCCACAATAGGCCTCAAAGCTTTCCAAATGTCCACTTGCAGATTCCACCAAAAGAGTGTTTCGAAACTGCTCAATCAAAAGAAAGGTTCTACTGCTGTGGGATGAATGCACACATCACAAAGTAGTTTCTCAGAATGCTTCTGTGTAGTTTTTATATGAAGATATCTCCTTCTCCAAAACAGAACTCGAAGCCCTCCAAATATTCACTTCAAGATTCTACGGAAAGATTGTCTCAAAACTGCTAAATCAAAATAAAGTTTCAAATCTGTGTGATGAATGCATTCATCACAAAGAAGTTTCTCTGAATGCTTCTGTGTAGTTTTATTTGAAGATATTTGCTTTTCCACTATAGGGCGAAATAGGGCTCCAAATATTCACTTGCAGATTCTACAAAAAGAGAGATTCCAAACTGCTCAATCAAAAGATAGGTTCAACACTGTTAGTTGAATGCACACATCACAAAGAAGTTTCACAGAGTGCTTCTGGGTAGTTTTTATTTGAAGATATTTCCCTTTCCACAATAGGCCTCAAAACTTTCCAAATATCCACTTGCAGATTCTACAAAAAGAGTGTTTCAGAACTGCTCAATCAAAAGAAAGGTTCTACTCTGTGAGATGAATGCACACATCACAAAGCAGTTTCTCAGAATGCTTCTGTGTAGTTTTTATGTGAAGATATTGGTTTTTCCACAGTAGCCCCCAATAAGCTCCAAATATTCACTTGCAGATTCTACAAAAAGAGTGTTTCAAAAGTGCTCAATCATAAAATAGGATCAACCCTGTGAGATGAATGTATGTATGACAAAGAGGTTTCTCAGAATGCTTCTGTGTAGTTTTTATGGGAAGATATTTGATTTTCCACAGTAGGCCTCAAAGTTCTCCAAATATCCACTTGCAGATTATGCAAAAAGAGAGATTCAAAACTGCTCAATCAAAAGATAGGTTCAACTCTATTAGTTGAAAGACCACATCACCAAGAAGTTTCTCAGGATGCTTCTGTGTAGTTTTTATGTGAAGATATTTGGTTTTCCACAGTAGGCCACAAAGCGCTCCGAATATCCACTCACAGATTCTGCAAAAAGAGAGATTCAAAATTGCTGAATCAAAAGATAGTTTGAACTCTGTGACTTCAGTGCACACCTCACAAAGATGTTTCTCAGAATGCTTCTCTGTAGTTTTTATATGAAGATATCTCCTTCTCCAAAATAGATCTCAAAGCCCTCCAAATATTCACTTCCAGATCCTATGGAAAGATGGTCTCAAAACTGCTCAAGCAAAACAAAGGTTCAACTCTGTGAGAAGAATGCACACATCACGAAGAAGTTTCTCAGAATACTTCTGTGTAGTTTCTATTTGAGGATAGTTCCTTTTCCACCACAGACCAGAAAGGGCTCCAAATATCCATTGCAGATGGTACAAAAAGTGAGATTCAAAACTGCTCAATCCAAAGGTAGTTTCAACCATGTGATATGAATGCAAACAGCACAGAGAATTTTCTCAAAATGCGTCTGTCTAGTTTTTATTTGAAGATATTTCCTTTTCTACCATAGGCCACAAACGTCTCCAAATATCCACATGCAGCTTCTACAAAAAGAGAGATTCAAAACTTCTCAATCAAAAGATAGGTTCAACTCTGTGAGTTGAAAGCACACCTCACAAAGAAGTTTCTCAGAGTGCTTCTGTGTGTTTTTATGTGAAGATATTTCCTTTTCCACAATAGGCCTCAAAGCTCTCCAAATATCTGCGAGCAGAGTCTACAAAATGAGAGATTCAAAACTGCTCAATGAAAAGATAGGTTCAACTCTGTGAGTTGAATGCACACCTCCAAAGAAGTTTCTCAGAATGCTTCCGTGTAGTTTTTATGTGAAGATATTTACTTTTCCACAGTTGTCCCAAAGCTCTAAAATATCCACTTGCAGACCCTCCAAAAGAGTGTTTCAGAATTGCTCAATCAAAGGGAAGGTTCAATTCTGTGTGACCAATGCACTCATCACAAAGAAGTTTGTCTGAATGCTTCTGTGTAGAATTGATTTGAAGATAATTCCTTTTCCACCACAGTCCGCAAAGGGCTAAAAATATCCACTTGCCGATTCCACAAAAAGAGAGATTCAAAACTGCTCAATCACAAGATAGGTTCAACTTGGTAATTGGAAAGCACACATGACAAACAATTTCTGAGAATGTTTCTGTGTAGTTTTTAAGGGAAGATATTTGATTTTCAAATGTAGGCCTCAAATCGCTCCAAATATCCACTTGCATATTGTACAAAAAGAGAGATTCAAAACTGGTCACTCGAAAGTTAGGTCCAGCTCTGTGAGCTGAATGCACACATCACAAAGATGTTTCTCAGAAGGTTTCTGTATAGTTTTTATATGAAGATATTTGCTTTTCCACAATATGCCTCAAATCTCCCCAATTATCCACTTGCAGATTCTAGAAAAAGAGTGTTTCAAAACAGCTCAATCAAAATAAACTTTCAACTCTGTGAGATCAATGCACACATCACAAAGAAGTTTCTCAGAATGCTTCTGTGTAGTTTTTTTTGTGAAGATATTTGATTTTCCACAGCAGGCTTCCAAGCACTCCAAATATCCACTCGCAGATTCTGCAAAAAGAGAGATTCAAATCTGCTGAATCAAAAGATAGGTTTAACTCTGTGACTTCAATGCACACCTCACAAGGGTGTTTCTCAGAAAGCTTCTGTGTAGTTTTTATATGAAGATATCTCCTTCTCCAAAGCAGGTCTCAAAGCCCTCCAAATATTCACTTCAAGATTCTACGGAAAGATTGTCTCAACACTGCTAAATCTAAACAAATGTTCAACTCTGTGTGATGAATGCACTCATCACAGAGAAGTTTCTCTGAATGCCTCTGTGTAGTTTTTATTTGAAGATATTTGCTTTTCCAGTATAGGGCGAAATAGGGCTCCAAATATTCACTTGCAGATTCTACAAAAGGAGAGATTCCAAACTGCTCAATCAAAACATAGGTTCAACACTGTGAGTTGAATGCACACATCACAAAGAAGTTTCACAGAGTGCTTCTGGGTAGTTTTTATTTGAGGATATTTCCCTTTCCACAATAGGCCTCAAAGCTTTCCAAATATCCACTTGCAGATTCTGCAAAAAGAGAGATACAAAACTGCTCTATCAAAAGATAGATTCGACTCTGTGAGTTGAATGCCAACATCGCAAAGAAGTTTCTCAGAATGCTTCTCTGCAGCTTTTTTGTGAGTATGTTTCGTTTTCCACCATAGGGCGAAATGGGGCTCCAAATATCCACTTGCATTTCCTACAAAAAGAGAGATTCTAAGCTGCTCAATCAAAACATTGTTTCAACACGGTTAGTTGAATGCACACATCCCAAAGATGTTTTTCAGAGTGCTTCTGTGTGGTTTTTATGTGAAGATACTTCCTTTTCCACAATAGGCCTCAAATCTCTGTAAATATCCACTTGCAGACTCTACAAAGAGTGTTTCCAAACTCCTCAATCATAAGATAGGTTCAACTCCGATAGTTGAATGCACACATCACAAAGAAGCTTCTCGGAAAGCTTCTGTGCAGTTTTTGATGAAGATATCTCCTTCTCTAAAACAGACCTCCAAGCCCTCCAAATATTCACTTCAAGATTCTACGGAAAGATTGTCTCAAACTGCTAAATCAAAACAAAGGTTCAACTCTGTGTGATGAATGCATTCATCACAAAGAAGTTTCTCTGAGTGCTTCTGTGCAGTTTTTATTTGAAGATAATTGCTTTTCCAGTATAGGGCGAAATAGGGCTCCAAATATTCACTTGCAGATTCTACAGAAAGAGAGATTCCAAACTGCTCAATCAAAACATAGGTTCAACACTGTGAGTTGAATGCATACATCGCAAAGAAGTTTCACAGAGTACTTCTGGGTGGTTTTTATTTGAAGATATTTCCCTTTCCACAATAGGCCTCAAAGCTTTCCAAATGTCCACTTGCAGATTCCACCAAAAGAGTGTTTCGAAACTGCTCAATCAAAAGAAAGGTTCTACTCTGTGGGATGAATGCACACATCACAAAGTAGTTTCTCAGAATGCTTCTGTGCAGTTTTTATGTGAAGATAGTTGTTTTTCCACAGTAGGCCCCAAAGAGCTCCAAATATTCACTTGCAGATTCTACAAAAAGAGTGTTCCAAAACTGCTCAATCATGAAATAGGATCAACCCTGTGAGATGAATGTACGTATGACAGAGAAGTTTCTCAGAATGCTTCTGTGTAGTTTTTATGCGAAGATATTCGATTTTCCACAGTACGCCTCAAAGTTCTCCAATTATCCACTCGTAGATTCTGCAAAAAGAGAGATTCAAAACTGCTCAATCAAAAGATAGTTTCTACTCCATTAGCTGAAAGACCACATCACAAAAAAAGTTTCTCAGGATGCTTCTGTGTAGTTTTTATGTGAAGATATTTGGTTTTCCACAGTAGGCCTCAAAGCGCTCCAAATATCCACTCACAGATTCTGCAAAAAGAGAGATTCAAAACTGCTGAATCAAAAGACAGTTTCAACTCTGTGACTTCAGTGCACACCTCACAAGGATGTTTCTCAGAATGCTTCTGTGTAGTTTTTATATAAAGATATCTCCTTCTCCAAAATGGATCTCAAAGTTCTCCAAATATTCACTTCCAGATTCTATGGAAAGATTGTCTCAAAACTGCTCAATCAAACCAAAGGTTCAACTCTGTGAGATGAATGCACACATCACAAAGAAGTTTCTCAGAGTACTTCTGTGTAGTTTCTACTTGAGGATAGTTCCTCTTCCACCACAGACCAGAAAGGGCTCCAGATATCCATTGCAGATGGTACAAAAAGTGAGATTCAAAACTGCTCAATCCAAAGGTAGTTTCAACCATGTGATATGAATGCACACAGCACAGAGAATTTTCTCAAAATGCGCCTGTCTAGTTTTTATTTGAAGATATTTCCTTTTCTACCATAGGCCACAAACGTCTCCAAATATCCACATGCAGCTTCTACAAAAAGAGAGATTCAAAACTTCTCAATCAAAAGATAGGTTCAACTCTGTGAGTTGAAAGCACACCTCACAAAGAAGTTTCTCAGAGTGCTTCTGTGTGTTTTTATGTGAAGATATTTCCTTTTCCACAACAGGCCTCAAAGCTCTCCAAATATCTGCGAGCAGAGTCTACAAAATGAGAGATTCAAAACTGCTCAATGAAAAGATAGGTTCAACTCTGTGAGTTGAATGCACACCTCCAAAGAAGTTTCTCAGAATGCTTCCGTGTAGTTTTTATGTGAAGATATTTACTTTTCCACAGTTGTCCCAAAGCTCTAAAATGTCCACTTGCAGACCCTCCAAAAGAGTGTTTCAGAATTGCTCAATCAAAGGGAAGGTTCAATTCTGTGTGACCAATGCACTCATCACAAAGAAGTTTGTCTGAATGCTTCTGTGTAGAATTGATTTGAAGATAATTCCTTTTCCACCACAGTCCGCAAAGGGCTAAAAATATCCACTTGCCGATTCCACAAAAAGAGAGATTCAAAACTGCTCAATCACAAGATAGGTTCAACTTGGTAATTGGAAAGCACACATGACAAACAATTTCTGAGAATGTTTCTGTGTAGTTTTTAAGGGAAGATATTTGATTTTCAAATGTAGGCCTCAAATCGCTCCAAATATCCACTTGCATATTGTACAAAAAGAGAGATTCAAAACTGGTCACTCAAAAGTTAGGTCCAGCTCTGTGAGCTGAATGCACACATCACAAAGATGTTTCTCAGAAGGTTTTCTGTATAGTTTCTATATGAAGATATTTGCTTTTCCACAATATGCCTCAAATCTCCCCAATTATCCACTTGCAGATTCTAGAAAAAGAGTGTTTCAAAACAGCTCAATCCAAATAAACTTTCAACTCTGTGAGATCAATGCACACATCACAAAGAAGTTTCTCAGAATGCTTCTGTGTAGTTTTTTTTGTGAAGATATTTGAATTTCCACAGTAGGCTTCAAAGCACTCCAAATATCCACTCGCAGATTCTGCAAAAAGAGAGATTCAAATCTGCTGAATCAAAAGATAGGTTTAACTCTGTGACTTCAATGCACACCTCACAAGGGTGTTTCTCAGAAAGCTTCTGTGTAGTTTTTATATGAAGATATCTCCTTCTCCAAAGCAGGTCTCAAAGCCCTCCAAATATTCACTTCAAGATTCTACGGAAAGATTGTCTCAACACTGCTAAATCTAAACAAATGTTCAACTTCTGTGTGATGAATGCACTCATCACAGAGAAGTTTCTCTGAATGCCTCTGTGTAGTTTTTATTTGACGATATTTGCCTTTCCAGTATAGGGCGAAACAGGGCTCCAAATATTCACTTGCAGATTCTACGAAAGGAGAGATTCCAAACCGCTCAATCAAAACATAGGTTCAGCAATGTGAGTTGAATGCACACATCGCAAAGAAGTTTCACAGAGTGCTTCTGGGTAGTTTTAATTTGAGGATATTTCCCTTTCCACAATAGGCCTCAAAGCTTTCCAAATATCCACTTGCAGATTCTGCAAAAAGAGAGATACAAAACTGCTCTATCAAAAGATAGATTCGACTCTGTGAGTTGAATGCAAACGTCGGAAAGAAGTTTCTCAGAATGCTTCTGTGTAGCTCTTTTGTGAATATGTTTCGTTTCCCACAATAGGGCGAAATGGGGCTCCAAATATCCACTTGCATTTTCTACAAAAAGAGAGATTCTAAGCTGCCCAATCAAAAGATAGTTTCAACACTGTTAGTTGAATGCACACTTCCCACAGAAGTTTCTCAGAAATGTTCTGTTTAGTTTTTAAGTGAAGATATTTCCTTTTCCACAATAGGCCTCAAATCTCTGTAAATATCCACTTGCAGACTCTACAAAGCCTGTTTCCAAACTGCTCAATCATAAGATAGGTTCAACACCGATAGTTGAATGCACACATCACAAAGAAGTTTCTCAGAAAGCTTCTGTGTAGTTTTTGATGAAGATATCTTCTTCTCTAAAACAGAACTCCAAGCCGTCCAAATATTCACTTCAAGATTCTACGGAAAGATTGTCTCAAAACTGCTAAATCAAAACAAAGGTTCAACTCTGTGGGATGAATGCATTCATCACAAAGAAGTTTCTCTGAATGCTTCTGTGCAGTTTTTATTTGAAGATAATTGCTTTTCCAGTATAAGGCGAAATAGGGCTCCAAATATTCACTTGCAGATTCTACAGAAAGAGAGATTCCAAACTGCTCAATCAAAACATAGGTTCAACACTGTGAGTTGAATGCATACATCGCAAAGAAGTTTCACAGAGTACTTCTGGGTGGTTTTTATTTGAAGATATTTCCCTTTCCACAATAGGCCTCAAAGCTTTCCAAATGTCCACTTGCAGATTCCACCAAAAGAGTGTTTCGAAACTGCTCAATCAAAAGAAAGGTTCTACTCTGTGGGATGAATGCACACATCACAAAGTAGTTTCTCAGAATGCTTCTGTGTAGTTTTTATGTGAAGATATTTGTTTTTCCACAGTAGGCCCCAAAGAGCTCCAAATATTCACTTGCAGATTCTACAAAAAGAGTGTTCCAAAACTGCTCAATCATGAAATAGGATCAACCCTGTGAGATGAATGTACGTATGACAGAGAAGTTTCTCAGAATGCTTCTGTGTAGTTTTTATGCGAAGATATTCGATTTTCCACAGTACGCCTCAAAGTTCTCCAATTATCCACTCGTAGATTCTGCAAAAAGAGAGATTCAAAACTGCTCAATCAAAAGATAGTTTCTACTCCATTAGCTGAAAGACCACATCACAAAAAAAGTTTCTCAGGATGCTTCTGTGTAGTTTTTATGTGAAGATATTTGGTTTTCCACAGTAGGCCTCAAAGCGCTCCAAATATCCACTCACAGATTCTGCAAAAAGAGAGATTCAAAACTGCTGAATCAAAAGACAGTTTCAACTCTGTGACTTCAGTGCACACCTCACAAGGATGTTTCTCAGAATGCTTCTGTGTAGTTTTCATATAAAGGTATCTCCTTCTCCAAAATGGATCTCAAAGTTCTCCAAATATTCACTTCCAGATTCTATGGAAAGATTGTCTCAAAACTGCTCAATCAAACCAAAGGTTCAACTCTGTGAGATGAATGCCCACATCACAAAGAAGTTTCTCAGAGTACTTCTGTGTAGTTTCTATTTGAGGATAGTTCCTTTTCCACCACAGACCAGAAAGGGCTCCAAATATCCATTGCAGATGGTACAAAAAGTGAGATTCAAAACTGCTCAATCCAAAGGTAGTTTCAACCATGTGATATGAATGCACACAGCACAGAGAATTTTCTCAAAATGCGTCTGTCTAGTTTTTATTTGAAGATATTTCCTTTTCTACCATAGGCCACAAACGTCTCCAAATATCCACATGCAGCTTCTACAAAAAGAGAGATTCAAAACTTCTCAATCAAAAGATAGGTTCAACTCTGTGAGTTGAAAGCACACCTCACAAAGAAGTTTCTCAGAGTGCTTCTGTGTGTTTTTATGTGAAGATATTTCCTTTTCCACAACAGGCCTCAAAGCTCTCCAAATATCTGCGAGCAGAGTCTACAAAATGAGAGATTCAAAACTGCTCAATGAAAAGATAGGTTCAACTCTGTGAGTTGAATGCACACCTCCAAAGAAGTTTCTCAGAATGCTTCCGTGTAGTTTTTATGTGAAGATATTTACTTTTCCACAGTTGTCCCAAAGCTCTAAAATGTCCACTTGCAGACCCTCCAAAAGAGTGTTTCAGAATTGCTCAATCAAAGGGAAGGTTCAATTCTGTGTGACCAATGCACTCATCACAAAGAAGTTTGTCTGAATGCTTTCTGTGTAGAATTGATTTGAAGATAATTCCTTTTCCACCACAGTCCGCAAAGGGCTAAAAATATCCACTTGCCGATTCCACAAAAAGAGAGATTCAAAACTGCTCAATCACAAGATAGGTTCAACTTGGTAATTGGAAAGCACACATGACAAACAATTTCTGAGAATATTTCTGTGTAGTTTTTAAGGGAAGATATTTGATTTTCAAATGTAGGCCTCAAATCGCTCCAAATATCCACTTGCATATTGTACAAAAAGAGAGATTCAAAACTGGTCACTCAAAAGTTAGGTCCAGCTCTGTGAGCTGAATGCACACATCACAAAGATGTTTCTCAGAAGGTTTCTGTATAGTTTCTATATGAAGATATTTGCTTTTCCACAATATGCCTCAAATCTCCCCAATTATCCACTTGCAGATTCTAGAAAAAGAGTGTTTCAAAACAGCTCAATCAAAATAAACTTTCAACTCTGTGAGATCAATGCACACATCACAAAGAAGTTTCTCAGAATGCTTCTGTGTAGTTTTTTTTGTGAAGATATTTGATTTTCCACAGCAGGCTTCCAAGCACTCCAAATATCCACTCGCAGATTCTGCAAAAAGAGAGATTCAAATCTGCTGAATCAAAAGATAGGTTTAACTCTGTGACTTCAATGCACACCTCACAAGGGTGTTTCTCAGAAAGCTTCTGTGTAGTTTTTATATGAAGATATCTCCTTCTCCAAAGCAGGTCTCAAAGCCCTCCAAATATTCACTTCAAGATTCTACGGAAAGATTGTCTCAACACTGCTAAATCTAAACAAATGTTCAACTCTGTGTGATGAATGCACTCATCACAGAGTAGTTTCTCTGAATGCCTCTGTGTAGTTTTTATTTGAAGATATTTGCTTTTCCAGTATAGGGCGAAATAGGGCTCCAAATATTCACTTGCAGATTCTACAAAAGGAGAGATTCCAAACTGCTCAATCAAAACATAGGTTCAACACTGTGAGTTGAATGCACACATCACAAAGAAGTTTCACAGAGTGCTTCTGGGTAGTTTTTATTTGAGGATATTTCCCTTTCCACAATAGGCCTCAAAGCTTTCCAAATATCCACTTGCAGATTCTGCAAAAAGAGAGATACAAAACTGCTCTATCAAAAGATAGATTCGACTCTGTGAGTTGAATGCCAACATCGCAAAGAAGTTTCTCAGAATGCTTCTCTGCAGCTTTTTTGTGAGTATGTTTCGTTTTCCACCATAGGGCGAAATGGGGCTCCAAATATACACTTGCATTTCCTACAAAAAGAGAGATTCTAAGCTGCTCAATCAAAACATTGTTTCAACACGGTTAGTTGAATGCACACATCCCAAAGATGTTTTTCAGAGTGCTTCTGTGTGGTTTTTATGTGAAGATACTTCCTTTTCCACAATAGGCCTCAAATCTCTGTAAATATCCACTTGCAGACTCTACAAAGAGTGTTTCCAAACTCCTCAATCATAAGATAGGTTCAACTCCGATAGTTGAATGCACACATCACAAAGAAGTTTCTCAGAAAGCTTCTGTGTAGTTTTTGATGAAAATATCTTCTTCTCTAAAACAGAACTCCAAGCCCTCTAAATATTCACTTCAAGATTCTACGGAAAGATTGTCTCAAACTGCTAAATCAAAACAAAGGTTCAACTCTGTGTGATGAATGCATTCATCACAAAGAAGCTTCTCTGAGTGCTTCTGTGCAGTTTTTATTTGAAGATAATTGCTTTTCCAGTATAGGGCGAAATAGGGCTCCAAATATTCACTTGCAGATTCTACAGAAAGAGAGATTCCAAACTGCTCAATCAAAACATAGGTTCAACACTGTGAGTTGAATGCATACATCGCAAAGAAGTTTCACAGAGTACTTCTGGGTGGTTTTTATTTGAAGATATTTCCCTTTCCACAATAGGCCTCAAAGCTTTCCAAATGTCCACTTGCAGATTCCACCAAAAGAGTGTTTCGAAACTGCTCAATCAAAAGAAAGGTTCTACTCTGTGGGATGAATGCACACATCACAAAGTAGTTTCTCAGAATGCTTCTGTGTAGTTTTTATGTGAAGATATTTGTTTTTCCACAGTAGGCCCCAAAGAGCTCCAAATATTCACTTGCAGATTCTACAAAAAGAGTGTTCCAAAACTGCTCAATCATGAAATAGGATCAACCCTGTGAGATGAATGTACGTATGACAGAGAAGTTTCTCAGAATGCTTCTGTGTAGTTTTTATGCGAAGATATTCGATTTTCCACAGTACGCCTCAAAGTTCTCCAATTATCCACTCGTAGATTCTGCAAAAAGAGAGATTCAAAACTGCTCAATCAAAAGATAGTTTCTACTCCATTAGCTGAAAGACCACATCACAAAAAAAGTTTCTCAGGATGCTTCTGTGTAGTTTTTATGTGAACATATTTGGTTTTCCACAGTAGGCCTCAAAGCGCTCCAAATATCCGCTCACAGACTCTGCAAAAAGAGAGATTCAAAACTGCTGAATCAAAAGACAGTTTCAACTCTGTGACTTCAGTGCACACCTCACAAGGATGTTTCTCAGAATGCTTCTGTGTAGTTTTCATATAAAGATATCTCCTTCTCCAAAATGGATCTCAAAGTTCTCCAAATATTCACTTCCAGATTCTATGGAAAGATTGTCTCAAAACTGCTCAATCAAACCAAAGGTTCAACTCTGTGAGATGAATGCCCACATCACAAAGAAGTTTCTCAGAGTACTTCTGTGTAGTTTCTATTTGAGGATAGTTCCTTTTCCACCACAGACCAGAAAGGGCTCCAAATATCCATTGCAGATGGTACAAAAAGTGAGATTCAAAACTGCTCAATCCAAAGGTAGTTTCAACCATGTGATATGAATGCACACAGCACAGAGAATTTTCTCAAAATGCGTCTGTCTAGTTTTTATTTGAAGATATTTCCTTTTCTACCATAGGCCACAAACGTCTCCAAATATCCACATGCAGCTTCTACAAAAAGAGAGATTCAAAACTTCTCAATCAAAAGATAGGTTCAACTCTGTGAGTTGAAAGCACACCTCACAAAGAAGTTTCTCAGAGTGCTTCTGTGTGTTTTTATGTGAAGATATTTCCTTTTCCACAATAGGCCTCAAAGCTCTCCAAATATCTGCGAGCAGAGTCTACAAAATGAGAGATTCAAAACTGCTCAATGAAAAGATAGGTTCAACTCTTGTGAGTTGAATGCACACCTCCAAAGAAGTTTCTCAGAATGCTTCCGTGTAGTTTTTATGTGAAGATATTTACTTTTCCACAGTTGTCCCAAAGCTCTAAAATGTCCACTTGCAGACCCTCCAAAAGAGTGTTTCAGAATTGCTCAATCAAAGGGAAGGTTCAATTCTGTGTGACCAATGCACTCATCACAAAGAAGTTTGTCTGAATGCTTCTGTGTAGAATTGATTTGAAGATAATTCCTTTTCCACCACAGTCCGCAAAGGGCTAAAAATATCCACTTGCCGATTCCACAAAAAGAGAGATTCAAAACTGCTCAATCACAAGATAGGTTCAACTTGGTAATTGGAAAGCACACATGACAAACAATTTCTGAGAATGTTTCTGTGTAGTTTTTAAGGGAAGATATTTGATTTTCAAATGTAGGCCTCAAATCGCTCCAAATATCCACTTGCATATTGTACAAAAAGAGAGATTCAAAACTGGTCACTCAAAAGTTAGGTCCAGCTCTGTGAGCTGAATGCACACATCACAAAGATGTTTCTCAGAAGGTTTCTGTATAGTTTCTATATGAAGATATTTGCTTTTCCACAATATGCCTCAAATCTCCCCAATTATCCACTTGCAGATTCTAGAAAAAGAGTGTTTCAAAACAGCTCAATCAAAATAAACTTTCAACTCTGTGAGATCAATGCACACATCACAAAGAAGTTTCTCAGAATGCTTCTGTGTAGTTTTTTTTGTGAAGATATTTGATTTTCCACAGCAGGCTTCCAAGCACTCCAAATATCCACTCGCAGATTCTGCAAAAAGAGAGATTCAAATCTGCTGAATCAAAAGATAGGTTTAACTCTGTGACTTCAATGCACACCTCACAAGGGTGTTTCTCAGAAAGCTTCTGTGTAGTTTTTATATGAAGATATCTCCTTCTCCAAAGCAGGTCTCAAAGCCCTCCAAATATTCACTTCAAGATTCTACGGAAAGATTGTCTCAACACTGCTAAATCTAAACAAATGTTCAACTCTGTGTGATGAATGCACTCATCACAGAGAAGTTTCTCTGAATGCCTCTGTGTAGTTTTTATTTGAAGATATTTGCTTTTCCAGTATAGGGTGAAATAGGGCTCCAAATATTCACTTGCAGATTCTACAAAAGGAGAGATTCCAAACTGCTCAATCAAAACATAGGTTCAACACTGTGAGTTGAATGCACACATCACAAAGAAGTTTCACAGAGTGCTTCTGGGTAGTTTTTATTTGAGGATATTTCCCTTTCCACAATAGGCCTCAAAGCTTTCCAAATATCCACTTGCAGATTCTGCAAAAAGAGAGATACAAAACTGCTCTATCAAAAGATAGATTCGACTCTGTGAGTTGAATGCCAACATCGCAAAGAAGTTTCTCAGAATGCTTCTCTGCAGCTTTTTTGTGAGTATGTTTCGTTTTCCACCATAGGGCGAAATGGGGCTCCAAATATCCACTTGCATTTCCTACAAAAAGAGAGATTCTAAGCTGCTCAATCAAAACATTGTTTCAACACGGTTAGTTGAATGCACACATCCCAAAGATGTTTTTCAGAGAGCTTCTGTGTGGTTTTTATGTGAAGATACTTCCTTTTCCACAATAGGCCTCAAATCTCTGTAAATATCCACTTGCAGACTCCACAAAGAGTGTTTCCAAACTGCTCAATCATAAGATAGGTTCAACTCCGATAGTTGAATGCACACATCACAAAGAAGTTTCTCAGAAAGCTTCTGTGTAGTTTTTGATGAAGATATCTTCTTCTCTAAAACAGAACTCCAAGCCCTCCAAATATTCACTTCAAGATTCTACGGAAAGATTGTCTCAAAACTCCTAAATCAAAACAAAGTTTCAACTCTGTGTCATGAATGCATTCATCTCAAAGAAGTTTCTCTGAATGCTTCTGTGCAGTTTTTATTTGAAGATAATTGCCTTTCCAGTATAGGGCGAAATAGGGCTCCAAATATTCACTTGCAGATTCTACAGAAAGAGAGATTCCAAACTGCTCAATCAAAACATAGGTTCAACACTGTGAGTTGAATGCATACATCGCAAAGAAGTTTCACAGAGTACTTCTGGGTGGTTTTTATTTGAAGATATTTCCCTTTCCACAATAGGCCTCAAAGCTTTCCAAATGTCCACTTGCAGATTCCACCAAAAGAGTGTTTCGAAACTGCTCAATCAAAAGAAAGGTTCTACTCTGTGGGATGAATGCACACATCACAAAGTAGTTTCTCAGAATGCTTCTGTGTAGTTTTTATGTGAAGATATTTGTTTTTCCACAGTAGGCCCCGAAGAGCTCCAAATATTCACTTGCAGATTCTACAAAAAGAGTGTTCCAAAACTGCTCAATCATGAAATAGGATCAACCCTGTGAGATGAATGTACGTATGACAGAGAAGTTTCTCAGAATGCTTCTGTGTAGTTTTTATGCGAAGATATTCGATTTTCCACAGTACGCCTCAAAGTTCTCCAATTATCCACTCGTAGATCCTGCAAAAAGAGAGATTCAAAACTGCTCAATCAAAAGATAGTTTCTACTCCATTAGCTGAAAGACCACATCACAAAAAAAGTTTCTCAGGATGCTTCTGTGTAGTTTTTATGTGAAGATATTTGGTTTTCCACAGTAGGCCTCAAAGCGCTCCAAATATCCACTCACAGGTTCTGCAAAAAGAGAGATTCAAAACTGCTGAATCAAAAGACAGTTTCAACTCTGTGACTTCAGTGCACACCTCACAAGGATGTTTCTCAGAATGCTTCTGTGTAGTTTTCATATAAAGATATCTCCTTCTCCAAAATGGATCTCAAAGTTCTCCAAATATTCACTTCCAGATTCCATGGAAAGATTGTCTCAAAACTGCTCAATCAAACCAAAGGTTCAACTCTGTGAGATGAATGCCCACATCACAAAGAAGTTTCTCAGAGTACTTCTGTGTAGTTTCTATTTGAGGATAGTTCCTTTTCCACCACAGACCAGAAAGGGCTCCAAATATCCATTGCAGATGGTACAAAAAGTGAGATTCAAAACTGCTCAATCCAAAGGTAGTTTCAACCATGTGATATGAATGCACACAGCACAGAGAATTTTGCTCAAAATGCGTCTGTCTAGTTTTTATTTGAAGATATTTCCTTTTCTACCATAGGCCACAAACGTCTCCAAATATCCACATGCAGCTTCTACAAAAAGAGAGATTCAAAACTTCTCAATCAAAAGATAGGTTCAACTCTGTGAGTTGAAAGCACACCTCACAAAGAAGTTTCTCAGAGTGCTTCTGTGTGTTTTTATGTGAAGATATTTCCTTTTCCACAATAGGCCTCAAAGCTCTCCAAATATCTGCGAGCAGAGTCTACAAAATGAGAGATTCAAAACTGCTCAATGAAAAGATAGGTTCAACTCTGTGAGTTGAATGCACACCTCCAAAGAAGTTTCTCAGAATGCTTCCGTGTAGTTTTTATGTGAAGATATTTACTTTTCCACAGTTGTCCCAAAGCTCTAAAATATCCACTTGCAGACCCTCCAAAAGAGTGTTTCAGAATTGCTCAATCAAAGGGAAGGTTCAATTCTGTGTGACCAATGCACTCATCACAAAGAAGTTTGTCTGAATGCTTCTGTGTAGAATTGATTTGAAGATAATTCCTTTTCCACCACAGTCCGCAAAGGGCTAAAAATATCCACTTGCCGATTCCACAAAAAGAGAGATTCAAAACTGCTCAATCACAAGATAGGTTCAACTTGGTAATTGGAAAGCACACATGACAAACAATTTCTGAGAATGTTTCTGTGTAGTTTTTAAGGGAAGATATTTGATTTTCAAATGTAGGCCTCAAATCGCTCCAAATATCCACTTGCATATTGTACAAAAAGAGAGATTCAAAACTGGTCACTCAAAAGTTAGGTCCAGCTCTGTGAGCTGAATGCACACATCACAAAGATGTTTCTCAGAAGGTTTCTGTATAGTTTCTATATGAAGATATTGGCTTTTCCACAATATGCCTCAAATCTCCCCAATTATCCACTTGCAGATTCTAGAAAAAGAGTGTTTCAAAACAGCTCAATCAAAATAAACTTTCAACTCTGTGAGATCAATGCACACATCACAAAGAAGTTTCTCAGAATGCTTCTGTGTAGTTTTTTTGTGAAGATATTTGATTTTCCACAGCAGGCTTCCAAGCACTCCAAATATCCACTCGCAGATTCTGCAAAAAGAGAGATTCAAATCTGCTGAATCAAAAGATAGGTTTAACTCTGTGACTTCAATGCACACCTCACAAGGGTGTTTCTCAGAAAGCTTCTGTGTAGTTTTTATATGAGGATATCTCCTTCTCCAAAGCAGGTCTCAAAGCCCTCCAAATATTCACTTCAAGATTCTACGGAAAGATTGTCTCAACACTGCTAAATCTAAACAAATGTTCAACTCTGTGTGATGAATGCACTCATCACAGAGAAGTTTCTCTGAATGCCTCTGTGTAGTTTTTATTTGAAGATATTTGCTTTTCCAATATAGGGCGAAATAGGGCTCCAAATATTCACTTGCAGATTCTACAAAAGGAGAGATTCCAAACTGCTCAATCAAAACATAGGTTCAACACTGTGAGTTGAATGCACACATCACAAAGAAGTTTCACAGAGTGCTTCTGGGTAGTTTTTATTTGAGGATATTTCCCTTTCCACAATAGGCCTCAAAGCTTTCCAAATATCCACTTGCAGATTCTGCAAAAACAGAGATACAAAACTGCTCTATCAAAAGATAGATTCGACTCTGTGAGTTGAATGCCAACATCGCAAAGAAGTTTCTCAGAATGCTTCTCTGCAGCTTTTTTGTGAGTATGTTTCGTTTTCCACCATAGGGCGAAATGGGGCTCCAAATATCCACTTGCATTTCCTACAAAAAGAGAGATTCTAAGCTGCTCAATCAAAACATTGTTTCAACACGGTTAGTTGAATGCACACATCCCAAAGATGTTTTTCAGAGTGCTTCTGTGTGGTTTTTATGTGAAGATACTTCCTTTTCCACAATAGGCCTCAAATCTCTGTAAATATCCACTTGCAGACTCCACAAAGAGTGTTTCCAAACTGCTCAATCATAAGATAGGTTCAACTCCGATAGTTGAATGCACACATCACAAAGAAGTTTCTCAGAAAGCTTCTGTGTAGTTTTTGATGAAGATATCTTCTTCTCTAAAACAGAACTCCAAGCCCTCCAAATATTCACTTCAAGATTCTACGGAAAGATTGTCTCAAACTGCTAAATCAAAACAAAGGTTCAACTCTGTGTGATGAATGCATTCATCACAAAGAAGCTTCTCTGAGTGCTTCTGTGCAGTTTTTATTTGAAGATAATTGCTTTTCCAGTATAGGGCGAAATAGGGCTCCAAATATTCACTTGCAGATTCTACAGAAAGAGAGATTCCAAACTGCTCAATCAAAACATAGGTTCAACACTGTGAGTTGAATGCATACATCGCAAAGAAGTTTCACAGAGTACTTCTGGGTGGTTTTTATTTGAAGATATTTCCCTTTCCACAATAGGCCTCAAAGCTTTCCAAATGTCCACTTGCAGATTCCACCAAAAGAGTGTTTCGAAACTGCTCAATCAAATGAAAGGTTCTACTCTGTGGGATGAATGCACACATCACAAAGTAGTTTCTCAGAATGCTTCTGTGTAGTTTTTATGTGAAGATATTTGTTTTTCCACAGTAGGCCCCAAAGAGCTCCAAATATTCACTTGCAGATTCTACAAAAAGAGTGTTCCAAAACTGCTCAATCATGAAATAGGATCAACCCTGTGAGATGAATGTACGTATGACAGAGAAGTTTCTCAGAATGCTTCTGTGTAGTTTTTATGCGAAGATATTCGATTTTCCACAGTACGCCTCAAAGTTCTCCAATTATCCACTCGTAGATCCTGCAAAAAGAGAGATTCAAAACTGCTCAATCACAAGATAGGTTCAACTTGGTAATTGGAAAGCACACATGACAAACAATTTCTGAGAATGTTTCTGTGTAGTTTTTAAGGGAAGATATTTGATTTTCAAATGTAGGCCTCAAATCGCTCCAAATATCCACTTGCATATTGTACAGAAAGAGAGATTCAAAACTGGTCACTCAAAAGTTAGGTCCAGCTCTGTGAGCTGAATGCACACATCACAAAGATGTTTCTCAGAAGGTTTCTGTATAGTTTCTATATGAAGATATTTGCTTTTCCACAATATGCCTCAAATCTCCCCAATTATCCACTTGCAGATTCTAGAAAAAGAGTGTTTCAAAACAGCTCAATCAAAATAAACTTTCAACTCTGTGAGATCAATGCACACATCACAAAGAAGTTTCTCAGAATGCTTCTGTGTAGTTTTTTTTGTGAAGATATTTGATTTTCCACAGCAGGCTTCCAAGCACTCCAAATATCCACTCGCAGATTCTGCAAAAAGAGAGATTCAAATCTGCTGAATCAAAAGATAGGTTTAACTCTGTGACTTCAATGCACACCTCACAAGGGTGTTTCTCAGAAAGCTTCTGTGTAGTTTTTATATGAAGATATCTCCTTCTCCAAAGCAGGTCTCAAAGCCCTCCAAATATTCACTTCAAGATTCTACGGAAAGATTGTCTCAACACTGCTAAATCTAAACAAATGTTCAACTCTGTGTGATGAATGCACTCATCACAGAGAAGTTTCTCTGAATGCCTCTGTGTAGTTTTTATTTGAAGATATTTGCTTTTCCAGTATAGGGCGAAATAGGGCTCCAAATATTCACTTGCAGATTCTACAAAAGGAGAGATTCCAAACTGCTCAATCAAAACATAGGTTCAACACTGTGAGTTGAATGCACACAACACAAAGAAGTTTCACAGAGTGCTTCTGGGTAGTTTTTATTTGAGGATATTTCCCTTTCCACAATAGGCCTCAAAGCTTTCCAAATATCCACTTGCAGATTCTGCAAAAACAGAGATACAAAACTGCTCTATCAAAAGATAGATTCGACTCTGTGAGTTGAATGCCAACATCGCAAAGAAGTTTCTCAGAATGCTTCTCTGCAGCTTTTTTGTGAGTATGTTTCGTTTTCCACCATAGGGCGAAATGGGGCTCCAAATATCCACTTGCATTTCCTACAAAAAGAGAGATTCTAAGCTGCTCAATCAAAACATTGTTTCAACACGGTTAGTTGAATGCACACATCACAAAGATGTTTTTCAGAGTGCTTCTGTGTGGTTTTTATGTGAAGATACTTCCTTTTCCACAATAGGCCTCAAATCTCTGTAAATATCCACTTGCAGACTCTACAAAGAGTGTTTCCAAACTCCTCAATCATAAGATAGGTTCAACTCCGATAGTTGAATGCACACATCACAAAGAAGTTTCTCGGAAAGCTTCTGTGTAGTTTTTGATGAAGATATCTTCTTCTCTAAAACAGAACTCCAAGCCCTCCAAATATTCACTTCAAGATTCTACGGAAAGATTGTCTCAAACTGCTAAATCAAAACAAAGGTTCAACTCTGTGTGATGAATGCATTCATCACAAAGAAGTTTCTCTGAGTGCTTCTGTGCAGTTTTTATTTGAAGATAATTGCTTTTCCAGTATAGGGCGAAATAGGGCTCCAAATATTCACTTGCAGATTCTACAGAAAGAGAGATTCCAAACTGCTCAATCAAAACATAGGTTCAACACTGTGAGTTGAATGCATACATCGCAAAGAAGTTTCACAGAGTACTTCTGGGTGGTTTTTATTTGAAGATATTTCCCTTTCCACAATAGGCCTCAAAGCTTTCCAAATGTCCACTTGCAGATTCCACCAAAAGAGTGTTTCGAAACTGCTCAATCAAAAGAAAGGTTCTACTCTGTGGGATGAATGCACACATCACAAAGTAGTTTCTCAGAATGCTTCTGTGTAGTTTTTATGTGAAGATATTTGTTTTTCCACAGTAGGCCCCAAAGAGCTCCAAATATTCACTTGCAGATTCTACAAAAAGAGTGTTCCAAAACTGCTCAATCATGAACTAGGATCAACCCTGTGAGATGAATGTACGTATGACAGAGAAGTTTCTCAGAATGCTTCTGTGTAGTTTTTATGCGAAGATATTCGATTTTCCACAGTACGCCTCAAAGTTCTCCAATTATCCACTCGTAGATTCTGCAAAAAGAGAGATTCAAAACTGCTCAATCAAAAGATAGTTTCTACTCCATTAGCTGAAAGACCACATCACAAAAAAAGTTTCTCAGGATGCTTCTGTGTAGTTTTTATGTGAAGATATTTGGTTTTCCACAGTAGGCCTCAAAGCGCTCCAAATATCCACTCACAGATTCTGCAAAAAGAGAGATTCAAAACTGCTGAATCAAAAGACAGTTTCAACTCTGTGACTTCAGTGCACACCTCACAAGGATGTTTCTCAGAATGCTTCTGTGTAGTTTTCATATAAAGATATCTCCTTCTCCAAAATGGATCTCAAAGTTCTCCAAATATTCACTTCCAGATTCTATGGAAAGATTGTCTCAAAACTGCTCAATCAAACCAAAGGTTCAACTCTGTGAGATGAATGCCCACATCACAAAGAAGTTTCTCAGAGTACTTCTGTGTAGTTTCTATTTGAGGATAGTTCCTTTTCCACCACAGACCAGAAAGGGCTCCAAATATCCATTGCAGATGGTACAAAAAGTGAGATTCAAAACTGCTCAATCCAAAGGTAGTTTCAACCATGTGATATGAATGCACACAGCACAGAGAATTTTCTCAAAATGCGTCTGTCTAGTTTTTATTTGAAGATATTTCCTTTTCTACCATAGGCCACAAACGTCTCCAAATATCCACATGCAGCTTCTACAAAAAGAGAGATTCAAAACTTCTCAATCAAAAGATAGGTTCAACTCTGTGAGTTGAAAGCACACCTCACAAAGAAGTTTCTCAGAGTGCTTCTGTGTGTTTTTATGTGAAGATATTTCCTTTTCCACAATAGGCCTCAAAGCTCTCCAAATATCTGCGAGCAGAGTCTACAAAATGAGAGATTCAAAACTGCTCAATGAAAAGATAGGTTCAACTCTGTGAGTTGAATGCACACCTCCAAAGAAGTTTCTCAGAATGCTTCCGTGTAGTTTTTATGTGAAGATATTTACTTTTCCACAGTTGTCCCAAAGCTCTAAAATATCCACTTGCAGACCCTCCAAAAGAGTGTTTCAGAATTGCTCAATCAAAGGGAAGGTTCAATTCTGTGTGACCAATGCACTCATCACAAAGAAGTTTGTCTGAATGCTTCTGTGTAGAATTGATTTGAAGATAATTCCTTTTCCACCACAGTCCGCAAAGGGCTAAAAATATCCACTTGCCGATTCCACAAAAAGAGAGATTCAAAACTGCTCAATCACAAGATAGGTTCAACTTGGTAATTGGAAAGCACACATGACAAACAATTTCTGAGAATGTTTCTGTGTAGTTTTTAAGGGAAGATATTTGATTTTCAAATGTAGGCCTCAAATCGCTCCAAATATCCACTTGCATATTGTACAAAAAGAGAGATTCAAAACTGGTCACTCAAAAGTTAGGTCCAGCTCTGTGAGCTGAATGCACACATCACAAAGATGTTTCTCAGAAGGTTTCTGTATAGTTTCTATATGAAGATATTTGCTTTTCCACAATATGCCTCAAATCTCCCCAATTATCCACTTGCAGATTCTAGAAAAAGAGTGTTTCAAAACAGCTCAATCAAAATAAACTTTCAACTCTGTGAGATCAATGCACACATCACAAAGAAGTTTCTCAGAATGCTTCTGTGTAGTTTTTTTTGTGAAGATATTTGATTTTCCACAGCAGGCTTCCAAGCACTCCAAATATCCACTCGCAGATTCTGCAAAAAGAGAGATTCAAATCTGCTGAATCAAAAGATAGGTTTAACTCTGTGACTTCAATGCACACCTCACAAGGGTGTTTCTCAGAAAGCTTCTGTGTAGTTTTTATATGAAGATATCTCCTTCTCCAAAGCAGGTCTCAAAGCCCTCCAAATATTCACTTCAAGATTCTACGGAAAGATTGTCTCAACACTGCTAAATCTAAACAAATGTTCAACTCTGTGTGATGAATGCACTCATCACAGAGAAGTTTCTCTGAATGCCTCTGTGTAGTTTTTATTTGAAGATATTTGCTTTTCCAGTATAGGGCGAAATAGGGCTCCAAATATTCACTTGCAGATTCTACAAAAGGAGAGATTCCAAACTGCTCAATCAAAACATAGGTTCAACACTGTGAGTTGAATGCACACATCACAAAGAAGTTTCACAGAGTGCTTCTGGGTAGTTTTTATTTGAGGATATTTCCCTTTCCACAATAGGCCTCAAAGCTTTCCAAATATCCACTTGCAGATTCTGCAAAAAGAGAGATACAAAACTGCTCTATCAAAAGATAGATTCGACTCTGTGAGTTGAATGCCAACATCGCAAAGAAGTTTCTCAGAATGCTTCTCTGCAGCTTTTTTGTGAGTATGTTTCGTTTTCCACCATAGGGCGAAATGGGGCTCCAAATATCCACTTGCATTTCCTACAAAAAGAGAGATTCTAAGCTGCTCAATCAAAACATTGTTTCAACACGGTTAGTTGAATGCACACATCCCAAAGATGTTTTTCAGAGTGCTTCTGTGTGGTTTTTATGTGAAGATACTTCCTTTTCCACAATAGGCCTCAAATCTCTGTAAATATCCACTTGCAGACTCTACAAAGAGTGTTTCCAAACTGCTCAATCATAAGATAGGTTCAACTCCGATAGTTGAATGCACACATCACAAAGAAGTTTCTCAGAAAGCTTCTGTGTAGTTTTTGATGAAGATATCTCCTTCTCTAAAACAGAACTCCAAGCCCTCCAAATATTCACTTCAAGATTCTACGGAAAGATTGTCTCAAAACTCCTAAATCAAAACAAAGTTTCAACTCTGTGTAATGAATGCATTCATGTCAAAGAAGTTTCTCTGAATGCTTCTGTGCAGTTTTTATTTGAAGATAATTGCTTTTCCAGTATAGGGCGAAATAGGGCTCCAAATATTCACTTGCAGATTCTACAGAAAGAGAGATTCCAAACTGCTCAATCAAAACATAGGTTCAACACTGTGAGTTGAATGCATACATCGCAAAGAAGTTTCACAGAGTACTCTGGGTGGTTTTTATTTGAAGATATTTCCCTTTCCACAATAGGCCTCAAAGCTTTCCAAATGTCCACTTGCAGATTCCACCAAAAGAGTGTTTCGAAACTGCTCAATCAAAAGAAAGGTTCTACTCTGTGGGATGAATGCACACATCACAAAGTAGTTTCTCAGAATGCTTCTGTGTAGTTTTTATGTGAAGATATTTGTTTTTCCACAGTAGGCCCCAAAGAGCTCCAAATATTCACTTGCAGATTCTACAAAAAGAGTGTTCCAAAACTGCTCAATCATGAAATAGGATCAACATCTGTGAGATGAATGTACGTATGACAGAGAAGTTTCTCAGAATGCTTCTGTGTAGTTTTTATGCGAAGATATTCGATTTTCCACAGTACGCCTCAAAGTTCTCCAATTATCCACTCGTAGATTCTGCAAAAAGAGAGATTCAAAACTGCTCAATCAAAAGATAGTTTCTACTCCATTAGCTGAAAGACCACATCACAAAAAAAGTTTCTCAGGATGCTTCTGTGTAGTTTTTATGTGAAGATATTTGGTTTTCCACAGTAGGCCTCAAAGCGCTCCAAATATCCACTCACAGATTCTGCAAAAAGAGAGATTCAAAACTGCTGAATCAAAAGACAGTTTCAACTCTGTGACTTCAGTGCACACCTCACAAGGATGTTTCTCAGAATGCTTCTGTGTAGTTTTTATATAAAGATATCTCCTTCTCCAAAATGGATCTCAAAGTTCTCCAAATATTCACTTCCAGATTCTATGGAAAGATTGTCTCAAAACTGCTCAATCAAACCAAAGGTTCAACTCTGTGAGATGAATGCCCACATCACAAAGAAGTTTCTCAGAGTACTTCTGTGTAGTTTCTATTTGAGGATAGTTCCTTTTCCACCACAGACCAGAAAGGGCTCCAAATATCCATTGCAGATGGTACAAAAAGTGAGATTCAAAACTGCTCAATCCAAAGGTAGTTTCAACCATGTGATATGAATGCACACAGCACAGAGAATTTTCTCAAAATGCGTCTGTCTAGTTTTTATTTGAAGATATTTCCTTTTCTACCATAGGCCACAAACGTCTCCAAATATCCACATGCAGCTTCTACAAAAAGAGAGATTCAAAACTTCTCAATCAAAAGATAGGTTCAACTCTGTGAGTTGAAAGCACACCTCACAAAGAAGTTTCTCAGAGTGCTTCTGTGTGTTTTTATGTGAAGATATTTCCTTTTCCACAATAGGCCTCAAAGCTCTCCAAATATCTGCGAGCAGAGTCTACAAAATGAGAGATTCAAAACTGCTCAATGAAAAGATAGGTTCAACTCTGTGAGTTGAATGCACACCTCCAAAGAAGTTTCTCAGAATGCTTCCGTGTAGTTTTTATGTGAAGATATTTACTTTTCCACAGTTGTCCCAAAGCTCTAAAATGTCCACTTGCAGACCCTCCAAAAGAGTGTTTCAGAATTGCTCAATCAAAGGGAAGGTTCAATTCTGTGTGACCAATGCACTCATCACAAAGAAGTTTGTCTGAATGCTTCTGTGTAGAATTGATTTGAAGATAATTCCTTTTCCACCACAGTCCGCAAAGGGCTAAAAATATCCACTTGCCGATTCCACAAAAAGAGAGATTCAAAACTGCTCAATCACAAGATAGGTTCAACTTGGTAATTGGAAAGCACACATGACAAACAATTTCTGAGAATGTTTCTGTGTAGTTTTTAAGGGAAGATATTTGATTTTCAAATGTAGGCCTCAAATCGCTCCAAATATCCACTTGCATATTGTACAAAAAGAGAGATTCAAAACTGGTCACTCAAAAGTTAGGTCCAGCTCTGTGAGCTGAATGCACACATCACAAAGATGTTTCTCAGAAGGTTTTCTGTATAGTTTCTATATGAAGATATTTGCTTTTCCACAATATGCCTCAAATCTCCCCAATTATCCACTTGCAGATTCTAGAAAAAGAGTGTTTCAAAACAGCTCAATCCAAATAAACTTTCAACTCTGTGAGATCAATGCACACATCACAAAGAAGTTTCTCAGAATGCTTCTGTGTAGTTTTTTTTGTGAAGATATTTGATTTTCCACAGCAGGCTTCCAAGCACTCCAAATATCCACTCGCAGATTCTGCAAAAAGAGAGATTCAAACTGCTGAATCAAAAGATAGGTTTAACTCTGTGACTTCAATGCACACCTCACAAGGGTGTTTCTCAGAAAGCTTCTGTGTAGTTTTTATATGAAGATATCTCCTTCTCCAAAGCAGGTCTCAAAGCCCTCCAAATATTCACTTCAAGATTCTACGGAAAGATTGTCTCAACACTGCTAAATCTAAACAAATGTTCAACTCTGTGTGATGAATGCACTCATCACAGAGAAGTTTCTCTGAAGGCCTCTGTGTAGTTTTTATTTGAAGATATTTGCTTTTCCAGTATAGGGCGAAATAGGGCTCCAAATATTCACTTGCAGATTCTACAAAAGGAGAGATTCCAAACTGCTCAATCAAAACGTAGGTTCAACACTGTGAGTTGAATGCACACATCACAAAGAAGTTTCACAGAGTGCTTCTGGGTAGTTTTTATTTGAGGATATTTCCCTTTCCACAATAGGCCTCAAAGCTTTCCAAATATCCACTTGCAGATTCTGCAAAAAGAGAGATACAAAACTGCTCTATCAAAAGATAGATTCGACTCTGTGAGTTGAATGCCAACATCGCAAAGAAGTTTCTCAGAATGCTTCTCTGCAGCTTTTTTGTGAGTATGTTTCGTTTTCCACCATAGGGCGAAATGGGGCTCCAAATATCCACTTGCATTTCCTACAAAAAGAGAGATTCTAAGCTGCTCAATCAAAACATTGTTTCAACACGGTTAGTTGAATGCACACATCCCAAAGATGTTTTTCAGAGTGCTTCTGTGTGGTTTTTATGTGAAGATACTTCCTTTTCCACAATAGGCCTCAAATCTCTGTAAATATCCACTTGCAGACTCTACAAAGAGTGTTTCCAAACTGCTCAATCATAAGATAGGTTCAACTCCGATAGTTGAATGCACACATCACAAAGAAGTTTCTCAGAAAGCTTCTGTGTAGTTTTTGATGAAGATATCTTCTTCTCTAAAACAGAACTCCAAGCCCTCCAAATATTCACTTCAAGATTCTACGGAAAGATTGTCTCAAAACTCCTAAATCAAAACAAAGTTTCAACTCTGTGTCATGAATGCATTCATCTCAAAGAAGTTTCTCTGAATGCTTCTGTGCAGTTTTTATTTGAAGATAATTGCTTTTCCAGTATAGAGCGAAATAGGGCTCCAAATATTCACTTGCAGATTCTACAGAAAGAGAGATTCCAAACTGCTCAATCAAAACATAGGTTCAACACTGTGAGTTGAATGCATACATCGCAAAGAAGTTTCACAGAGTACTTCTGGGTGGTTTTTATTTGAAGATATTTCCCTTTCCACAATAGGCCTCAAAGCTTTCCAAATGTCCACTTGCAGATTCCACCAAAAGAGTGTTTCGAAACTGCTCAATCAAAAGAAAGGTTCTACTCTGTGGGATGAATGCACACATCACAAAGTAGTTTCCCAGAATGCTTCTGTGTAGTTTTTATGTGAAGATATTTGTTTTTCCACAGTAGGCCCCAAAGAGCTCCAAATATTCACTTGCAGATTCTACAAAAAGAGTGTTCCAAAACTGCTCAATCATGAAATAGGATCAACCCTGTGAGATGAATGTACGTATGACAGAGAAGTTTCTCAGAATGCTTCTGTGTAGTTTTTATGCGAAGATATTCGATTTTCCACAGTACGCCTCAAAGTTCTCCAATTATCCACTCGTAGATCCTGCAAAAAGAGAGACTCAAAACTGCTCAATCAAAAGATAGTTTCTACTCCATTAGCTGAAAGACCACATCACAAAAAAAGTTTCTCAGGATGCTTCTGTGTAGTTTTTATGTGAAGATATTTGGTTTTCCACAGTAGGCCTCAAAGCGCTCCAAATATCCACTCACAGATTCTGCAAAAAGAGAGATTCAAAACTGCTGAATCAAAAGACAGTTTCAACACTGTGACTTCAGTGCACACCTCACAAGGATGTTTCTCAGAATGCTTTCTGTGTAGTTTTTATATAAAGATATCTCCTTCCCCAAAATGGATCTCAAAGTTCTCCAAATATTCACTTCCAGATTCTATGGAAAGATTGTCTCAAAACTGCTCAATCAAACCAAAGGTTCAACTCTGTGAGATGAATGCCCACATCACAAAGAAGTTTCTCAGAGTACTTCTGTGTAGTTTCTATTTGAGGATAGTTCCTTTTCCACCACAGACCAGAAAGGGCTCCAAATATCCATTGCAGATGGTACAAAAAGTGAGATTCAAAACTGCTCAATCCAAAGGTAGTTTCAACCATGTGATATGAATGCACACAGCACAGAGAATTTTCTCAAAATGCGTCTGTCTAGTTTTTATTTGAAGATATTTCCTTTTCTACCATAGGCCACAAACGTCTCCAAATATCCACATGCAGCTTCTACAAAAAGAGAGATTCAAAACTTCTCAATCAAAAGATAGGTTCAACTCTGTGAGTTGAAAGCACACCTCACAAAGAAGTTTCTCAGAGTGCTTCTGTGTGTTTTTATGTGAAGATATTTCCTTTTCCACAATAGGCCTCAAAGCTCTCCAAATATCTGCGAGCAGAGTCTACAAAATGAGAGATTCAAAACTGCTCAATGAAAAGATAGGTTCAACTCTGTGAGTTGAATGCACACCTCCAAAGAAGTTTCTCAGAATGCTTCCGTGTAGTTTTTATGTGAAGATATTTACTTTTCCACAGTTGTCCCAAAGCTCTAAAATATCCACTTGCAGACCCTCCAAAAGAGTGTTTCAGAATTGCTCAATCAAAGGGAAGGTTCAATTCTGTGTGACCAATGCACTCATCACAAAGAAGTTTGTCTGAATGCTTCTGTGTAGAATTGATTTGAAGATAATTCCTTTTCCACCACAGTCCGCAAAGGGCTAAAAATATCCACTTGCCGATTCCACAAAAAGAGAGATTCAAAACTGCTCAATCACAAGATAGGTTCAACTTGGTAATTGGAAAGCACACATGACAAACAATTTCTGAGAATGTTTCTGTGTAGTTTTTAAGGGAAGATATTTGATTTTCAAATGTAGGCCTCAAATCGCTCCAAATATCCACTTGCATATTGTACAAAAAGAGAGATTCAAAACTGGTCACTCAAAAGTTAGGTCCAGCTCTGTGAGCTGAATGCACACATCACAAAGATGTTTCTCAGAAGGTTTCTGTATAGTTTTTATATGAAGATATTTGCTTTTCCACAATATGCCTCAAATCTCCCCAATTATCCACTTGCAGATTCTAGAAAAAGAGTGTTTCAAAACAGCTCAATCAAAATAAACTTTCAACTCTGTGAGATCAATGCACACATCACAAAGGAGTTTCTCAGAATGCTTCTGTGTAGTTTTTTTTGTGAAGATATTTGATTTTCCACAGCAGGCTTCCAAGCACTCCAAATATCCACTCGCAGATTCTGCAAAAAGAGAGATTCAAATCTGCTGAATCAAAAGATAGGTTTAACTCTGTGACTTCAATGCACACCTCACAAGGGTGTTTCTCAGAAAGCTTCTGTGTAGTTTTTATATGAAGATATCTCCTTCTCCAAAGCAGGTCTCAAAGCCCTCCAAATATTCACTTCAAGATTCTACGGAAAGATTGTCTCAACACTGCTAAATCTAAACAAATGTTCAACTCTGTGTGATGAATGCACTCATCACAGAGAAGTTTCTCTGAATGCCTCTGTGTAGTTTTTATTTGAAGATATTTGCTTTTCCAGTATAGGGCGAAATAGGGCTCCAAATATTCACTTGCAGATTCTACAAAAGGAGAGATTCCAAACTGCTCAATCAAAACATAGGTTCAACACTGTGAGTTGAATGCACACATCACAAAGAAGTTTCACAGAGTGCTTCTGGGTAGTTTTTATTTGAGGATATTTCCCTTTCCACAATAGGCCTCAAAGCTTTCCAAATATCCACTTGCAGATTCTGCAAAAAGAGAGATACAAAACTGCTCTATCAAAAGATAGATTCGACTCTGTGAGTTGAATGCCAACATCGCAAAGAAGTTTCTCAGAATGCTTCTCTGCAGCTTTTTTGTGAGTATGTTTCGTTTTCCACCATAGGGCGAAATGGGGCTCCAAATATCCACTTGCATTTCCTACAAAAAGAGAGATTCTAAGCTGCTCAATCAAAACATTGTTTCAACACGGTTAGTTGAATGCACACATCCCAAAGATGTTTTTCAGAGTGCTTCTGTGTGGTTTTTATGTGAAGATACTTCCTTTTCCACAATAGGCCTCAAATCTCTGTAAATATCCACTTGCAGACTCTACAAAGAGTGTTTCCAAACTGCTCAATCATAAGATAGGTTCAACTCCGATAGTTGAATGCACACATCACAAAGAAGTTTCTCGGAAAGCTTCTGTGTAGTTTTTGATGAAGATATCTTCTTCTCTAAAACAGAACTCCAAGCCCTCCAAATATTCACTTCAAGATTCTACGGAAAGATTGTCTCAAACTGCTAAATCAAAACAAAGGTTCAACTCTGTGTGATGAATGCATTCATCACAAAGAAGTTTCTCTGAGTGCTTCTGTGCAGTTTTTATTTGAAGATAATTGCTTTTCCAGTATAGGGCGAAATAGGGCTCCAAATATTCACTTGCAGATTCTACAGAAAGAGAGATTCCAAACTGCTCAATCAAAACATAGGTTCAACACTGTGAGTTGAATGCATACATCGCAAAGAAGTTTCACAGAGTACTTCTGGGTGGTTTTTATTTGAAGATATTTCCCTTTCCACAATAGGCCTCAAAGCTTTCCAAATGTCCACTTGCAGATTCCACCAAAAGAGTGTTTCGAAACTGCTCAATCAAAAGAAAGGTTCTACTCTGTGGGATGAATGCACACATCACAAAGTAGTTTCTCAGAATGCTTCTGTGTAGTTTTTATGTGAAGATATTTGTTTTTCCACAGTAGGCCCCAAAGAGCTCCAAATATTCACTTGCAGATTCTACAAAAAGAGTATTCCAAAACTGCGCAATCATGAAATAGGATCAACCCTGTGAGATGAATGTACGTATGACAGAGAAGTTTCTCAGAATGCTTCTGTGTAGTTTTTATGCGAAGATATTCGACTTTCCACAGTACGCCTCAAAGTTCTCCAATTATCCACTCGTAGATCCTGCAAAAAGAGAGATTCAAAACTGCTCAATCAAAAGATAGTTTCTACTCCATTAGCTGAAAGACCACATCACAAAAAAAGTTTCTCAGGATGCTTCTGTGTAGTTTTTATGTGAAGATATTTGGTTTTCCACAGTAGGCCTCAAAGCGCTCCAAATATCCACTCACAGATTCTGCAAAAAGAGAGATTCAAAACTGCTGAATCAAAAGACAGTTTCAACTCTGTGACTTCAGTGCACACCTCACAAGGATGTTTCTCAGAATGCTTCTGTGTAGTTTTTATATAAAGATATCTCCTTCTCCAAAATGGATCTCAAAGTTCTCCAAATATTCACTTCCAGATTCTATGGAAAGATTGTCTCAAAACTGCTCAATCAAACCAAAGGTTCAACTCTGTGAGATGAATGCCCACATCACAAAGAAGTTTCTCAGAGTACTTCTGTGTAGTTTCTATTTGAGGATAGTTCCTTTTCCACCACAGACCAGAAAGGGCTCCAAATATCCATTGCAGATGGTACAAAAAGTGAGATTCAAAACTGCTCAATCCAAAGGTAGTTTCAACCATGTGATATGAATGCACACAGCACAGAGAATTTTCTCAAAATGCGTCTGTCTAGTTTTTATTTGAAGATATTTCCTTTTCTACCATAGGCCACAAACGTCTCCAAATATCCACATGCAGCTTCTACAAAAAGAGAGATTCAAAACTTCTCAATCAAAAGATAGGTTCAACTCTGTGAGTTGAAAGCACACCTCACAAAGAAGTTTCTCAGAGTGCTTCTGTGTGTTTTTATGTGAAGATATTTCCTTTTCCACAATAGGCCTCAAAGCTCTCCAAATATCTGCGAGCAGAGTCTACAAAATGAGAGATTCAAAACTGCTCAATGAAAAGATAGGTTCAACTCTGTGAGTTGAATGCACACCTCCAAAGAAGTTTCTCAGAATGCTTCCGTGTAGTTTTTATGTGAAGATATTTACTTTTCCACAGTTGTCCCAAAGCTCTAAAATATCCACTTGCAGACCCTCCAAAAGAGTGTTTCAGAATTGCTCAATCAAAGGGAAGGTTCAATTCTGTGTGACCAATGCACTCATCACAAAGAAGTTTGTCTGAATGCTTCTGTGTAGAATTGATTTGAAGATAATTCCTTTTCCACCACAGTCCGCAAAGGGCTAAAAATATCCACTTGCCGATTCCACAAAAAGAGAGATTCAAAACTGCTCAATCACAAGATAGGTTCAACTTGGTAATTGGAAAGCACACATGACAAACAATTTCTGAGAATGTTTCTGTGTAGTTTTTAAGGGAAGATATTTGATTTTCAAATGTAGGCCTCAAATCGCTCCAAATATCCACTTGCATATTGTACAAAAAGAGAGATTCAAAACTGGTCACTCAAAAGTTAGGTCCAGCTCTGTGAGCTGAATGCACACATCACAAAGATGTTTCTCAGAAGGTTTCTGTATAGTTTTTATATGAAGATATTTGCTTTTCCACAATATGCCTCAAATCTCCCCAATTATCCACTTGCAGATTCTAGAAAAAGAGTGTTTCAAAACAGCTCAATCAAAATAAACTTTCAACTCTGTGAGATCAATGCACACATCACAAAGAAGTTTCTCAGAATGCTTCTGTGTAGTTTTTTTTGTGAAGATATTTGATTTTCCACAGCAGGCTTCCAAGCACTCCAAATATCCACTCGCAGATTCTGCAAAAAGAGAGATTCAAATCTGCTGAATCAAAAGATAGGTTTAACTCTGTGACTTCAATGCACACCTCACAAGGGTGTTTCTCAGAAAGCTTCTGTGTAGTTTTTATATGAAGATATCTCCTTCTCCAAAGCAGGTCTCAAAGCCCTCCAAATATTCACTTCAAGATTCTACGGAAAGATTGTCTCAACACTGCTAAATCTAAACAAATGTTCAACTCTGTGTGATGAATGCACTCATCACAGAGAAGTTTCTCTGAATGCCTCTGTGTAGTTTTTATTTGAAGATATTTGCTTTTCCAGTATAGGGCGAAATAGGGCTCCAAATATTCACTTGCAGATTCTACAAAAGGAGAGATTCCAAACTGCTCAATCAAAACATAGGTTCAACACTGTGAGTTGAATGCACACATCACAAAGAAGTTTCACAGAGTGCTTCTGGGTAGTTTTTATTTGAGGATATTTCCCTTTCCACAATAGGCCTCAAAGCTTTCCAAATATCCACTTGCAGATTCTGCAAAAAGAGAGATACAAAACTGCTCTATCAAAAGATAGATTCGACTCTGTGAGTTGAATGCCAACATCGCAAAGAAGTTTCTCAGAATGCTTCTCTGCAGCTTTTTTGTGAGTATGTTTCGTTTTCCACCATAGGGCGAAATGGGGCTCCAAATATCCACTTGCATTTCCTACAAAAAGAGAGATTCTAAGCTGCTCAATCAAAACATTGTTTCAACACGGTTAGTTGAATGCACACATCCCAAAGATGTTTTTCAGAGTGCTTCTGTGTGGTTTTTATGTGAAGATACTTCCTTTTCCACAATAGGCCTCAAATCTCTGTAAATATCCACTTGCAGACTCTACAAAGAGTGTTTCCAAACTCCTCAATCATAAGATAGGTTCAACTCCGATAGTTGAATGCACACATCACAAAGAAGTTTGCTCGGAAAGCTTCTGTGTAGTTTTTGATGAAGATATCTCCTTCTCTAAAACAGAACTCCAAGCCCTCCAAATATTCACTTCAAGATTCTACGGAAAGATTGTCTCAAAACTCCTAAATCAAAACAAAGTTTCAACTCTGTGTCATGAATGCATTCATCTCAAAGAACTTTCTCTGAATGCTTCTGTGCAGTTTTTATTTGAAGATAATTGCTTTTCCAGTATAGGGCGAAATAGGGCTCCAAATATTCACTTGCAGATTCTACAGAAAGAGAGATTCCAAACTGCTCAATCAAAACATAGGTTCAACACTGTGAGTTGAATGCATACATCGCAAAGAAGTTTCACAGAGTACTTCTGGGTGGTTTTTATTTGAAGATATTTCCCTTTCCACAATAGGCCTCAAAGCTTTCCAAATGTCCACTTGCAGATTCCACCAAAAGCGTGTTTCGAAACTGCTCAATCAAAAGAAAGGTTCTACTCTGTGGGATGAATGCACACATCACAAAGTAGTTTCTCAGAATGCTTCTGTGTAGTTTTTATGTGAAGATATTTGTTTTTCCACAGTAGGCCCCAAAGAGCTCCAAATATTCACTTGCAGATTCTACAAAAAGAGTGTTCCAAAACTGCTCAATCATGAAATAGGATCAACCCTGTGAGATGAATGTACGTATGACAGAGAAGTTTCTCAGAATGCTTCTGTGTAGTTTTTATGCGAAGATATTCGATTTTCCACAGTACGCCTCAAAGTTCTCCAATTATCCACTCGTAGATTCTGCAAAAAGAGAGATTCAAAACTGCTCAATCAAAAGATAGTTTCTACTCCATTAGCTGAAAGACCACATCACAAAAAAAGTTTCTCAGGATGCTTCTGTGTAGTTTTTATGTGAAGATATTTGGTTTTCCACAGTAGGCCTCAAAGCGCTCCAAATATCCACTCACAGATTCTGCAAAAAGAGAGATTCAAAACTGCTGAATCAAAAGACAGTTTCAACTCTGTGACTTCAGTGCACACCTCACAAGGATGTTTCTCAGAATGCTTCTGTGTAGTTTTCATATAAAGATATCTCCTTCTCCAAAATGGATCTCAAAGTTCTCCAAATATTCACTTCCAGATTCTATGGAAAGATTGTCTCAAAACTGCTCAATCAAACCAAAGGTTCAACTCTGTGAGATGAATGCCCACATCACAAAGAAGTTTCTCAGAGTACTTCTGTGTAGTTTCTATTTGAGGATAGTTCCTTTTCCACCACAGACCAGAAAGGGCTCCATATATCCATTGCAGATGGTACAAAAAGTGAGATTCAAAACTGCTCAATCCAAAGGTAGTTTCAACCATGTGATATGAATGCACACAGCACAGAGAATTTTCTCAAAATGCGTCTGTCTAGTTTTTATTTGAAGATATTTCCTTTTCTACCATAGGCCACAAACGTCTCCAAATATCCACATGCAGCTTCTACAAAAAGAGACATTCAAAACTTCTCAATCAAAAGATAGGTTCAACTCTGTGAGTTGAAAGCACACCTCACAAAGAAGTTTCTCAGAGTGCTTCTGTGTGTTTTTATGTGAAGATATTTCCTTTTCCACAATAGGCCTCAAAGCTCTCCAAATATCTGCGAGCAGAGTCTACAAAATGAGAGATTCAAAACTGCTCAATGAAAAGATAGGTTCAACTCTGTGAGTTGAATGCACACCTCCAAAGAAGTTTCTCAGAATGCTTCCGTGCAGTTTTTATGTGAAGATATTTACTTTTCCACAGTTGTCCCAAAGCTCTAAAATGTCCACTTGCAGACCCTCCAAAAGAGTGTTTCAGAATTGCTCAATCAAAGGGAAGGTTCAATTCTGTGTGACCAATGCACTCATCACAAAGAAGTTTGTCTGAATGCTTCTGTGTAGAATTGATTTGAAGATAATTCCTTTTCCACCACAGTCCGCAAAGGGCTAAAAATATCCACTTGCCGATTCCACAAAAAGAGAGATTCAAAACTGCTCAATCACAAGATAGGTTCAACTTGGTAATTGGAAAGCACACATGACAAACAATTTCTGAGAATGTTTCTGTGTAGTTTTTAAGGGAAGATATTTGATTTTCAAATGTAGGCCTCAAATCGCTCCAAATATCCACTTGCATATTGTACAAAAAGAGAGATTCAAAACTGGTCACTCAAAAGTTAGGTCCAGCTCTGTGAGCTGAATGCACACATCACAAAGATGTTTCTCAGAAGGTTTCTGTATAGTTTCTATATGAAGATATTGGCTTTTCCACAATATGCCTCAAATCTCCCCAATTATCCACTTGCAGATTCTAGAAAAAGAGTGTTTCAAAACAGCTCAATCAAAATAAACTTTCAACTCTGTGAGATCAATGCACACATCACAAAGAAGTTTCTCAGAATGCTTCTGTGTAGTTTTTTTTGTGAAGATATTTGATTTTCCACAGCAGGCTTCCAAGCACTCCAAATATCCACTCGCAGATTCTGCAAAAAGAGAGATTCAAATCTGCTGAATCAAAAGATAGGTTTAACTCTGTGACTTCAATGCACACCTCACAAGGGTGTTTCTCAGAAAGCTTCTGTGTAGTTTTTATATGAAGATATCTCCTTCTCCAAAGCAGGTCTCAAAGCCCTCCAAATATTCACTTCAAGATTCTACGGAAAGATTGTCTCAACACTGCTAAATCTAAACAAATGTTCAACTCTGTGTGATGAATGCACTCATCACAGAGAAGTTTCTCTGAATGCCTCTGTGTAGTTTTTATTTGAAGATATTTGCTTTTCCAGTATAGGGCGAAATAGGGCTCCAAATATTCACTTGCAGATTCTACAAAAGGAGAGATTCCAAACTGCTCAATCAAAACATAGGTTCAACACTGTGAGTTGAATGCACACATCACAAAGAAGTTTCACAGAGTGCTTCTGGGTAGTTTTTATTTGAGGATATTTCCCTTTCCACAATAGGCCTCAAAGCTTTCCAAATATCCACTTGCAGATTCTGCAAAAAGAGAGATACAAAACTGCTCTATCAAAAGATAGATTCGACTCTGTGAGTTGAATGCCAACATCGCAAAGAAGTTTCTCAGAATGCTTCTCTGCAGCTTTTTTGTGAGTATGTTTCGTTTTCCACCATAGGGCGAAATGGGGCTCCAAATATCCACTTGCATTTCCTACAAAAAGAGAGATTCTAAGCTGCTCAATCAAAACATTGTTTCAACACGGTTAGTTGAATGCACACATCCCAAAGGTGTTTTTCAGAGTGCTTCTGTGTGGTTTTTATGTGAAGATACTTCCTTTTCCACAATAGGCCTCAAATCTCTGTAAATATCCACTTGCAGACTCTACAAAGAGTGTTTCCAAACTGCTCAATCATAAGATAGGTTCAACTCCGATAGTTGAATGCACACATCACAAAGAAGTTTCTCAGAAAGCTTCTGTGTAGTTTTTGATGAAGATATCTTCTTCTCTAAAACAGAACTCCAAGCCCTCCAAATATTCACTTCAAGATTCTACGGAAAGATTGTCTCAAAACTCCTAAATCAAAACAAAGTTTCAACTCTGTGTCATGAATGCATTCATCTCAAAGAAGTTTCTCTGAATGCTTCTGTGCAGTTTTTATTTGAAGATAATTGCTTTTCCAGTATAGGGCGAAATAGGGCTCCAAATATTCACTTGCAGATTCTACAGAAAGAGAGATTCCAAACTGCTCAATCAAAACATAGGTTCAACACTGTGAGTTGAATGCATACATCGCAAAGAAGTTTCACAGAGTACTTCTGGGTGGTTTTTATTTGAAGATATTTCCCTTTCCACAATAGGCCTCAAAGCTTTCCAAATGTCCACTTGCAGATTCCACCAAAAGCGTGTTTCGAAACTGCTCAATCAAAAGAAAGGTTCTACTCTGTGGGATGAATGCACACATCACAAAGTAGTTTCTCAGAATGCTTCTGTGTAGTTTTTATGTGAAGATATTTGTTTTTCCACAGTAGGCCCCAAAGAGCTCCAAATATTCACTTGCAGATTCTACAAAAAGAGTGTTCCAAAACTGCTCAATCATGAAATAGGATCAACCCTGTGAGATGAATGTACGTATGACAGAGAAGTTTCTCAGAATGCTTCTGTGTAGTTTTTATGCGAAGATATTCGATTTTCCACAGTACGCCTCAAAGTTCTCCAATTATCCACTCGTAGATTCTGCAAAAAGAGAGATTCAAAACTGCTCAATCAAAAGATAGTTTCTACTCCATTAGCTGAAAGACCACATCACAAAAAAAGTTTCTCAGGATGCTTCTGTGTAGTTTTTATGTGAAGATATTTGGTTTTCCACAGTAGGCCTCAAAGCGCTCCAAATATCCACTCACAGACTCTGCAAAAAGAGAGATTCAAAACTGCTGAATCAAAAGACAGTTTCAACTCTGTGACTTCAGTGCACACCTCACAAGGATGTTTCTCAGAATGCTTCTGTGTAGTTTTCATATAAAGATATCTCCTTCTCCAAAATGGATCTCAAAGTTCTCCAAATATTCACTTCCAGATTCTATGGAAAGATTGTCTCAAAACTGCTCAATCAAACCAAAGGTTCAACTCTGTGAGATGAATGCCCACATCACAAAGAAGTTTCTCAGAGTACTTCTGTGTAGTTTCTATTTGAGGATAGTTCCTTTTCCACCACAGACCAGAAAGGGCTCCAAATATCCATTGCAGATGGTACAAAAAGTGAGATTCAAAACTGCTCAATCCAAAGGTAGTTTCAACCATGTGATATGAATGCACACAGCACAGAGAATTTTCTCAAAATGCGTCTGTCTAGTTTTTATTTGAAGATATTTCCTTTTCTACCATAGGCCACAAACGTCTCCAAATATCCACATGCAGCTTCTACAAAAAGAGAGATTCAAAACTTCTCAATCAAAAGATAGGTTCAACTCTGTGAGTTGAAAGCACACCTCACAAAGAAGTTTCTCAGAGTGCTTCTGTGTGTTTTTATGTGAAGATATTTCCTTTTCCACAATAGGCCTCAAAGCTCTCCAAATATCTGCGAGCAGAGTCTACAAAATGAGAGATTCAAAACTGCTCAATGAAAAGATAGGTTCAACTCTGTGTGTTGAATGCACACCTCCAAAGAAGTTTCTCAGAATGCTTCCGTGTAGTTTTTATGTGAAGATATTTACTTTTCCACAGTTGTCCCAAAGCTCTAAAATGTCCACTTGCAGACCCTCCAAAAGAGTGTTTCAGAATTGCTCAATCAAAGGGAAGGTTCAATTCTGTGTGACCAATGCACTCATCACAAAGAAGTTTGTCTGAATGCTTCTGTGTAGAATTGATTTGAAGATAATTCCTTTTCCACCACAGTCCGCAAAGGGCTAAAAATATCCACTTGCCGATTCCACAAAAAGAGAGATTCAAAACTGCTCAATCACAAGATAGGTTCAACTTGGTAATTGGAAAGCACACATGACAAACAATTTCTGAGAATGTTTCTGTGTAGTTTTTAAGGGAAGATATTTGATTTTCAAATGTAGGCCTCAAATCGCTCCAAATATCCACTTGCATATTGTACAAAAAGAGAGATTCAAAACTGGTCACTCAAAAGTTAGGTCCAGCTCTGTGAGCTGAATGCACACATCACAAAGATGTTTCTCAGAATGTTTCTGTATAGTTTCTATATGAAGATATTTGCTTTTCCACAATATGCCTCAAATCTCCCCCAATTATCCACTTGCAGATTCTAGAAAAAGAGTGTTTCAAAACAGCTCAATCAAAATAAACTTTCAACTCTGTGAGATCAATGCACACATCACAAAGAAGTTTCTCAGAATGCTTCTGTGTAGTTTTTTTTGTGAAGATATTTGATTTTCCACAGCAGGCTTCCAAGCACTCCAAATATCCACTCGCAGATTCTGCAAAAAGAGAGATTCAAATCTGCTGAATCAAAAGATAGGTTTAACTCTGTGACTTCAATGCACACCTCACAAGGGTGTTTCTCAGAAAGCTTCTGTGTAGTTTTTATATGAAGATATCTCCTTCTCCAAAGCAGGTCTCAAAGCCCTCCAAATATTCACTTCAAGATTCTACGGAAAGATTGTCTCAACACTGCTAAATCTAAACAAATGTTCAACTCTGTGTGATGAATGCACTCATCACAGAGAAGTTTCTCTGAATGCCTCTGTGTAGTTTTTATTTGAAGATATTTGCTTTTCCAGTATAGGGCGAAATAGGGCTCCAAATATTCACTTGCAGATTCTACAAAAGGAGAGATTCCAAACTGCTCAATCAAAACATAGGTTCAACACTGTGAGTTGAATGCACACATCACAAAGAAGTTTCACAGAGTGCTTTCTGGGTAGTTTTTATTTGAGGATATTTCCCTTTCCACAATAGGCCTCAAAGCTTTCCAAATATCCACTTGCAGATTCTGCAAAAAGAGAGATACAAAACTGCTCTATCAAAAGATAGATTCGACTCTGTGAGTTGAATGCCAACATCGCAAAGAAGTTTCTCAGAATGCTTCTCTGCAGCTTTTTTGTGAGTATGTTTCGTTTTCCACCATAGGGCGAAATGGGGCTCCAAATATCCACTTGCATTTCCTACAAAAAGAGAGATTCTAAGCTGCTCAATCAAAACATTGTTTCAACACGGTTAGTTGAATGCACACATCCCAAAGATGTTTTTCAGAGTGCTTCTGTGTGGTTTTTATGTGAAGATACTTCCTTTTCCACAATAGGCCTCAAATCTCTGTAAATATCCACTTGCAGACTCTACAAAGAGTGTTTCCAAACTGCTCAATCATAAGATAGGTTCAACTCCAATAGTTGAATGCACACATCACAAAGAAGTTTCTCAGAAAGCTTCTGTGTAGTTTTTGATGAAGATATCTCCTTCTCTAAAACAGAACTCCAAGCCCTCCAAATATTCACTTCAAGATTCTACGGAAAGATTGTCTCAAAACTCCTAAATCAAAACAAAGTTTCAACTCTGTGTCATGAATGCATTCATCTCAAAGAAGTTTCTCTGAATGCTTCTGTGCAGTTTTTATTTGCAGATAATTGCTTTTCCAGTATAGGGCGAAATAGGGCTCCAAATATTCACTTGCAGATTCTACAGAAAGAGAGATTCCAAACTGCTCAATCAAAACATAGGTTCAACACTGTGAGTTGAATGCATACATCGCAAAGAAGTTTCACAGAGTACTTCTGGGTGGTTTTTATTTGAAGATATTTCCCTTTCCACAATAGGCCTCAAAGCTTTCCAAATGTCCACTTGCAGATTCCACCAAAAGCGTGTTTCGAAACTGCTCAATCAAAAGAAAGGTTCTACTCTGTGGGATGAATGCACACATCACAAAGTAGTTTCTCAGAATGCTTCTGTGTAGTTTTTATGTGAAGATATTTGTTTTTCCACAGTAGGCCCCAAAGAGCTCCAAATATTCACTTGCAGATTCTACAAAAAGAGTGTTCCAAAACTGCTCAATCATGAAATAGGATCAACCCTGTGAGATGAATGTACGTATGACAGAGAAGTTTCTCAGAATGCTTCTGTGTAGTTTTTATGCGAAGATATTCGATTTTCCACAGTACGCCTCAAAGTTCTCCAATTATCCACTCGTAGATTCTGCAAAAAGAGAGATTCAAAACTGCTCAATCAAAAGATAGTTTCTACTCCATTAGCTGAAAGACCACATCACAAAAAAAGTTTCTCAGGATGCTTCTGTGTAGTTTTTATGTGAAGATATTTGGTTTTCCACAGTAGGCCTCAAAGCGCTCCAAATATCCACTCACAGATTCTGCAAAAAGAGAGATTCAAAACTGCTGAATCAAAAGACAGTTTCAACTCTGTGACTTCAGTGCACACCTCACAAGGATGTTTCTCAGAATGCTTCTGTGTAGTTTTTATATAAAGATATCTCCTTCCCCAAAATGGATCTCAAAGTTCTCCAAATATTCACTTCCAGATTCTATGGAAAGATTGTCTCAAAACTGCTCAATCAAACCAAAGGTTCAACTCCTGTGAGATGAATGCCCACATCACAAAGAAGTTTCTCAGAGTACTTTTCTGTGTAGTTTCTATTTGAGGATAGTTCCTTTTCCACCACAGACCAGAAAGGGCTCCAAATATCCATTGCAGATGGTACAAAAAGTGAGATTCAAAACTGCTCAATCCAAAGGTAGTTTCAACCATGTGATATGAATGCACACAGCACAGAGAATTTTCTCAAAATGCGTCTGTCTACTTTTTATTTGAAGATATTTCCTTTTCTACCATAGGCCACAAACGTCTCCAAATATCCACATGCAGCTTCTACAAAAAGAGAGATTCAAAACTTCTCAATCAAAAGATAGGTTCAACTCTGTGAGTTGAAAGCACACCTCACAAAGCAGTTTCTCAGAGTGCTTCTGTGTGTTTTTATGTGAAGATATTTCCTTTTCCACAATAGGCCTCAAAGCTCTCCAAATATCTGCGAGCAGAGTCTACAAAATGAGAGATTCAAAACTGCTCAATGAAAAGATAGGTTCAACTCTGTGAGTTGAATGCACACCTCCAAAGAAGTTTCTCAGAATGCTTCCCGTGCAGTTTTTATGTGAAGGTATTTACTTTTCCACAGTTGTCCCAAAGCTCTAAAATGTCCACTTGCAGACCCTCCAAAAGAGTGTTTCAGAATTGCTCAATCAAAGGGAAGGTTCAATTCTTTGTGACCAATGCACTCATCACAAAGAAGTTTGTCTGAATGCTTCTGTGTAGAATTGATTTGAAGATAATTCCTTTTCCACCACAGTCCGCAAAGGGCTAAAAATATCTACTTGCCGATTCCACAAAAAGAGAGATTCAAAACTGCTCAATCACAAGATAGGTTCAACTTGGTAATTGGAAAGCACACATGACAAACAATTTCTGAGAATGTTTCTGTGTAGTTTTTAAGGGAAGATATTTGATTTTCAAATGTAGGCCTCAAATCGCTCCAAATATCCACTTGCATATTGTACAAAAAGAGAGATTCAAAACTGGTCACTCAAAAGTTAGGTCCAGCTCTGTGAGCTGAATGCACACATCACAAAGATGTTTCTCAGAAGGTTTCTGCATAGTTTTTATATGAAGATATTTGCTTTTCCACAATATGCCTCAAATCTCCCCAATTATCCACTTGCAGATTCTAGAAAAAGAGTGTTTCAAAACAGCTCAATCAAAATAAACTTTCAACTCTGTGAGATCAATGCACACATCACAAAGAAGTTTCTCAGAATGCTTCTGTGTAGTTTTTTTTGTGAAGATATTTGATTTTCCACAGCAGGCTTCCAAGCACTCCAAATATCCACTCGCAGATTCTGCAAAAAGAGAGATTCAAATCTGCTGAATCAAAAGATAGGTTTAACTCTGTGACTTCAATGCACACCTCACAAGTGTGTTTCTCAGAAAGCTTCTGTGTAGTTTTTATATGAAGATATCTCCTTCTCCAAAGCAGGTCTCAAAGCCCTCCAAATATTCACTTCAAGATTCTACGGAAAGATTGTCTCAACACTGCTAAATCTAAACAAATGTTCAACTCTGTGTGATGAATGCACTCATCACAGAGAAGTTTCTCTGAATGCCTCTGTGTAGTTTTTATTTGAAGATATTTGCTTTTCCAGTATAGGGCGAAATAGGGCTCCAAATATTCACTTGCAGATTCTACAAAAGGAGAGATTCCAAACTGCTCAATCAAAACATAGGTTCAACACTGTGAGTTGAATGCACACATCACAAAGAAGTTTCACAGAGTGCTTCTGGGTAGTTTTTATTTGAGGATATTTCCCTTTCCACAATAGGCCTCAAAGCTTTCCAAATATCCACTTGCAGATTCTGCAAAAAGAGAGATACAAAACTGCTCTATCAAAAGATAGATTCGACTCTGTGAGTTGAATGCCAACATCGCAAAGAAGTTTCTCAGAATGCTTCTCTGCAGCTTTTTTGTGAGTATGTTTCGTTTTCCACCATAGGGCGAAATGGGGCTCCAAATATCCACTTGCATTTCCTACAAAAAGAGAGATTCTAAGCTGCTCAATCAAAACATTGTTTCAACACGGTTAGTTGAATGCACACATCCCAAAGATGTTTTTCAGAGTGCTTCTGTGTGGTTTTTATGTGAAGATACTTCCTTTTCCACAATAGGCCTCAAATCTCTGTAAATATCCACTTGCAGACTCTACAAAGAGTGTTTCCAAACTGCTCAATCATAAGATAGGTTCAACTCCGATAGTTGAATGCACACATCACAAAGAAGTTTCTCAGAAAGCTTCTTTGTAGTTTTTGATGAAGATATCTTCTTCTCTAAAACAGAACTCCAAGCCCTCCAAATATTCACTTCAAGATTCTACGGAAAGATTGTCTCAAACTGCTAAATCAAAACAAAGGTTCAACTCTGTGTGATGAATGCATTCATCACAAAGAAGTTTCTCTGAGTGCTTCTGTGCAGTTTTTATTTGAAGATAATTGCTTTTCCAGTATAGGGCGAAATAGGGCTCCAAATATTCACTTGCAGATTCTACAGAAAGAGAGATTCCAAACTGCTCAATCAAAACATAGGTTCAACACTGTGAGTTGAATGCATACATCGCAAAGAAGTTTCACAGAGTACTTCTGGGTGGTTTTTATTTGAAGATATTTCCCTTTCCACAATAGGCCTCAAAGCTTTCCAAATGTCCACTTGCAGATTCCACCAAAAGAGTGTTTCGAAACTGCTCAATCAAAAGAAAGGTTCTACTCTGTGGGATGAATGCACACATCACAAAGTAGTTTCTCAGAATGCTTCTGTGTAGTTTTTATGTGAAGATATTTGTTTTTCCACAGTAGGCCCCAAAGAGCTCCAAATATTCACTTGCAGATTCTACAAAAAGAGTGTTCCAAAACTGCTCCATCATGAAATAGGATCAACCCTGTGAGATGAATGTACGTATGACAGAGAAGTTTCTCAGAATGCTTCTGTGTAGTTTTTATGCGAAGATATTCGACTTTCCACAGTACGCCTCAAAGTTCTCCAATTATCCACTCGTAGATCCTGCAAAAAGAGAGATTCAAAACTGCTCAATCAAAAGATAGTTTCTACTCCATTAGCTGAAAGACCACATCACAAAAAAAGTTTCTCAGGATGCTTCTGTGTAGTTTTTATGTGAAGATATTTGGTTTTCCACAGTAGGCCTCAAAGCGCTCCAAATATCCACTCACAGATTCTGCAAAAAGAGAGATTCAAAACTGCTGAATCAAAAGACAGTTTCAACTCTGTGACTTCAGTGCACACCTCACAAGGATGTTTCTCAGAATGCTTCTGTGTAGTTTTTATATAAAGATATCTCCTTCTCCAAAATGGATCTCAAAGTTCTCCAAATATTCACTTCCAGATTCTATGGAAAGATTGTCTCAAAACTGCTCAATCAAACCAAAGGTTCAACTCTGTGAGATGAATGCCCACATCACAAAGAAGTTTCTCAGAGTACTTCTGTGTAGTTTCTATTTGAGGATAGTTCCTTTTCCACCACAGACCAGAAAGGGCTCCAAATATCCATTGCAGATGGTACAAAAAGTGAGATTCAAAACTGCTCAATCCAAAGGTAGTTTCAACCATGTGATATGAATGCACACAGCACAGAGAATTTTCTCAAAATGCGTCTGTCTAGTTTTTATTTGAAGATATTTCCTTTTCTACCATAGGCCACAAACGTCTCCAAATATCCACATGCAGCTTCTACAAAAAGAGAGATTCAAAACTTCTCAATCAAAAGATAGGTTCAACTCTGTGAGTTGAAAGCACACCTCACAGAGAAGTTTCTCAGAGTGCTTCTGTGTGTTTTTATGTGAAGATATTTCCTTTTCCACAATAGGCCTCAAAGCTCTCCAAATATCTGTGAGCAGAGTCTACAAAATGAGAGATTCAAAACTGCTCAATGAAAAGATAGGTTCAACTCTGTGAGTTGAATGCACACCTCCAAAGAAGTTTCTCAGAATGCTTCCGTGTAGTTTTTATGTGAAGATATTTACTTTTCCACAGTTGTCCCAAAGCTCTAAAATGTCCACTTGCAGACCCTCCAAAAGAGTGTTTCAGAATTGCTCAATCAAAGGGAAGGTTCAATTCTGTGTGACCAATGCACTCATCACAAAGAAGTTTGTCTGAATGCTTCTGTGTAGAATTGATTTGAAGATAATTCCTTTTCCACCACAGTCCGCAAAGGGCTAAAAATATCCACTTGCCGATTCCACAAAAAGAGAGATTCAAAACTGCTCAATCACAAGATAGGTTCAACTTGGTAATTGGAAAGCACACATGACAAACAATTTCTGAGAATGTTTCTGTGTAGTTTTTAAGGGAAGATATTTGATTTTCAAATGTAGGCCTCAAATCGCTCCAAATATCCACTTGCATATTGTACAAAAAGAGAGATTCAAAACTGGTCACTCAAAAGTTAGGTCCAGCCCTGTGAGCTGAATGCACACATCACAAAGATGTTTCTCAGAAGGTTTCTGTATAGTTTCTATATGAAGATATTTGCTTTTCCACAATATGCCTCAAATCTCCCCAATTATCCACTTGCAGATTCTAGAAAAAGAGTGTTTCAAAACAGCTCAATCAAAATAAACTTTCAACTCTGTGAGATCAATGCACACATCACAAAGAAGTTTCTCAGAATGCTTCTGTGTAGTTTTTTTTGTGAAGATATTTGATTTTCCACAGCAGGCTTCCAAGCACTCCAAATATCCACTCGCAGATTCTGCAAAAAGAGAGATTCAAATCTGCTGAATCAAAAGATAGGTTTAACTCTGTGACTTCAATGCACACCTCACAAGGGTGTTTCTCAGAAAGCTTCTGTGTAGTTTTTATATGAAGATATCTCCTTCTCCAAAGCAGGTCTCAAAGCCCTCCAAATATTCACTTCAAGATTCTACGGAAAGATTGTCTCAACACTGCTAAATCTAAACAAATGTTCAACTCTGTGTGATGAATGCACTCATCACAGAGAAGTTTCTCTGAATGCCTCTGTGTAGTTTTTATTTGAAGATATTTGCTTTTCCAGTATAGGGCGAAATAGGGCTCCAAATATTCACTTGCAGATTCTACAAAAGGAGAGATTCCAAACTGCTCAATCAAAACATAGGTTCAACACTGTGAGTTGAATGCACACATCACAAAGAAGTTTCACAGAGTGCTTCTGGGTAGTTTTTATTTGAGGATATTTCCCTTTCCACAATAGGCCTCAAAGCTTTCCAAATATCCACTTGCAGATTCTGCAAAAAGAGAGATACAAAACTGCTCTATCAAAAGATAGATTCGACTCTGTGAGTTGAATGCCAACATCGCAAAGAAGTTTCTCAGAATGCTTCTCTGCAGCTTTTTTGTGAGTATGTTTCGTTTTCCACCATAGGGCGAAATGGGGCTCCAAATATCCACTTGCATTTCCTACAAAAGGAGAGATTCTAAGCTGCTCAATCAAAACATTGTTTCAACACGGTTAGTTGAATGCACACATCCCAAAGATGTTTCTCAGAGTGCTTCTGTGTGGTTTTTATGTGAAGATACTTCCTTTTCCACAATAGGCCTCAAATCTCTGTAAATATCCACTTGCAGACTCTACAAAGAGTGTTTCCAAACTGCTCAATCATAAGATAGGTTCAACTCCAATAGTTGAATGCACACATCACAAAGAAGTTTCTCAGAAAGCTTTCTGTGTAGTTTTTGATGAAGATATCTTCTTCTCTAAAACAGAACTCCAAGCCCTCCAAATATTCACTTCAAGATTCTACGGAAAGATTGTCTCAAAACTCCTAAATCAAAACAAAGTTTCAACTCTGTGTCATGAATGCATTCATCTCAAAGAAGTTTCTCTGAATGCTTCTGTGCAGTTTTTATTTGAAGATAATTGCTTTTCCAGTATAGGGCGAAATAGGGCTCCAAATATTCACTTGCAGATTCTACAGAAAGAGAGATTCCAAACTGCTCAATCAAAACATAGGTTCAACACTGTGAGTTGAATGCATACATCGCAAAGAAGTTTCACAGAGTACTTCTGGGTGGTTTTTATTTGAAGATATTTCCCTTTCCACAATAGGCCTCAAAGCTTTCCAAATGTCCACTTGCAGATTCCACCAAAAGAGTGTTTCGAAACTGCTCAATCAAAAGAAAGGTTCTACTCTGTGGGATGAATGCACACATCACAAAGTAGTTTCTCAGAATGCTTCTGTGTAGTTTTTATGTGAAGATATTTGTTTTTCCACAGTAGGCCCCAAAGAGCTCCAAATATTCACTTGCAGATTCTACAAAAAGAGTGTTCCAAAACTGCTCAATCATGAAATAGGATCAACCCTGTGAGACGAATGTACGTATGACAGAGAAGTTTCTCAGAATGCTTCTGTGTAGTTTTTATGCGAAGATATTCGATTTTCCACAGTACGCCTCAAAGTTCTCCAATTATCCACTCGTAGATCCTGCAAAAAGAGAGATTCAAAACTGCTCAATCAAAAGATAGTTTCTACTCCATTAGCTGAAAGACCACATCACAAAAAAAGTTTCTCAGGATGCTTCTGTGTAGTTTTTATGTGAAGATATTTGGTTTTCCACAGTAGGCCTCAAAGCGCTCCAAATATCCACTCACAGATTCTGCAAAAAGAGAGATTCAAAACTGCTGAATCAAAAGACAGTTTCAACTCTGTGACTTCAGTGCACACCTCACAAGGATGTTTCTCAGAATGCTTCTGTGTAGTTTTTATATAAAGATATCTCCTTCTCCAAAATGGATCTCAAAGTTCTCCAAATATTCACTTCCAGATTCTATGGAAAGATTGTCTCAAAACTGCTCAATCAAACCAAAGGTTCAACTCTGTGAGATGAATGCCCACATCACAAAGAAGTTTCTCAGAGTACTTCTGTGTAGTTTCTATTTGAGGATAGTTCCTTTTCCACCACAGACCAGAAAGGGCTCCAAATATCCATTGCAGATGGTACAAAAAGTGAGATTCAAAACTGCTCAATCCAAAGGTAGTTTCAACCATGTGATATGAATGCACACAGCACAGAGAATTTTCTCAAAATGCGTCTGTCTAGTTTTTATTTGAAGATATTTCCTTTTCTACCATAGGCCACAAACGTCTCCAAATATCCACATGCAGCTTCTACAAAAAGAGAGATTCAAAACTTCTCAATCAAAAGATAGGTTCAACTCTGTGAGTTGAAAGCACACCTCACAGAGAAGTTTCTCAGAGTGCTTCTGTGTGTTTTTATGTGAAGATATTTCCTTTTCCACAATAGGCCTCAAAGCTCTCCAAATATCTGCGAGCAGAGTCTACAAAATGAGAGATTCAAAACTGCTCAATGAAAAGATAGGTTCAACTCTGTGAGTTGAATGCACACCTCCAAAGAAGTTTCTCAGAATGCTTCCCGTGTAGTTTTTATGTGAAGATATTTACTTTTCCACAGTTGTCCCAAAGCTCTAAAATGTCCACTTGCAGACCCTCCAAAAGAGTGTTTCAGAATTGCTCAATCAAAGGGAAGGTTCAATTCTGTGTGACCAATGCACTCATCACAAAGAAGTTTGTCTGAATGCTTCTGTGTAGAATTGATTTGAAGATAATTCCTTTTCCACCACAGTCCGCAAAGGGCTAAAAATATCCACTTGCCGATTCCACAAAAAGAGAGATTCAAAACTGCTCAATCACAAGATAGGTTCAACTTGGTAATTGGAAAGCACACATGACAAACAATTTCTGAGAATGTTTCTGTGTAGTTTTTAAGGGAAGATATTTGATTTTCAAATGTAGGCCTCAAATCGCTCCAAATATCCACTTGCATATTGTACAAAAAGAGAGATTCAAAACTGGTCACTCAAAAGTTAGGTCCAGCTCTGTGAGCTGAATGCACACATCACAAAGATGTTTCTCAGAAGGTTTCTGTATAGTTTCTATATGAAGATATTTGCTTTTCCACAATATGCCTCAAATCTCCCCAATTATCCACTTGCAGATTCTAGAAAAAGAGTGTTTCAAAACAGCTCAATCAAAATAAACTTTCAACTCTGTGAGATCAATGCACACATCCCAAAGAAGTTTCTCAGAATGCTTCTGTGTAGTTTTTTTTGTGAAGATATTTGATTTTCCACAGCAGGCTTCCAAGCACTCCAAATATCCACTCGCAGATTCTGCAAAAAGAGAGATTCAAATCTGCTGAATCAAAAGATAGGTTTAACTCTGTGACTTCAATGCACACCTCACAAGGGTGTTTCTCAGAAAGCTTCTGTGTAGTTTTTATATGAAGATATCTCCTTCTCCAAAGCAGGTCTCAAAGCCCTCCAAATATTCACTTCAAGATTCTACGGAAAGATTGTCTCAACACTGCTAAATCTAAACAAATGTTCAACTCTGTGTGATGAATGCACTCATCACAGAGAAGTTTCTCTGAATGCCTCTGTGTAGTTTTATTTGAAGATATTTGCTTTTCCAGTATAGGGCGAAATAGGGCTCCAAATATTCACTTGCAGATTCTACAAAAGGAGAGATTCCAAACTGCTCAATCAAAACATAGGTTCAACACTGTGAGTTGAATGCACACATCACAAAGAAGTTTCACAGAGTGCTTCTGGGTAGTTTTTATTTGAGGATATTTCCCTTTCCACAATAGGCCTCAAAGCTTTCCAAATATCCACTTGCAGATTCTGCAAAAAGAGAGATACAAAACTGCTCTATCAAAAGATAGATTCGACTCTGTGAGTTGAATGCCAACATCGCAAAGAAGTTTCTCAGAATGCTTCTCTGCAGCTTTTTTGTGAGTATGTTTCGTTTTCCACCATAGGGCGAAATGGGGCTCCAAATATCCACTTGCATTTCCTACAAAAAGAGAGATTCTAAGCTGCTCAATCAAAACATTGTTTCAACACGGTTAGTTGAATGCACACATCCCAAAGATGTTTTTCAGAGTGCTTCTGTGTGGTTTTTATGTGAAGATACTTCCTTTTCCACAATAGGCCTCAAATCTCTGTAAATATCCACTTGCAGACTCTACAAAGAGTGTTTCCAAACTGCTCAATCATAAGATAGGTTCAACTCCGATAGTTGAATGCACACATCACAAAGAAGTTTCTCAGAAAGCTTCTGTGTAGTTTTTGATGAAGATATCTCCTTCTCTAAAACAGAACCCCAAGCCCTCCAAATATTCACTTCAAGATTCTACGGAAAGATTGTCTCAAACTGCTAAATCAAAACAAAGGTTCAACTCTGTGTGATGAATGCATTCATCACAAAGAAGTTTCTCTGAGTGCTTCTGTGCAGTTTTTATTTGAAGATAATTGCTTTTCCAGTATAGGGCGAAATAGGGCTCCAAATATTCACTTGCAGATTCTACAGAAAGAGAGATTCCAAACTGCTCAATCAAAACATAGGTTCAACACTGTGAGTTGAATGCATACATCGCAAAGAAGTTTCACAGAGTACTTCTGGGTGGTTTTTATTTGAAGATATTTCCCTTTCCACAATAGGCCTCAAAGCTTTCCAAATGTCCACTTGCAGATTCCACCAAAAGAGTGTTTCGAAACTGCTCAATCAAAAGAAAGGTTCTACTCTGTGGGATGAATGCACACATCACAAAGTAGTTTCTCAGAATGCTTCTGTGTAGTTTTTATGTGAAGATATTTGTTTTTCCACAGTAGGCCCCAAGGAGCTCCAAATATTCACTTGCAGATTCTACAAAAAGAGTGTTCCAAAACTGCTCAATCATGAAATAGGATCAACCCTGTGAGATGAATGTACGTATGACAGAGAAGTTTCTCAGAATGCTTCTGTGTAGTTTTTATGCGAAGATATTCGATTTTCCACAGTACGCCTCAAAGTTCTCCAATTATCCACTCGTAGATTCTGCAAAAAGAGAGATTCAAAACTGCTCAATCAAAAGATAGTTTCTACTCCATTAGCTGAAAGACCACATCACAAAAAAAGTTTCTCAGGATGCTTCTGTGTAGTTTTTATGTGAAGATATTTGGTTTTCCACAGTAGGCCTCAAAGCGCTCCAAATATCCACTCACAGATTCTGCAAAAAGAGAGATTCAAAACTGCTGAATCAAAAGACAGTTTCAACTCTGTGACTTCAGTGCACACCTCACAAGGATGTTTCTCAGCATGCTTCTGTGTAGTTTTTATATAAAGATATCTCCTTCTCCAAAATGGATCTCAAAGTTCTCCAAATATTCACTTCCAGATTCTATGGAAAGATTGTCTCAAAACTGCTCAATCAAACCAAAGGTTCAACTCTGTGAGATGAATGCACACATCACAAAGAAGTTTCTCAGAGTACTTCTGTGTAGTTTCTATTTGAGGATAGTTCCTTTTCCACCACAGACCAGAAAGGGCTCCAAATATCCATTGCAGATGGTACAAAAAGTGAGATTCAAAACTGCTCAATCCAAAGGTAGTTTCAACCATGTGATATGAATGCACACAGCACAGAGAATTTTCTCAAAATGCGTCTGTCTAGTTTTTATTTGAAGATATTTCCTTTTCTACCATAGGCCACAAACGTCTCCAAATATCCACATGCAGCTTCTACAAAAAGAGAGATTCAAAACTTCTCAATCAAAAGATAGGTTCAACTCTGTGAGTTGAAAGCACACCTCACAAAGAAGTTTCTCAGAGTGCTTCTGTGTGTTTTTATGTGAAGATATTTCCTTTTCCACAATAGGCCTCAAAGCTCTCCAAATATCTGCGAGCAGAGTCTACAAAATGAGAGATTCAAAACTGCTCAATGAAAAGATAGGTTCAACTCTGTGAGTTGAATGCACACCTCCAAAGAAGTTTCTCAGAATGCTTCCGTGCAGTTTTTATGTGAAGATATTTACTTTTCCACAGTTGTCCCAAAGCTCTAAAATGTCCACTTGCAGACCCTCCAAAAGAGTGTTTCAGAATTGCTCAATCAAAGGGAAGGTTCAATTCTGTGTGACCAATGCACTCATCACAAAGAAGTTTGTCTGAATGCTTCTGTGTAGAATTGATTTGAAGATAATTCCTTTTCCACCACAGTCCGCAAAGGGCTAAAAATATCCACTTGCCGATTCCACAAAAAGAGAGATTCAAAACTGCTCAATCACAAGATACGTTCAACTTGGTAATTGGAAAGCACACATGACAAACAATTTCTGAGAATGTTTCTGTGTAGTTTTTAAGGGAAGATATTTGATTTTCAAATGTAGGCCTCAAATCGCTCCAAATATCCACTTGCATATTGTACAAAAAGAGAGATTCAAAACTGGTCACTCAAAAGTTAGGTCCAGCTCTGTGAGCTGAATGCACACATCACAAAGATGTTTCTCAGAAGGTTTCTGTATAGTTTCTATATGAAGATATTTGCTTTTCCACAATATGCCTCAAATCTCCCCAATTATCCACTTGCAGATTCTAGAAAAAGAGTGTTTCAAAACAGCTCAATCAAAATAAACTTTCAACTCTGTGAGATCAATGCACACATCACAAAGAAGTTTCTCAGAATGCTTCTGTGTAGTTTTTTTTGTGAAGATATTTGATTTTCCACAGCAGGCTTCCAAGCACTCCAAATATCCACTCGCAGATTCTGCAAAAAGAGAGATTCAAATCTGCTGAATCAAAAGATAGGTTTAACTCTGTGACTTCAATGCACACCTCACAAGGGTGTTTCTCAGAAAGCTTCTGTGTAGTTTTTATATGAAGATATCTCCTTCTCCAAAGCAGGTCTCAAAGCCCTCCAAATATTCACTTCAAGATTCTACGGAAAGATTGTCTCAACACTGCTAAATCTAAACAAATGTTCAACTCTGTGTGATGAATGCACTCATCACAGAGAAGTTTCTCTGAATGCCTCTGTGTAGTTTTTATTTGAAGATATTTGCTTTTCCAGTATAGGGCGAAATAGGGCTCCAAATATTCACTTGCAGATTCTACAAAAGGAGAGATTCCAAACTGCTCAATCAAAACATAGGTTCAACACTGTGAGTTGAATGCACACATCACAAAGAAGTTTCACAGAGTGCTTCTGGGTAGTTTTTATTTGAGGATATTTCCCTTTCCACAATAGGCCTCAAAGCTTTCCAAATATCCACTTGCAGATTCTGCAAAAAGAGAGATACAAAACTGCTCTATCAAAAGATAGATTCGACTCTGTGAGTTGAATGCCAACATCGCAAAGAAGTTTCTCAGAATGCTTCTCTGCAGCTTTTTTGTGAGTATGTTTCGTTTTCCACCATAGGGCGAAATGGGGCTCCAAATATCCACTTGCATTTCCTACAAAAAGAGAGATTCTAAGCTGCTCAATCAAAACATTGTTTCAACACGGTTAGTTGAATGCACACATCCCAAAGATGTTTTTCAGAGTGCTTCTGTGTGGTTTTTATGTGAAGATACTTCCTTTTCCACAATAGGCCTCAAATCTCTGTAAATATCCACTTGCAGACTCTACAAAGAGTGTTTCCAAACTGCTCAATCATAAGATAGGTTCAACTCCGATAGTTGAATGCACACATCACAAAGAAGTTTCTCAGAAAGCTTCTGTGTAGTTTTTGATGAAGATATCTCCTTCTCTAAAACAGAACTCCAAGCCCTCCAAATATTCACTTCAAGATTCTACGGAAAGATTGTCTCAAAACTCCTAAATCAAAACAAAGTTTCAACTCTGTGTCATGAACGCATTCATCTCAAAGAAGTTTCTCTGAATGCTTCTGTGCAGTTTTTATTTGAAGATAATTGCTTTTCCAGTATAGGGCGAAATAGGGCTCCAAATATTCACTTGCAGATTCTACAGAAAGAGAGATTCCAAACTGCTCAATCAAAACATAGGTTCAACACTGTGAGTTGAATGCATACATCGCAAAGAAGTTTCACAGAGTACTTCTGGGTGGTTTTTATTTGAAGATATTTCCCTTTCCACAATAGGCCTCAAAGCTTTCCAAATGTCCACTTGCAGATTCCACCAAAAGAGTGTTTCGAAACTGCTCAATCAAAAGAAAGGTTCTACTCTGTGGGATGAATGCACACATCACAAAGTAGTTTCTCAGAATGCTTCTGTGTAGTTTTTATGTGAAGATATTTGTTTTTCCACAGTAGGCCCCAAAGAGCTCCAAATATTCACTTGCAGATTCTACAAAAAGAGTGTTCCAAAACTGCTCAATCATGAAATAGGATCAACCCTGTGAGATGAATGTACGTATGACAGAGAAGTTTCTCAGAATGCTTCTGTGTAGTTTTTATGCGAAGATATTCGATTTTCCACAGTACGCCTCAAAGTTCTCCAGTTATCCACTCGTAGATTCTGCAAAAAGAGAGATTCAAAACTGCTCAATCAAAAGATAGTTTCTACTCCATTAGCTGAAAGACCACATCACAAAAAAAGTTTCTCAGGATGCTTCTGTGTAGTTTTTATGTGAAGATATTTGGTTTTCCACAGTAGGCCTCAAAGCGCTCCAAATATCCACTCACAGATTCTGCAAAAAGAGAGATTCAAAACTGCTGAATCAAAAGACAGTTTCAACTCTGTGACTTCAGTGCACACCTCACAAGGATGTTTCTCAGAATGCTTCTGTGTAGTTTTTATATAAAGATATCTCCTTCTCCAAAATGGATCTCAAAGTTCTCCAAATATTCACTTCCAGATTCTATGGAAAGATTGTCTCAAAACTGCTCAATCAAACCAAAGGTTCAACTCTGTGAGATAAATGCCCACATCACAAAGAAGTTTCTCAGAGTACTTCTGTGTAGTTTCTATTTGAGGATAGTTCCTTTTCCACCACAGACCAGAAAGGGCTCCAAATATCCATTGCAGATGGTACAAAAAGTGAGATTCAAAACTGCTCAATCCAAAGGTAGTTTCAACCATGTGATATGAATGCACACAGCACAGAGAATTTTCTCAAAATGCGTCTGTCTAGTTTTTATTTGAAGATATTTCCTTTTCCACCATAGGCCACAAACGTCTCCAAATATCCACATGCAGCTTCTACAAAAAGAGAGATTCAAAACTTCTCAATCAAAAGATAGGTTCAACTCTGTGAGTTGAAAGCACACCTCACAAAGAAGTTTCTCAGAGTGCTTCTGTGTGTTTTTATGTGAAGATATTTCCTTTTCCACAATAGGCCTCAAAGCTCTCCAAATATCTGCGAGCAGAGTCTACAAAATGAGAGATTCAAAACTGCTCAATGAAAAGATAGGTTCAACTCTGTGAGTTGAATGCACACCTCCAAAGAAGTTTCTCAGAATGCTTCCGTGTAGTTTTTATGTGAAGATATTTACTTTTCCACAGTTGTCCCAAAGCTCTAAAATATCCACTTGCAGACCCTCCAAAAGAGTGTTTCAGAATTGCTCAATCAAAGGGAAGGTTCAATTCTGTGTGACCAATGCACTCATCACAAAGAAGTTTGTCTGAATGCTTCTGTGTAGAATTGATTTGAAGATAATTCCTTTTCCACCACAGTCCGCAAAGGGCTAAAAATATCCACTTGCCGATTCCACAAAAAGAGAGATTCAAAACTGCTCAATCACAAGATAGGTTCAACTTGGTAATTGGAAAGCACACATGACAAACAATTTCTGAGAATGTTTCTGTGTAGTTTTTAAGGGAAGATATTTGATTTTCAAATGTAGGCCTCAAATCGCTCCAAATATCCACTTGCATATTGTACAAAAAGAGAGATTCAAAACTGGTCACTCAAAAGTTAGGTCCAGCTCTGTGAGCTGAATGCACACATCACAAAGATGTTTCTCAGAAGGTTTCTGTATAGTTTTTATATGAAGATATTTGCTTTTCCACAATATGCCTCAAATCTCCCCAATTATCCACTTGCAGATTCTAGAAAAAGAGTGTTTCAAAACAGCTCAATCAAAATAAACTTTCAACTCTGTGAGATCAATGCACACATCACAAAGAAGTTTCTCAGAATGCTTCTGTGTAGTTTTTTTTGTGAAGATATTTGATTTTCCACAGCAGGCTTCCAAGCACTCCAAATATCCACTCGCAGATTCTGCAAAAAGAGAGATTCAAATCTGCTGAATCAAAAGATAGGTTTAACTCTGTGACTTCAATGCACACCTCACAAGGGTGTTTCTCAGAAAGCTTCTGTGTAGTTTTTATATGAAGATATCTCCTTCTCCAAAGCAGGTCTCAAAGCCCTCCAAATATTCACTTCAAGATTCTACGGAAAGATTGTCTCAACACTGCTAAATCTAAACAAATGTTCAACTCTGTGTGATGAATGCACTCATCACAGAGAAGTTTCTCTGAATGCCTCTGTGTAGTTTTTATTTGAAGATATTTGCTTTTCCAGTATAGGGCGAAATAGGGCTCCAAATATTCACTTGCAGATTCTACAAAAGGAGAGATTCCAAACTGCTCAATCAAAACATAGGTTCAACACTGTGAGTTGAATGCACACATCACAAAGAAGTTTCACAGAGTGCTTCTGGGTAGTTTTTATTTGAGGATATTTCCCTTTCCACAATAGGCCTCAAAGCTTTCCAAATATCCACTTGCAGATTCTGCAAAAAGAGAGATACAAAACTGCTCTATCAAAAGATAGATTCGACTCTGTGAGTTGAATGCCAACATCGCAAAGAAGTTTCTCAGAATGCTTCTCTGCAGCTTTTTTGTGAGTATGTTTCGTTTTCCACCATAGGGCGAAATGGGGCTCCAAATATCCACTTGCATTTCCTACAAAAAGAGAGATTCTAAGCTGCTCAATCAAAACATTGTTTCAACACGGTTAGTTGAATGCACACATCCCAAAGATGTTTTTCAGAGTGCTTTCTGTGTGGTTTTTATGTGAAGATACTTCCTTTTCCACAATAGGCCTCAAATCTCTGTAAATATCCACTTGCAGACTCTACAAAGAGTGTTTCCAAACTCCTCAATCATAAGATAGGTTCAACTCCGATAGTTGAATGCACACATCACAAAGAAGTTTCTCAGAAAGCTTCTGTGTAGTTTTTGATGAAGATATCTTCTTCTCTAAAACAGAACTCCAAGCCCTCCAAATATTCACTTCAAGATTCTACGGAAAGATTGTCTCAAACTGCTAAATCAAAACAAAGGTTCAATTCTGTGTGATGAATGCATTCATCACAAAGAAGTTTCTCTGAGTGCTTCTGTGCAGTTTTTATTTGAAGATAATTGCTTTTCCAGTATAGGGCGAAATAGGGCTCCAAATATTCACTTGCAGATTCTACAGAAAGAGAGATTCCAAACTGCTCAATCAAAACATAGGTTCAACACTGTGAGTTGAATGCATACATCGCAAAGAAGTTTCACAGAGTACTTCTGGGTGGTTTTTATTTGAAGATATTTCCCTTTCCACAATAGGCCTCAAAGCTTTCCAAATGTCCACTTGCAGATTCCACCAAAAGAGTGTTTCGAAACTGCTCAATCAAAAGAAAGGTTCTACTCTGTGGGATGAATGCACACATCACAAAGTAGTTTCTCAGAATGCTTCTGTGTAGTTTTTATGTGAAGATATTTGTTTTTCCACAGTAGGCCCCAAAGAGCTCCAAATATTCACTTGCAGATTCTACAAAAAGAGTGTTCCAAAACTGCTCAATCATGAAATAGGATCAACCCTGTGAGATGAATGTACGTATGACAGAGAAGTTTCTCAGAATGCTTCTGTGTAGTTTTTATGCGAAGATATTCGATTTTCCACAGTACGCCTCAAAGTTCTCCAATTATCCACTCGTAGATTCTGCAAAAAGAGAGATTCAAAACTGCTCAATCAAAAGATAGTTTCTACTCCATTAGCTGAAAGACCACATCACAAAAAAAGTTTCTCAGGATGCTTCTGTGTAGTTTTTATGTGAAGATATTTGGTTTTCCACAGTAGGCCTCAAAGCGCTCCAAATATCCACTCACAGATTCTGCAAAAAGAGAGATTCAAAACTGCTGAATCAAAAGACAGTTTCAACTCTGTGACTTCAGTGCACACCTCACAAGGATGTTTCTCAGAATGCTTCTGTGTAGTTTTCATATAAAGATATCTCCTTCTCCAAAATGGATCTCAAAGTTCTCCAAATATTCACTTCCAGATTCTATGGAAAGATTGTCTCAAAACTGCTCAATCAAACCAAAGGTTCAACTCTGTGAGATGAATGCCCACATCACAAAGAAGTTTCTCAGAGTACTTCTGTGTAGTTTCTATTTGAGGATAGTTCCTTTTCCACCACAGACCAGAAAGGGCTCCAAATATCCATTGCAGATGGTACAAAATGTGAGATTCAAAACTGCTCAATCCAAAGGTAGTTTCAACCATGTGATATGAATGCACACAGCACAGAGAATTTTCTCAAAATGCGTCTGTCTAGTTTTTATTTGAAGATATTTTCTTTTCTACCATAGGCCACAAACGTCTCCAAATATCCACATGCAGCTTCTACAAAAAGAGAGATTCAAAACTTCTCAATCAAAAGATAGGTTCAACTCTGTGAGTTGAAAGCACACCTCACAAAGAAGTTTCTCAGAGTGCTTCTGTGTGTTTTTATGTGAAGATATTTCCTTTTCCACAATAGGCCTCAAAGCTCTCCAAATATCTGCGAGCAGAGTCTACAAAATGAGAGATTCAAAACTGCTCAATGAAAAGATAGGTTCAACTCTGTGAGTTGAATGCACACCTCCAAAGAAGTTTCTCAGAATGCTTCCGTGTAGTTTTTATGTGAAGATATTTACTTTTCCACAGTTGTCCCAAAGCTCTAAAATGTCCACTTGCAGACCCTCCAAAAGAGTGTTTCAGAATTGCTCAATCAAAGGGAAGGTTCAATTCTGTGTGACCAATGCACTCATCACAAAGAAGTTTGTCTGAATGCTTCTGTGTAGAATTGATTTGAAGATAATTCCTTTTCCACCACAGTCCGCAAAGGGCTAAAAATATCCACTTGCCGATTCCACAAAAAGAGAGATTCAAAACTGCTCAATCACAAGATAGGTTCAACTTGGTAATTGGAAAGCACACATGACAAACAATTTCTGAGAATGTTTCTGTGTAGTTTTTAAGGGAAGATATTTGATTTTCAAATGTAGGCCTCAAATCGCTCCAAATATCCACTTGCATATTGTACAAAAAGAGAGATTCAAAACTGGTCACTCGAAAGTTAGGTCCAGCTCTGTGAGCTGAATGCACACATCACAAAGATGTTTCTCAGAAGGTTTCTGTATAGTTTTTATATGAAGATATTTGCTTTTCCACAATATGCCTCAAATCTCCCCAATTATCCACTTGCAGATTCTAGAAAAAGAGTGTTTCAAAACAGCTCAATCAAAATAAACTTTCAACTCTGTGAGATCAATGCACACATCACAAAGAAGTTTCTCAGAATGCTTCTGTGTAGTTTTTTTTGTGAAGATATTTGATTTTCCACAGCAGGCTTCCAAGCACTCCAAATATCCACTCGCAGATTCTGCAAAAAGAGAGATTCAAATCTGCTGAATCAAAAGATAGGTTTAACTCTGTGACTTCAATGCACACCTCACAAGGGTGTTTCTCAGAAAGCTTCTGTGTAGTTTTTATATGAAGATATCTCCTTCTCCAAAGCAGGTCTCAAAGCCCTCCAAATATTCACTTCAAGATTCTACGGAAAGATTGTCTCAACACTGCTAAATCTAAACAAATGTTCAACTCTGTGTGATGAATGCACTCATCACAGAGAAGTTTCTCTGAATGCCTCTGTGTAGTTTTTATTTGAAGATATTTGCTTTTCCAGTATAGGGCGAAATAGGGCTCCAAATATTCACTTGCAGATTCTACAAAAGGAGAGATTCCAAACTGCTCAATCAAAACATAGGTTCAACACTGTGAGTTGAATGCACACATCACAAAGAAGTTTCACAGAGTGCTTCTGGGTAGTTTTTATTTGAGGATATTTCCCTTTCCACAATAGGCCTCAAAGCTTTCCAAATATCCACTTGCAGATTCTGCAAAAAGAGAGATACAAAACTGCTCTATCAAAAGATAGATTCGACTCTGTGAGTTGAATGCCAACATCGCAAAGAAGTTTCTCAGAATGCTTCTCTGCAGCTTTTTTGTGAGTATGTTTCGTTTTCCACCATAGGGCGAAATGGGGCTCCAAATATCCACTTGCATTTCCTACAAAAAGAGAGATTCTAAGCTGCTCAATCAAAACATTGTTTCAACACGGTTAGTTGAATGCACACATCCCAAAGATGTTTTTCAGAGTGCTTCTGTGTGGTTTTTATGTGAAGATACTTCCTTTTCCACAATAGGCCTCAAATCTCTGTAAATATCCACTTGCAGACTCTACAAAGAGTGTTTCCAAACTGCTCAATCATAAGATAGGTTCAACTCCGATAGCTGAATGCACACATCACAAAGAAGTTTCTCGGAAAGCTTCTGTGTAGTTTTTGATGAAGATATCTCCTTCTCTAAAACAGAACCCCAAGCCCTCCAAATATTCACTTCAAGATTCTACGGAAAGATTGTCTCAAACTGCTAAATCAAAACAAAGGTTCAACTCTGTGTGATGAATGCATTCATCACAAAGAAGTTTCTCTGAGTGCTTCTGTGCAGTTTTTATTTGAAGATAATTGCTTTTCCAGTATAGGGCGAAATAGGGCTCCAAATATTCACTTGCAGATTCTACAGAAAGAGAGATTCCAAACTGCTCAATCAAAACATAGGTTCAACACTGTGAGTTGAATGCATACATCGCAAAGAAGTTTCACAGAGTACTTCTGGGTGGTTTTTATTTGAAGATATTTCCCTTTCCACAATAGGCCTCAAAGCTTTCCAAATGTCCACTTGCAGATTCCACCAAAAGAGTGTTTCGAAACTGCTCAATCAAAAGAAAGGTTCTACTCTGTGGGATGAATGCACACATCACAAAGTAGTTTCTCAGAATGCTTCTGTGTAGTTTTTATGTGAAGATATTTGTTTTTCCACAGTAGGCCCCAAAGAGCTCCAAATATTCACTTGCAGATTCTACAAAAAGAGTGTTCCAAAACTGCTCAATCATGAAATAGGATCAACCCTGTGAGATGAATGTACGTATGACAGAGAAGTTTCTCAGAATGCTTCTGTGTAGTTTTTATGCGAAGATATTCGATTTTCCACAGTACGCCTCAAAGTTCTCCAATTATCCACTCGTAGATTCTGCAAAAAGAGAGATTCAAAACTGCTCAATCAAAAGATAGTTTCTACTCCATTAGCTGAAAGACCACATCACAAAAAAAGTTTCTCAGGATGCTTCTGTGTAGTTTTTATGTGAACATATTTGGTTTTCCACAGTAGGCCTCAAAGCGCTCCAAATATCCGCTCACAGACTCTGCAAAAAGAGAGATTCAAAACTGCTGAATCAAAAGACAGTTTCAACTCTGTGACTTCAGTGCACACCTCACAAGGATGTTTCTCAGAATGCTTCTGTGTAGTTTTCATATAAAGATATCTCCTTCTCCAAAATGGATCTCAAAGTTCTCCAAATATTCACTTCCAGATTCTATGGAAAGATTGTCTCAAAACTGCTCAATCAAACCAAAGGTTCAACTCTGTGAGATGAATGCCCACATCACAAAGTAGTTTCTCAGAGTACTTCTGTGTAGTTTCTATTTGAGGATAGTTCCTTTTCCACCACAGACCAGAAAGGGCTCCAAATATCCATTGCAGATGGTACAAAAAGTGAGATTCAAAACTGCTCAATCCAAAGGTAGTTTCAACCATGTGATATGAATGCACACAGCACAGAGAATTTTCTCAAAATGCGTCTGTCTAGTTTTTATTTGAAGATATTTCCTTTTCTACCATAGGCCACAAACGTCTCCAAATATCCACATGCAGCTTCTACAAAAAGAGAGATTCAAAACTTCTCAATCAAAAGATAGGTTCAACTCTGTGAGTTGAAAGCACACCTCACAAAGAAGTTTCTCAGAGTGCTTCTGTGTGTTTTTATGTGAAGATATTTCCTTTTCCACAATAGGCCTCAAAGCTCTCCAAATATCTGCGAGCAGAGTCTACAAAATGAGAGATTCAAAACTGCTCAATGAAAAGATAGGTTCAACTCTGTGAGTTGAATGCACACCTCCAAAGAAGTTTCTCAGAATGCTTCCGTGTAGTTTTTATGTGAAGATATTTACTTTTCCACAGTTGTCCCAAAGCTCTAAAATATCCACTTGCAGACCCTCCAAAAGAGTGTTTCAGAATTGCTCAATCAAAGGGAAGGTTCAATTCTGTGTGACCAATGCACTCATCACAAAGAAGTTTGTCTGAATGCTTCTGTGTAGAATTGATTTGAAGATAATTCCTTTTCCACCACAGTCCGCAAAGGGCTAAAAATATCCACTTGCCGATTCCACAAAAAGAGAGATTCAAAACTGCTCAATCACAAGATAGGTTCAACTTGGTAATTGGAAAGCACACATGACAAACAATTTCTGAGAATGTTTCTGTGTAGTTTTTAAGGGAAGATATTTGATTTTCAAATGTAGGCCTCAAATCGCTCCAAATATCCACTTGCATATTGTACAAAAAGAGAGATTCAAAACTGGTCACTCAAAAGTTAGGTCCAGCTCTGTGAGCTGAATGCACACATCACAAAGATGTTTCTCAGAAGGTTTCTGTATAGTTTCTATATGAAGATATTTGCTTTTCCACAATATGCCTCAAATCTCCCCAATTATCCACTTGCAGATTCTAGAAAAAGAGTGTTTCAAAACAGCTCAATCAAAATAAACTTTCAACTCTGTGAGATCAATGCACACATCACAAAGAAGTTTCTCAGAATGCTTCTGTGTAGTTTTTTTTGTGAAGATATTTGATTTTCCACAGCAGGCTTCCAAGCACTCCAAATATCCACTCGCAGATTCTGCAAAAAGAGAGATTCAAATCTGCTGAATCAAAAGATAGGTTTAACTCTGTGACTTCAATGCACACCTCACAAGGGTGTTTCTCAGAAAGCTTCTGTGTAGTTTTTATATGAAGATATCTCCTTCTCCAAAGCAGGTCTCAAAGCCCTCCAAATATTCACTTCAAGATTCTACGGAAAGATTGTCTCAACACTGCTAAATCTAAACAAATGTTCAACTCTGTGTGATGAATGCACTCATCACAGAGAAGTTTCTCTGAAGGCCTCTGTGTAGTTTTTATTTGAAGATATTTGCTTTTCCAGTATAGGGCGAAATAGGGCTCCAAATATTCACTTGCAGATTCTACAAAAGGAGAGATTCCAAACTGCTCAATCAAAACATAGGTTCAACACTGTGAGTTGAATGCACACATCACAAAGAAGTTTCACAGAGTGCTTCTGGGTAGTTTTTATTTGAGGATATTTCCCTTTCCACAATAGGCCTCAAAGCTTTCCAAATATCCACTTGCAGATTCTGCAAAAAGAGAGATACAAAACTGCTCTATCAAAAGATAGATTCGACTCTGTGAGTTGAATGCCAACATCGCAAAGAAGTTTCTCAGAATGCTTCTCTGCAGCTTTTTTGTGAGTATGTTTCGTTTTCCACCATAGGGCGAAATGGGGCTCCAAATATCCACTTGCATTTCCTACAAAAAGAGAGATTCTAAGCTGCTCAATCAAAACATTGTTTCAACACGGTTAGTTGAATGCACACATCCCAAAGATGTTTTTCAGAGTGCTTCTGTGTGGTTTTTATGTGAAGATACTTCCTTTTCCACAATAGGCCTCAAATCTCTGTAAATATCCACTTGCAGACTCTACAAAGAGTGTTTCCAAACTGCTCAATCATAAGATAGGTTCAACTCCGATAGTTGAATGCACACATCACAAAGAAGTTTCTCAGAAAGCTTCTGTGTAGTTTTTGATGAAGATATCTTCTTCTCTAAAACAGAACTCCAAGCCCTCCAAATATTCACTTCAAGATTCTACGGAAAGATTGTCTCAAAACTCCTAAATCAAAACAAAGTTTCAACTCTGTGTCATGAATGCATTCATCTCAAAGAAGTTTCTCTGAATGCTTCTGTGCAGTTTTTATTTGAAGATAATTGCTTTTCCAGTATAGGGCGAAATAGGGCTCCAAATATTCACTTGCAGATTCTACAGAAAGAGAGATTCCAAACTGCTCAATCAAAACATAGGTTCAACACTGTGAGTTGAATGCATACATCGCAAAGAAGTTTCACAGAGTACTTCTGGGTGGTTTTTATTTGAAGATATTTCCCTTTCCACAATAGGCCTCAAAGCTTTCCAAATGTCCACTTGCAGATTCCACCAAAAGAGTGTTTCGAAACTGCTCAATCAAAAGAAAGGTTCTACTCTGTGGGATGAATGCACACATCACAAAGTAGTTTCTCAGAATGCTTCTGTGTAGTTTTTATGTGAAGATATTTGTTTTTCCACAGTAGGCCCCAAAGAGCTCCAAATATTCACTTGCAGATTCTACAAAAAGAGTGTTCCAGAACTGCTCAATCATGAAATAGGATCAACCCTGTGAGATGAATGTACGTATGACAGAGAAGTTTCTCAGAATGCTTTCTGTGTAGTTTTTATGTGAAGATATTCGATTTTCCACAGTACGCCTCAAAGTTCTCCAATTATCCACTCGTAGATTCTGCAAAAAGAGAGATTCAAAACTGCTCAATCAAAAGATAGTTTCTACTCCATTAGCTGAAAGACCACATCACAAAAAAAGTTTCTCAGGATGCTTCTGTGTAGTTTTTATGTGAAGATATTTGGTTTTCCACAGTAGGCCTCAAAGCGCTCCAAATATCCACTCACAGATTCTGCAAAAAGAGAGATTCAAAACTGCTGAATCAAAAGACAGTTTCAACTCTGTGACTTCAGTGCACACCTCACAAGGATGTTTCTCAGAATGCTTCTGTGGTGTTTTTATATAAAGATATCTCCTTCTCCAAAATGGATCTCAAAGTTCTCCAAATATTCACTTCCAGATTCTATGGAAAGATTGTCTCAAAACTGCTCAATCAAACCAAAGGTTCAACTCTGTGAGATGAATGCCCACATCACAAAGAAGTTTCTCAGAGTACTTCTGTGTAGTTTCTATTTGAGGATAGTTCCTTTTCCACCACAGACCAGAAAGGGCTCCAAATATCCATTGCAGATGGTACAAAAAGTGAGATTCAAAACTGCTCAATCCAAAGGTAGTTTCAACCATGTGATATGAATGCACACAGCACAGAGAATTTTCTCAAAATGCGTCTGTCTAGTTTTTATTTGAAGATATTTCCTTTTCTACCATAGGCCACAAACGTCTCCAAATATCCACATGCAGCTTCTACAAAAAGAGAGATTCAAAACTTCTCAATCAAAAGATAGGTTCAACTCTGTGAGTTGAAAGCACACCTCACAAAGAAGTTTCTCAGAGTGCTTCTGTGTGTTTTTATGTGAAGATATTTCCTTTTCCACAATAGGCCTCAAAGCTCTCCAAATATCTGCGAGCAGAGTCTACAAAATGAGAGATTCAAAACTGCTCAATGAAAAGATAGGTTCAACTCTGTGAGTTGAATGCACACCTCCAAAGAAGTTTCTCAGAATGCTTCCGTGTAGTTTTTATGTGAAGATATTTACTTTTCCACAGTTGTCCCAAAGCTCTAAAATATCCACTTGCAGACCCTCCAAAAGAGTGTTTCAGAATTGCTCAATCAAAGGGAAGGTTCAATTCTGTGTGACCAATGCACTCATCACAAAGAAGTTTGTCTGAATGCTTCTGTGTAGAATTGATTTGAAGATAATTCCTTTTCCACCACAGTCCGCAAAGGGCTAAAAATATCCACTTGCCGATTCCACAAAAAGAGAGATTCAAAACTGCTCAATCACAAGATAGGTTCAACTTGGTAATTGGAAAGCACACATGACAAACAATTTCTGAGAATGTTTCTGTGTAGTTTTTAAGGGAAGATATTTGATTTTCAAATGTAGGCCTCAAATCGCTCCAAATATCCACTTGCATATTGTACAAAAAGAGAGATTCAAAACTGGTCACTCAAAAGTTAGGTCCAGCTCTGTGAGCTGAATGCACACATCACAAAGATGTTTCTCAGAAGGTTTCTGTATAGTTTCTATATGAAGATATTTGCTTTTCCACAATATGCCTCAAATCTCCCCAATTATCCACTTGCAGATTCTAGAAAAAGAGTGTTTCAAAACAGCTCAATCAAAATAAACTTTCAACTCTGTGAGATCAATGCACACATCACAAAGAAGTTTCTCAGAATGCTTCTGTGTAGTTTTTTTTGTGAAGATATTTGATTTTCCACAGCAGGCTTCCAAGCACTCCAAATATCCACTCGCAGATTCTGCAAAAAGAGAGATTCAAATCTGCTGAATCAAAAGATAGGTTTAACTCTGTGACTTCAATGCACACCTCACAAGGGTGTTTCTCAGAAAGCTTCTGTGTAGTTTTTATATGAAGATATCTCCTTCTCCAAAGCAGGTCTCAAAGCCCTCCAAATATTCACTTCAAGATTCTACGGAAAGATTGTCTCAACACTGCTAAATCTAAACAAATGTTCAACTCTGTGTGATGAATGCACTCATCACAGAGAAGTTTCTCTGAATGCCTCTGTGTAGTTTTTATTTGAAGATATTTGCTTTTCCAGTATAGGGCGAAATAGGGCTCCAAATATTCACTTGCAGATTCTACAAAAGGAGAGATTCCAAACTGCTCAATCAAAACATAGGTTCAACACTGTGAGTTGAATGCACACATCACAAAGAAGTTTCACAGAGTGCTTCTGGGTAGTTTTTATTTGAGGATATTTCCCTTTCCACAATAGGCCTCAAAGCTTTCCAAATATCCACTTGCAGATTCTGCAAAAAGAGAGATACAAAACTGCTCTATCAAAAGATAGATTCGACTCTGTGAGTTGAATGCCAACATCGCAAAGAAGTTTCTCAGAATGCTTCTCTGCAGCTTTTTTGTGAGTATGTTTCGTTTTCCACCATAGGGCGAAATGGGGCTCCAAATATCCACTTGCATTTCCTACAAAAAGAGAGATTCTAAGCTGCTCAATCAAAACATTGTTTCAACACGGTTAGTTGAATGCACACATCCCAAAGATGTTTTTCAGAGTGCTTCTGTGTGGTTTTTATGTGAAGATACTTCCTTTTCCACAATAGGCCTCAAATCTCTGTAAATATCCACTTGCAGACTCTACAAAGAGTGTTTCCAAACTGCTCAATCATAAGATAGGTTCAACTCCGATAGTTGAATGCACACATCACAAAGAAGTTTCTCAGAAAGCTTCTGTGTAGTTTTTGATGAAGATATCTCCTTCTCTAAAACAGAACTCCAAGCCCTCCAAATATTCACTTCAAGATTCTACGGAAAGATTGTCTCAAAACTCCTAAATCAAAACAAAGTTTCAACTCTGTGTCATGAATGCATTCATCTCAAAGAAGTTTCTCTGAATGCTTCTGTGCAGTTTTTATTTGAAGATAATTGCTTTTCCAGTATAGGGCGAAATAGGGCTCCAAATATTCACTTGCAGATTCTACAGAAAGAGAGATTCCAAACTGCTCAATCAAAACATAGGTTCAACACTGTGAGTTGAATGCATACATCGCAAAGAAGTTTCACAGAGTACTTCTGGGTGGTTTTTATTTGAAGATATTTCCCTTTCCACACTAGGCCTCAAAGCTTTCCAAATGTCCACTTGCAGATTCCACCAAAAGAGTGTTTCGAAACTGCTCAATCAAAAGAAAGGTTCTACTCTGTGGGATGAATGCACACATCACAAAGTAGTTTCTCAGAATGCTTCTGTGTAGTTTTTATGTGAAGATATTTGTTTTTCCACAGTAGGCCCCAAGGAGCTCCAAATATTCACTTGCAGATTCTACAAAAAGAGTGTTCCAAAACTGCTCAATCATGAAATAGGATCAACCCTGTGAGATGAATGTACGTATGACAGAGAAGTTTCTCAGAATGCTTCTGTGTAGTTTTTATGCGAAGATATTCGATTTTCCACAGTACGCCTCAAAGTTCTCCAATTATCCACTCGTAGATTCTGAAAAAAGAGAGATTCAAAACTGCTCAATCAAAAGATAGTTTCTACTCCATTAGCTGAAAGACCACATCACAAAAAAAGTTTCTCAGGATGCTTCTGTGTAGTTTTTATGTGAAGATATTTGGTTTTCCACAGTAGGCCTCAAAGCGCTCCAAATATCCACTCACAGACTCTGCAAAAAGAGAGATTCAAAACTGCTGAATCAAAAGACAGTTTCAACTCTGTGACTTCAGTGCACACCTCACAAGGATGTTTCTCAGAATGCTTCTGTGTAGTTTTTATATAAAGATATCTCCTTCTCCAAAATGGATCTCAAAGTTCTCCAAATATTCACTTCCAGATTCTATGGAAAGATTGTCTCAAAACTGCTCAATCAAACCAAAGGTTCAACTCTGTGAGATGAATGCCCACATCACAAAGAAGTTTCTCAGAGTACTTCTGTGTAGTTTCTATTTGAGGATAGTTCCTTTTCCACCACAGACCAGAAAGGGCTCCAAATATCCATTGCAGATGGTACAAAAAGTGAGATTCAAAACTGCTCAATCCAAAGGTAGTTTCAACCATGTGATATGAATGCACACAGCACAGAGAATTTTCTCAAAATGCGTCTGTCTAGTTTTTATTTGAAGATATTTCCTTTTCTACCATAGGCCACAAACGTCTCCAAATATCCACATGCAGCTTCTACAAAAAGAGAGATTCAAAACTTCTCAATCAAAAGATAGGTTCAACTCTGTGAGTTGAAAGCACACCTCACAGAGAAGTTTCTCAGAGTGCTTCTGTGTGTTTTTATGTGAAGATATTTCCTTTTCCACAATAGGCCTCAAAGCTCTCCAAATATCTGCGAGCAGAGTCTACAAAATGAGAGATTCAAAACTGCTCAATGAAAAGATAGGTTCAACTCTGTGAGTTGAATGCACACCTCCAAAGAAGTTTCTCAGAATGCTTCCGTGTAGTTTTTATGTGAAGATATTTACTTTTCCACAGTTGTCCCAAAGCTCTAAAATGTCCACTTGCAGACCCTCCAAAAGAGTGTTTCAGAATTGCTCAATCAAAGGGAAGGTTCAATTCTGTGTGACCAATGCACTCATCACAAAGAAGTTTGTCTGAATGCTTCTGTGTAGAATTGATTTGAAGATAATTCCTTTTCCACCACAGTCCGCAAAGGGCTAAAAATATCCACTTGCCGATTCCACAAAAAGAGAGATTCCAAACTGCTCAATCACAAGATAGGTTCAACTTGGTAATTGGAAAGCACACATGACAAACAATTTCTGAGAATGTTTCTGTGTAGTTTTTAAGGGAAGATATTTGATTTTCAAATGTAGGCCTCAAATCGCTCCAAATATCCACTTGCATATTGTACAAAAAGAGAGATTCAAAACTGGTCACTCAAAAGTTAGGTCCAGCTCTGTGAGCTGAATGCACACATCACAAAGATGTTTCTCAGAAGGTTTCTGTATAGTTTCTATATGAAGATATTTGCTTTTCCACAATATGCCTCAAATCTCCCCAATTATCCACTTGCAGATTCTAGAAAAAGAGTGTTTCAAAACAGCTCAATCAAAATAAACTTTCAACTCTGTGAGATCAATGCACACATCACAAAGAAGTTTCTCAGAATGCTTCAGTGTAGTTTTTTTTGTGAAGATATTTGATTTTCCACAGCAGGCTTCCAAGCACTCCAAATATCCACTCGCAGATTCTGCAAAAAGAGAGATTCAAATCTGCTGAATCAAAAGATAGGTTTAACTCTGTGACTTCAATGCACACCTCACAAGGGTGTTTCTCAGAAAGCTTCTGTGTAGTTTTTATATGAAGATATCTCCTTCTCCAAAGCAGGTCTCAAAGCCCTCCAAATATTCACTTCAAGATTCTACGGAAAGATTGTCTCAACACTGCTAAATCTAAACAAATGTTCAACTCTGTGTGATGAATGCACTCATCACAGAGAAGTTTCTCTGAATGCCTCTGTGTAGTTTTTATTTGAAGATATTTGCTTTTCCAGTATAGGGCGAAATAGGGCTCCAAATATTCACTTGCTGATTCTACAAAAGGAGAGATTCCAAACTGCTCAATCAAAACATAGGTTCAACACTGTGAGTTGAATGCACACATCACAAAGAAGTTTCACAGAGTGCTTCTGGGTAGTTTTTATTTGAGGATATTTCCCTTTCCACAATAGGCCTCAAAGCTTTCCAAATATCCACTTGCAGATTCTGCAAAAAGAGAGATACAAAACTGCTCTATCAAAAGATAGATTCGACTCTGTGAGTTGAATGCCAACATCGCAAAGAAGTTTCTCAGAATGCTTCTCTGCAGCTTTTTTGTGAGTATGTTTCGTTTTCCACCATAGGGCGAAATGGGGCTCCAAATATCCACTTGCATTTCCTACAAAAAGAGAGATTCTAAGCTGCTCAATCAAAACATTGTTTCAACACGGTTAGTTGAATGCACACATCCCAAAGATGTTTTTCAGAGTGCTTCTGTGTGGTTTTTATGTGAAGATACTTCCTTTTCCACAATAGGCCTCAAATCTCTGTAAATATCCACTTGCAGACTCTACAAAGAGTGTTTCCAAACTGCTCAATCATAAGATAGGTTCAACTCCGATAGTTGAATGCACACATCACAAAGAAGTTTCTCAGAAAGCTTCTGTGTAGTTTTTGATGAAGATATCTTCTTCTCTAAAACAGAACTCCAAGCCCTCCAAATATTCACTTCAAGATTCTACGGAAAGATTGTCTCAAACTGCTAAATCAAAACAAAGGTTCAACTCTGTGTGATGAATGCATTCATCACAAAGAAGTTTCTCTGAGTGCTTCTGTGCAGTTTTTATTTGAAGATAATTGCTTTTCCAGTATAGGGCGAAATAGGGCTCCAAATATTCACTTGCAGATTCTACAGAAAGAGAGATTCCAAACTGCTCAATCAAAACATAGGTTCAACACTGTGAGTTGAATGCATACATCGCAAAGAAGTTTCACAGAGTACTTCTGGGTGGTTTTTATTTGAAGATATTTCCCTTTCCACAATAGGCCTCAAAGCTTTCCAAATGTCCACTTGCAGATTCCACCAAAAGAGTGTTTCGAAACTGCTCAATCAAAAGAAAGGTTCTACTCTGTGGGATGAATGCACACATCACAAAGTAGTTTCTCAGAATGCTTCTGTGTAGTTTTTATGTGAAGATATTTGTTTTTCCACAGTAGGCCCCAAGGGAGCTCCAAATATTCACTTGCAGATTCTACAAAAAGAGTGTTCCGAAACTGCTCAATCATGAAATAGGATCAACCCTGTGAGATGAATGTACGTATGACAGAGAAGTTTCTCAGAATGCTTCTGTGTAGTTTTTATGCGAAGATATTCGATTTTCCACAGTACGCCTCAAAGTTCTCCAATTATCCACTCGTAGATCCTGCAAAAAGAGAGATTCAAAACTGCTCAATCAAAAGATAGTTTCTACTCCATTAGCTGAAAGACCACATCACAAAAAAAGTTTCTCAGGATGCTTCTGTGTAGTTTTTATGTGAAGATATTTGGTTTTCCACAGTAGGCCTCAAAGCGCTCCAAATATCCACTCACAGATTCTGCAAAAAGAGAGATTCAAAACTGCTGAATCAAAAGACAGTTTCAACTCTGTGACTTCAGTGCACACCTCACAAGGATGTTTCTCAGAATGCTTCTGTGTAGTTTTTATATAAAGATATCTCCTTCTCCAAAATGGATCTCAAAGTTCTCCAAATATTCACTTCCAGATTCTATGGAAAGATTGTCTCAAAACTGCTCAATCAAACCAAAGGTTCAACTTTGTGAGATGAATGCACACATCACAAAGAAGTTTCTCAGAGTACTTCTGTGTAGTTTCTATTTGAGGATAGTTCCTTTTCCACCACAGACCAGAAAGGGCTCCAAATATCCATTGCAGATGGTACAAAAAGTGAGATTCAAAACTGCTCAATCCAAAGGTAGTTTCAACCATGTGATATGAATGCACACAGCACAGAGAATTTTCTCAAAATGCGTCTGTCTAGTTTTTATTTGAAGATATTTCCTTTTCTACCATAGGCCACAAACGTCTCCAAATATCCACATGCAGCTTCTACAAAAAGAGAGATTCAAAACTTCTCAATCAAAAGATAGGTTCAACTCTGTGAGTTGAAAGCACACCTCACAAAGAAGTTTCTCAGAGTGCTTCTGTGTGTTTTTATGTGAAGATATTTCCTTTTCCACAATAGGCCTCAAAGCTCTCCAAATATCTGCGAGCAGAGTCTACAAAATGAGAGATTCAAAACTGCTCAATGAAAAGATAGGTTCAACTCTGTGAGTTGAATGCACACCTCCAAAGAAGTTTCTCAGAATGCTTCCGTGTAGTTTTTATGTGAAGATATTTACTTTTCCACAGTTGTCCCAAAGCTCTAAAATGTCCACTTGCAGACCCTCCAAAAGAGTGTTTCAGAATTGCTCAATCAAAGGGAAGGTTCAATTCTGTGTGACCAATGCACTCATCACAAAGAAGTTTGTCTGAATGCTTCTGTGTAGAATTGATTTGAAGATAATTCCTTTTCCACCACAGTCCGCAAAGGGCTAAAAATATCCACTTGCCGATTCCACAAAAAGAGAGATTCAAAACTGCTCAATCACAAGATAGGTTCAACTTGGTAATTGGAAAGCACACATGACAAAAAATTTCTGAGAATGTTTCTGTGTAGTTTTTAAGGGAAGATATTTGATTTTCAAATGTAGGCCTCAAATCGCTCCAAATATCCACTTGCATATTGTACAAAAAGAGAGATTCAAAACTGGTCACTCAAAAGTTAGGTCCAGCTCTGTGAGCTGAATGCACACATCACAAAGATGTTTCTCAGAAGGTTTCTGTATAGTTTCTATATGAAGATATTGGCTTTTCCACAATATGCCTCAAATCTCCCCAATTATCCACTTGCAGATTCTAGAAAAAGAGTGTTTCAAAACAGCTCAATCAAAATAAACTTTCAACTCTGTGAGATCAATGCACACATCACAAAGAAGTTTCTCAGAATGCTTCTGTGTAGTTTTTTTTGTGAAGATATTTGATTTTCCACAGCAGGCTTCCAAGCACTCCAAATATCCACTCGCAGATTCTGCAAAAAGAGAGATTCAAATCTGCTGAATCAAAAGATAGGTTTAACTCTGTGACTTCAATGCACACCTCACAAGGGTGTTTCTCAGAAAGCTTCTGTGTAGTTTTTATATGAAGATATCTCCTTCTCCAAAGCAGGTCTCAAAGCCCTCCAAATATTCACTTCAAGATTCTACTGAAAGATTGTCTCAACAATGCTAAATCTAAACAAATGTTCAACTCTGTGTGATGAATGCACTCATCACAGAGAAGTTTCTCTGAATGCCTCTGTGTAGTTTTTATTTGAAGATATTTGCTTTTCCAGTATAGGGCGAAATAGGGCTCCAAATATTCACTTGCAGATTCTACAAAAGGAGAGATTCCAAACTGCTCAATCAAAACATAGGTTCAACACTGTGAGTTGAATGCACACATCACAAAGAAGTTTCACAGAGTGCTTCTGGGTAGTTTTTATTTGAGGATATTTCCCTTTCCACAATAGGCCTCAAAGCTTTCCAAATATCCACTTGCAGATTCTGCAAAAAGAGAGATACAAAACTGCTCTATCAAAAGATAGATTCGACTCTGTGAGTTGAATGCCAACATCGCAAAGAAGTTTCTCAGAATGCTTCTCTGCAGCTTTTTTGTGAGTATGTTTCGTTTTCCACCATAGGGCGAAATGGGGCTCCAAATATCCACTTGCATTTCCTACAAAAAGAGAGATTCTAAGCTGCTCAATCAAAACATTGTTTCAACACGGTTAGTTGAATGCACACATCCCAAAGATGTTTTTCAGAGTGCTTCTGTGTGGTTTTTATGTGAAGATACTTCCTTTTCCACAATAGGCCTCAAATCTCTGTAAATATCCACTTGCAGACTCTACAAAGAGTGTTTCCAAACTCCTCAATCATAAGATAGGTTCAACTCCGATAGTTGAATGCACACATCACAAAGAAGTTTCTCAGAAAGCTTCTGTGTAGTTTTTGATGAAGATATCTTCTTCTCTAAAACAGAACTCCAAGCCCTCCAAATATTCACTTCAAGATTCTACGGAAAGATTGTCTCAAACTGCTAAATCAAAACAAAGGTTCAACTCTGTGTGATGAATGCATTCATCACAAAGAAGTTTCTCTGAGTGCTTCTGTGCAGTTTTTATTTGAAGATAATTGCTTTTCCAGTATAGGGCGAAATAGGGCTCCAAATATTCACTTGCAGATTCTACAGAAAGAGAGATTCCAAACTGCTCAATCAAAACATAGGTTCAACACTGTGAGTTGAATGCATACATCGCAAAGAAGTTTCACAGAGTACTTCTGGGTGGTTTTTATTTGAAGATATTTCCCTTTCCACAATAGGCCTCAAAGCTTTCCAAATGTCCACTTGCAGATTCCACCAAAAGAGTGTTTCGAAACTGCTCAATCAAAAGAAAGGTTCTACTCTGTGGGATGAATGCACACATCACAAAGTAGTTTCTCAGAATGCTTCTGTGTAGTTTTTATGTGAAGATATTTGTTTTTCCACAGTAGGCCCCAAAGAGCTCCAAATATTCACTTGCAGATTCTACAAAAAGAGTGTTCCAAAACTGCTCAATCATGAAATAGGATCAACCCTGTGAGATGAATGTACGTATGACAGAGAAGTTTCTCAGAATGCTTCTGTGTAGTTTTTATGCGAAGATATTCGATTTTCCACAGTACGCCTCAAAGTTCTCCAATTATCCACTCGTAGATTCTGCAAAAAGAGAGATTCAAAACTGCTCAATCAAAAGATAGTTTCTACTCCATTAGCTGAAAGACCACATCACAAAAAAAGTTTCTCAGGATGCTTCTGTGTAGTTTTTATGTGAAGATATTTGGTTTTCCACAGTAGGCCTCAAAGCGCTCCAAATATCCACTCACAGATTCTGCAAAAAGAGAGATTCAAAACTGCTGAATCAAAAGACAGTTTCAACTCTGTGACTTCAGTGCACACCTCACAAGGATGTTTCTCAGAATGCTTCTGTGTAGTTTTTATATAAAGATATCTCCTTCTCCAAAATGGATCTCAAAGTTCTCCAAATATTCACTTCCAGATTCTATGGAAAGATTGTCTCAAAACTGCTCAATCAAACCAAAGGTTCAACTCTGTGAGATGAATGCCCACATCACAAAGAAGTTTCTCAGAGTACTTCTGTGTAGTTTCTATTTGAGGATAGTTCCTTTTCCACCACAGACCAGAAAGGGCTCCAAATATCCATTGCAGATGGTACAAAAAGTGAGATTCAAAACTGCTCAATCCAAAGGTAGTTTCAACCATGTGATATGAATGCACACAGCACAGAGAATTTTCTCAAAATGCGTCTGTCTAGTTTTTATTTGAAGATATTTCCTTTTCTACCATAGGCCACAAACGTCTCCAAATATCCACATGCAGCTTCTACAAAAAGAGAGATTCAAAACTTCTCAATCAAAAGATAGGTTCAACTCTGTGAGTTGAAAGCACACCTCACAAAGAAGTTTCTCAGAGTGCTTCTGTGTGTTTTTATGTGAAGATATTTCCTTTTCCACAATAGGCCTCAAAGCTCTCCAAATATCTGCGAGCAGAGTCTACAAAATGAGAGATTCAAAACTGCTCAATGAAAAGATAGGTTCAACTCTGTGAGTTGAATGCACACCTCCAAAGAAGTTTCTCAGAATGCTTCCGTGTAGTTTTTATGTGAAGATATTTACTTTTCCACAGTTGTCCCAAAGCTCTAAAATATCCACTTGCAGACCCTCCAAAAGAGTGTTTCAGAATTGCTCAATCAAAGGGAAGGTTCAATTCTGTGTGACCAATGCACTCATCACAAAGAAGTTTGTCTGAATGCTTCTGTGTAGAATTGATTTGAAGATAATTCCTTTTCCACCACAGTCCGCAAAGGGCTAAAAATATCCACTTGCCGATTCCACAAAAAGAGAGATTCAAAACTGCTCAATCACAAGATAGGTTCAACTTGGTAATTGGAAAGCACACATGACAAACAATTTCTGAGAATGTTTCTGTGTAGTTTTTAAGGGAAGATATTTGATTTTCAAATGTAGGCCTCAAATCGCTCCAAATATCCACTTGCATATTGTACAAAAAGAGAGATTCAAAACTGGTCACTCAAAAGTTAGGTCCAGCTCTGTGAGCTGAATGCACACATCAAAAAGATGTTTCTCAGAAGGTTTCTGTATAGTTTCTATATGAAGGTATTGGCTTTTCCACAATATGCCTCAAATCTCCCCAATTATCCACTTGCAGATTCTAGAAAAAGAGTGTTTCAAAACAGCTCAATCAAAATAAACTTTCAACTCTGTGAGATCAATGCACACATCACAAAGAAGTTTCTCAGAATGCTTCTGTGTAGTTTTTTTTGTGAAGATATTTGATTTTCCACAGCAGGCTTCCAAGCACTCCAAATATCCACTCGCAGATTCTGCAAAAAGAGAGATTCAAATCTGCTGAATCAAAAGATAGGTTTAACTCTGTGACTTCAATGCACACCTCACAAGGGTGTTTCTCAGAAAGCTTCTGTGTAGTTTTTATATGAAGATATCTCCTTCTCCAAAGCAGGTCTCAAAGCCCTCCAAATATTCACTTCAAGATTCTACGGAAAGATTGTCTCAACACTGCTAAATCTAAACAAATGTTCAACTCTGTGTGATGAATGCACTCATCACAGAGAAGTTTCTCTGAATGCCTCTGTGTAGTTTTTATTTGAAGATATTTGCTTTTCCAGTATAGGGCGAAATAGGGCTCCAAATATTCACTTGCAGATTCTACAAAAGGAGAGATTCCAAACTGCTCAATCAAAACATAGGTTCAACACTGTGAGTTGAATGCACACATCACAAAGAAGTTTCACAGAGTGCTTCTGGGTAGTTTTTATTTGAGGATATTTCCCTTTCCACAATAGGCCTCAAAGCTTTCCAAATATCCACTTGCAGATTCTGCAAAAAGAGAGATACAAAACTGCTCTATCAAAAGATAGATTCGACTCTGTGAGTTGAATGCCAACATCGCAAAGAAGTTTCTCAGAATGCTTCTCTGCAGCTTTTTTGTGAGTATGTTTCGTTTTCCACCATAGGGCGAAATGGGGCTCCAAATATCCACTTGCATTTCCTACAAAAAGAGAGATTCTAAGCTGCTCAATCAAAACATTGTTTCAACACGGTTAGTTGAATGCACACATCCCAAAGATGTTTTTCAGAGTGCTTCTGTGTGGTTTTTATGTGAAGATACTTCCTTTTCCACAATAGGCCTCAAATCTCTGTAAATATCCACTTGCAGACTCTACAAAGAGTGTTTCCAAACTCCTCAATCATAAGATAGGTTCAACTCCGATAGTTGAATGCACACATCACAAAGAAGTTTCTCGGAAAGCTTCTGTGTAGTTTTTGATGAAGATATCTTCTTCTCTAAAACAGAACTCCAAGCCCTCCAAATATTCACTTCAAGATTCTACGGAAAGATTGTCTCAAACTGCTAAATCAAAACAAAGGTTCAACTCTGTGTGATGAATGCATTCATCACAAAGAAGTTTCTCTGAGTGCTTCTGTGCAGTTTTTATTTGAAGATAATTGCTTTTCCAGTATAGGGCGAAATAGGGCTCCAAATATTCACTTGCAGATTCTACAGAAAGAGAGATTCCAAACTGCTCAATCAAAACATAGGTTCAACACTGTGAGTTGAATGCATACATCGCAAAGAAGTTTCACAGAGTACTTCTGGGTGGTTTTTATTTGAAGATATTTCCCTTTCCACAATAGGCCTCAAAGCTTTCCAAATGTCCACTTGCAGATTCCACCAAAAGAGTGTTTCGAAACTGCTCAATCAAAAGAAAGGTTCTACTCTGTGGGATGAATGCACACATCACAAAGTAGTTTCTCAGAATGCTTCTGTGTAGTTTTTATGTGAAGATATTTGTTTTTCCACAGTAGGCCCCAAAGAGCTCCAAATATTCACTTGCAGATTCTACAAAAAGAGTGTTCCAAAACTGCTCAATCATGAAATAGGATCAACCCTGTGAGATGAATGTACGTATGACAGAGAAGTTTCTCAGAATGCTTCTGTGTAGTTTTTATGCGAAGATATTCGACTTTCCACAGTACGCCTCAAAGTTCTCCAATTATCCACTCGTAGATCCCGCAAAAAGAGAGATTCAAAACTGCTCAATCAAAAGATAGTTTCTACTCCATTAGCTGAAAGACCACATCACAAAAAAAGTTTCTCAGGATGCTTCTGTGTAGTTTTTATGTGAAGATATTTGGTTTTCCACAGTAGGCCTCAAAGCGCTCCAAATATCCACTCACAGATTCTGCAAAAAGAGAGATTCAAAACTGCTGAATCAAAAGACAGTTTCAACTCTGTGACTTCAGTGCACACCTCACAAGGATGTTTCTCAGAATGCTTCTGTGTAGTTTTTATATAAAGATATCTCCTTCTCCAAAATGGATCTCAAAGTTCTCCAAATATTCACTTCCAGATTCTATGGAAAGATTGTCTCAAAACTGCTCAATCAAACCAAAGGTTCAACTCTGTGAGATAAATGCCCACATCACAAAGAAGTTTCTCAGAGTACTTCTGTGTAGTTTCTATTTGAGGATAGTTCCTTTTCCACCACAGACCAGAAAGGGCTCCAAATATCCATTGCAGATGGTACAAAAAGTGAGATTCAAAACTGCTCAATCCAAAGGTAGTTTCAACCATGTGATATGAATGCACACAGCACAGAGAATTTTCTCAAAATGCGTCTGTCTAGTTTTTATTTGAAGATATTTCCTTTTCTACCATAGGCCACAAACGTCTCCAAATATCCACATGCAGCTTCTACAAAAAGAGAGATTCAAAACTTCTCAATCAAAAGATAGGTTCAACTCTGTGAGTTGAAAGCACACCTCACAAAGAAGTTTCTCAGAGTGCTTCTGTGTGTTTTTATGTGAAGATATTTCCTTTTCCACAATAGGCCTCAAAGCTCTCCAAATATCTGCGAGCAGAGTCTACAAAATGAGAGATTCAAAACTGCTCAATGAAAAGATAGGTTCAACTCTGTGAGTTGAATGCACACCTCCAAAGAAGTTTCTCAGAATGCTTCCGTGTAGTTTTTATGTGAAGATATTTACTTTTCCACAGTTGTCCCAAAGCTCTAAAATATCCACTTGCAGACCCTCCAAAAGAGTGTTTCAGAATTGCTCAATCAAAGGGAAGGTTCAATTCTGTGTGACCAATGCACTCATCACAAAGAAGTTTGTCTGAATGCTTCTGTGTAGAATTGATTTGAAGATAATTCCTTTTCCACCACAGTCCGCAAAGGGCTAAAAATATCCACTTGCCGATTCCACAAAAAGAGAGATTCAAAACTGCTCAATCACAAGATAGGTTCAACTTGGTAATTGGAAAGCACACATGACAAACAATTTCTGAGAATGTTTCTGTGTAGTTTTTAAGGGAAGATATTTGATTTTCAAATGTAGGCCTCAAATCGCTCCAAATATCCACTTGCATATTGTACAAAAAGAGAGATTCAAAACTGGTCACTCAAAAGTTAGGTCCAGCTCTGTGAGCTGAATGCACACATCACAAAGATGTTTCTCAGAAGGTTTCTGTATAGTTTCTATATGAAGATATTGGCTTTTCCACAATATGCCTCAAATCTCCCCAATTATCCACTTGCAGATTCTAGAAAAAGAGTGTTTCAAAACAGCTCAATCAAAATAAACTTTCAACTCTGTGAGATCAATGCACACATCACAAAGAAGTTTCTCAGAATGCTTCTGTGTAGTTTTTTTTGTGAAGATATTTGATTTTCCACAGCAGGCTTCCAAGCACTCCAAATATCCACTCGCAGATTCTGCAAAAAGAGAGATTCAAATCTGCTGAATCAAAAGATAGGTTTAACTCTGTGACTTCAATGCACACCTCACAAGGGTGTTTCTCAGAAAGCTTCTGTGTAGTTTTTATATGAAGATATCTCCTTCTCCAAAGCAGGTCTCAAAGCCCTCCAAATATTCACTTCAAGATTCTACGGAAAGATTGTCTCAACACTGCTAAATCTAAACAAATGTTCAACTCTGTGTGATGAATGCACTCATCACAGAGAAGTTTCTCTGAATGCCTCTGTGTAGTTTTTATTTGAAGATATTTGCTTTTCCAGTATAGGGCGAAATAGGGCTCCAAATATTCACTTGCAGATTCTACAAAAGGAGAGATTCCAAACTGCTCAATCAAAACATAGGTTCAACACTGTGAGTTGAATGCACACATCACAAAGAAGTTTCACAGAGTGCTTCTGGGTAGTTTTTATTTGAGGATATTTCCCTTTCCACAATAGGCCTCAAAGCTTTCCAAATATCCACTTGCAGATTCTGCAAAAAGAGAGATACAAAACTGCTCTATCAAAAGATAGATTCAACTCTGTGAGTTGAATGCCAACATCGCAAAGAAGTTTCTCAGAATGCTTCTCTGCAGCTTTTTTGTGAGTATGTTTCGTTTTCCACCATAGGGCGAAATGGGGCTCCAAATATCCACTTGCATTTCCTACAAAAAGAGAGATTCTAAGCTGCTCAATCAAAACATTGTTTCAACACGGTTAGTTGAATGCACACATCCCAAAGATGTTTTTCAGAGTGCTTCTGTGTGGTTTTTATGTGAAGATACTTCCTTTTCCACAATAGGCCTCAAATCTCTGTAAATATCCACTTGCAGACTCTACAAAGAGTGTTTCCAAACTGCTCAATCATAAGATAGGTTCAACTCCGATAGTTGAATGCACACATCACAAAGAAGTTTCTCAGAAAGCTTCTGTGTAGTTTTTGATGAAGATATCTTCTTCTCTAAAACAGAACTCCAAGCCCTCCAAATATTCACTTCAAGATTCTACGGAAAGATTGTCTCAAAACTCCTAAATCAAAACAAAGTTTCAACTCTGTGTCATGAATGCATTCATCTCAAAGAAGTTTCTCTGAATGCTTCTGTGCAGTTTTTATTTGAAGATAATTGCTTTTCCAGTATAGGGCGAAATAGGGCTCCAAATATTCACTTGCAGATTCTACAGAAAGAGAGATTCCAAACTGCTCAATCAAAACATAGGTTCAACACTGTGAGTTGAATGCATACATCGCAAAGAAGTTTCACAGAGTACTTCTGGGTGGTTTTTATTTGAAGATATTTCCCTTTCCACAATAGGCCTCAAAGCTTTCCAAATGTCCACTTGCAGATTCCACCAAAAGAGTGTTTCGAAACTGCTCAATCAAAAGAAAGGTTCTACTCTGTGGGATGAATGCACACATCACAAAGTAGTTTCTCAGAATGCTTCTGTGTAGTTTTTATGTGAAGATATTTGTTTTTCCACAGTAGGCCCCAAAGAGCTCCAAATATTCACTTGCAGATTCTACAAAAAGAGTGTTCCAAAACTGCTCAATCATGAAATAGGATCAACCCTGTGAGATGAATGTACGTATGACAGAGAAGTTTCTCAGAATGCTTCTGTGTAGTTTTTATGCGAAGATATTCGATTTTCCACAGTACGCCTCAAAGTTCTCCAATTATCCACTCGTAGATTCTGCAAAAAGAGAGATTCAAAACTGCTCAATCAAAAGATAGTTTCTACTCCATTAGCTGAAAGACCACATCACAAAAAAAGTTTCTCAGGATGCTTCTGTGTAGTTTTTATGTGAAGATATTTGGTTTTCCACAGTAGGCCTCAAAGCGCTCCAAATATCCACTCACAGATTCTGCAAAAAGAGAGATTCAAAACTGCTGAATCAAAAGACAGTTTCAACTCTGTGACTTCAGTGCACACCTCACAAGGATGTTTCTCAGAATGCTTCTGTGTAGTTTTTATATAAAGATATCTCCTTCTCCAAAATGGATCTCAAAGTTCCCCAAATATTCACTTCCAGATTCTATGGAAAGATTGTCTCAAAACTGCTCAATCAAACCAAAGGTTCAACTCTGTGAGATGAATGCACACATCACAAAGAAGTTTCTCAGAGTACTTCTGTGTAGTTTCTATTTGAGGATAGTTCCTTTTCCACCACAGACCAGAAAGGGCTCCAAATATCCATTGCAGATGGTACAAAAAGTGAGATTCAAAACTGCTCAATCCAAAGGTAGTTTCAACCATGTGATATGAATGCACACAGCACAGAGAATTTTCTCAAAATGCGTCTGTCTAGTTTTTATTTGAAGATATTTCCTTTTCTACCATAGGCCACAAACGTCTCCAAATATCCACATGCAGCTTCTACAAAAAGAGAGATTCAAAACTTCTCAATCAAAAGATAGGTTCAACTCTGTGAGTTGAAAGCACACCTCACAAAGAAGTTTCTCAGAGTGCTTCTGTGTGTTTTTATGTGAAGATATTTCCTTTTCCACAATAGGCCTCAAAGCTCTCCAAATATCTGCGAGCAGAGTCTACAAAATGAGAGATTCAAAACTGCTCAATGAAAAGATAGGTTCAACTCTGTGAGTTGAATGCACACCTCCAAAGAAGTTTCTCAGAATGCTTCCGTGTAGTTTTTATGTGAAGATATTTACTTTTCCACAGTTGTCCCAAAGCTCTAAAATATCCACTTGCAGACCCTCCAAAAGAGTGTTTCAGAATTGCTCAATCAAAGGGAAGGTTCAATTCTGTGTGACCAATGCACTCATCACAAAGAAGTTTGTCTGAATGCTTCTGTGTAGAATTGATTTGAAGATAATTCCTTTTCCACCACAGTCCGCAAAGGGCTAAAAATATCCACTTGCCGATTCCACAAAAAGAGAGATTCAAAACTGCTCAATCACAAGATAGGTTCAACTTGGTAATTGGAAAGCACACATGACAAACAATTTCTGAGAATGTTTCTGTGTAGTTTTTAAGGGAAGATATTTGATTTTCAAATGTAGGCCTCAAATCGCTCCAAATATCCACTTGCATATTGTACAAAAAGAGAGATTCAAAACTGGTCACTCAAAAGTTAGGTCCAGCTCTGTGAGCTGAATGCACACATCACAAAGATGTTTCTCAGAAGTTTCTGTATAGTTTTTATATGAAGATATTGGCTTTTCCACAATATGCCTCAAATCTCCCCAATTATCCACTTGCAGATTCTAGAAAAAGAGTGTTTCACAAACAGCTCAATCAAAATAAACTTTCAACTCTGTGAGATCAATGCACACATCACAAAGAAGTTTCTCAGAATGCTTCTGTGTAGTTTTTTTTGTGAAGATATTTGATTTTCCACAGCAGGCTTCCAAGCACTCCAAATATCCACTCGCAGATTCTGCAAAAAGAGAGATTCAAATCTGCTGAATCAAAAGATAGGTTTAACTCTGTGACTTCAATGCACACCTCACAAGGGTGTTTCTCAGAAAGCTTCTGTGTAGTTTTTATATGAAGATATCTCCTTCTCCAAAGCAGGTCTCAAAGCCCTCCAAATATTCACTTCAAGATTCTACGGAAAGATTGTCTCAACACTGCTAAATCTAAACAAATGTTCAACTCTGTGTGATGAATGCACTCATCACAGAGAAGTTTCTCTGAATGCCTCTGTGTAGTTTTTATTTGAAGATATTTGCTTTTCCAGTATAGGGCGAAATAGGGCTCCAAATATTCACTTGCAGATTCTACAAAAGGAGAGATTCCAAACTGCTCAATCAAAACATAGGTTCAACACTGTGAGTTGAATGCACACATCACAAAGAAGTTTCACAGAGTGCTTCTGGGTAGTTTTTATTTGAGGATATTTCCCTTTCCACAATAGGCCTCAAAGCTTTCCAAATATCCACTTGCAGATTCTGCAAAAAGAGAGATACAAAACTGCTCTATCAAAAGATAGATTCGACTCTGTGAGTTGAATGCCAACATCGCAAAGAAGTTTCTCAGAATGCTTCTCTGCAGCTTTTTTGTGAGTATGTTTCGTTTTCCACCATAGGGCGAAATGGGGCTCCAAATATCCACTTGCATTTCCTACAAAAAGAGAGATTCTAAGCTGCTCAATCAAAACATTGTTTCAACACGGTTAGTTGAATGCACACATCCCAAAGATGTTTTTCAGAGTGCTTCTGTGTGGTTTTTATGTGAAGATACTTCCTTTTCCACAATAGGCCTCAAATCTCTGTAAATATCCACTTGCAGACTCTACAAAGAGTGTTTCCAAACTGCTCAATCATAAGATAGGTTCAACTCCGATAGTTGAATGCACACATCACAAAGAAGTTTCTCAGAAAGCTTCTGTGTAGTTTTTGATGAAGATATCTTCTTCTCTAAAACAGAACTCCAAGCCCTCCAAATATTCACTTCAAGATTCTACGGAAAGATTGTCTCAAACTGCTAAATCAAAACAAAGGTTCAACTCTGTGTGATGAATGCATTCATCACAAAGAAGTTTCTCTGAGTGCTTCTGTGCAGTTTTTATTTGAAGATAATTGCTTTTCCAGTATAGGGCGAAATAGGGCTCCAAATATTCACTTGCAGATTCTACAGAAAGAGAGATTCCAAACTGCTCAATCAAAACATAGGTTCAACACTGTGAGTTGAATGCATACATCGCAAAGAAGTTTCACAGAGTACTTCTGGGTGGTTTTTATTTGAAGATATTTCCCTTTCCACAATAGGCCTCAAAGCTTTCCAAATGTCCACTTGCAGATTCCACCAAAAGAGTGTTTCGAAACTGCTCAATCAAAAGAAAGGTTCTACTCTGTGGGATGAATGCACACATCACAAAGTAGTTTCTCAGAATGCTTCTGTGTAGTTTTTATGTGAAGATATTTGTTTTTCCACAGTAGGCCCCAAAGAGCTCCAAATATTCACTTGCAGATTCTACAAAAAGAGTGTTCCAAAACTGCTCCATCATGAAATAGGATCAACCCTGTGAGATGAATGTACGTATGACAGAGAAGTTTCTCAGAATGCTTCTGTGTAGTTTTTATGCGAAGATATTCGACTTTCCACAGTACGCCTCAAAGTTCTCCAATTATCCACTCGTAGATCCTGCAAAAAGAGAGATTCAAAACTGCTCAATCAAAAGATAGTTTCTACTCCATTAGCTGAAAGACCACATCACAAAAAAAGTTTCTCAGGATGCTTCTGTGTAGTTTTTATGTGAAGATATTTGGTTTTCCACAGTAGGCCTCAAAGCGCTCCAAATATCCACTCACAGATTCTGCAAAAAGAGAGATTCAAAACTGCTGAATCAAAAGACAGTTTCAACTCTGTGACTTCAGTGCACACCTCACAAGGATGTTTCTCAGAATGCTTCTGTGTAGTTTTTATATAAAGATATCTCCTTCTCCAAAATGGATCTCAAAGTTCTCCAAATATTCACTTCCAGATTCTATGGAAAGATTGTCTCAAAACTGCTCAATCAAACCAAAGGTTCAACTCTGTGAGATGAATGCCCACATCACAAAGAAGTTTCTCAGAGTACTTCTGTGTAGTTTCTATTTGAGGATAGTTCCTTTTCCACCACAGACCAGAAAGGGCTCCAAATATCCATTGCAGATGGTACAAAAAGTGAGATTCAAAACTGCTCAATCCAAAGGTAGTTTCAACCATGTGATATGAATGCACACAGCACAGAGAATTTTCTCAAAATGCGTCTGTCTAGTTTTTATTTGAAGATATTTCCTTTTCTACCATAGGCCACAAACGTCTCCAAATATCCACATGCAGCTTCTACAAAAAGAGAGATTCAAAACTTCTCAATCAAAAGATAGGTTCAACTCTGTGAGTTGAAAGCACACCTCACAGAGAAGTTTCTCAGAGTGCTTCTGTGTGTTTTTATGTGAAGATATTTCCTTTTCCACAATAGGCCTCAAAGCTCTCCAAATATCTGCGAGCAGAGTCTACAAAATGAGAGATTCAAAACTGCTCAATTAAAAGATAGGTTCAACTCTGTGAGTTGAATGCACACCTCCAAAGAAGTTTCTCAGAATGCTTCCGTGTAGTTTTTATGTGAAGATATTTACTTTTCCACAGTTGTCCCAAAGCTCTAAAATGTCCACTTGCAGACCCTCCAAAAGAGTGTTTCAGAATTGCTCAATCAAAGGGAAGGTTCAATTCTGTGTGACCAATGCACTCATCACAAAGAAGTTTGTCTGAATGCTTCTGTGTAGAATTGATTTGAAGATAATTCCTTTTCCACCACAGTCCGCAAAGGGCTAAAAATATCCACTTGCCGATTCCACAAAAAGAGAGATTCAAAACTGCTCAATCACAAGATAGGTTCAACTTGGTAATTGGAAAGCACACATGACAAACAATTTCTGAGAATGTTTCTGTGTAGTTTTTAAGGGAAGATATTTGATTTTCAAATGTAGGCCTCAAATCGCTCCAAATATCCACTTGCATATTGTACAAAAAGAGAGATTCAAAACTGGTCACTCAAAAGTTAGGTCCAGCTCTGTGAGCTGAATGCACACATCACAAAGATGTTTCTCAGAAGGTTTCTGTATAGTTTCTATATGAAGATATTGGCTTTTCCACAATATGCCTCAAATCTCCCCAATTATCCACTTGCAGATTCTAGAAAAAGAGTGTTTCAAAACAGCTCAATCAAAATAAACTTTCAACTCTGTGAGATCAATGCACACATCACAAAGAAGTTTCTCAGAATGCTTCTGTGTAGTTTTTTTTGTGAAGATATTTGATTTTCCACAGCAGGCTTCCAAGCACTCCAAATATCCACTCGCAGATTCTGCAAAAAGAGAGATTCAAATCTGCTGAATCAAAAGATAGGTTTAACTCTGTGACTTCAATGCACACCTCACAAGGGTGTTTCTCAGAAAGCTTCTGTGTAGTTTTTATATGAAGATATCTCCTTCTCCAAAGCAGGTCTCAAAGCCCTCCAAATATTCACTTCAAGATTCTACGGAAAGATTGTCTCAACACTGCTAAATCTAAACAAATGTTCAACTCTGTGTGATGAATGCACTCATCACAGAGAAGTTTCTCTGAATGCCTCTGTGTAGTTTTTATTTGAAGATATTTGCTTTTCCAGTATAGGGCGAAATAGGGCTCCAAATATTCACTTGCAGATTCTACAAAAGGAGAGATTCCAAACTGCTCAATCAAAACATAGGTTCAACACTTGTGAGTTGAATGCACACATCACAAAGAAGTTTCACAGAGTGCTTCTGGGTAGTTTTTATTTGAGGATATTTCCCTTTCCACAATAGGCCTCAAAGCTTTCCAAATATCCACTTGCAGATTCTGCAAAAAGAGAGATACAAAACTGCTCTATCAAAAGATAGATTCGACTCTGTGAGTTGAATGCCAACATCGCAAAGAAGTTTCTCAGAATGCTTCTCTGCAGCTTTTTTGTGAGTATGTTTCGTTTTCCACCATAGGGCGAAATGGGGCTCCAAATATCCACTTGCATTTCCTACAAAAAGAGAGATTCTAAGCTGCTCAATCAAAACATTGTTTCAACACGGTTAGTTGAATGCACACATCCCAAAGATGATTTTCAGAGTGCTTCTGTGTGGTTTTTATGTGAAGATACTTCCTTTTCCACAATAGGCCTCAAATCTCTGTAAATATCCACTTGCAGACTCTACAAAGAGTGTTTCCAAACTCCTCAATCATAAGATAGGTTCAACTCCGATAGTTGAATGCACACATCACAAAGAAGTTTCTCAGAAAGCTTCTGTGAGTTTTTGATGAAGATATCTCCTTCTCTAAAACAGAACTCCAAGCCCTCCAAATATTCACTTCAAGATTCTACGGAAAGATTGTCTCAAAACTCCTAAATCAAAACAAAGTTTCAACTCTGTGTCATGAATGCATTCATCTCAAAGAAGTTTCTCTGAATGCTTCTGTGCAGTTTTTATTTGAAGATAATTGCTTTTCCAGTATAGGGCGAAATAGGGCTCCAAATATTCACTTGCAGATTCTACAGAAAGAGAGATTCCAAACTGCTCAATCAAAACATAGGTTCAACACTGTGAGTTGAATGCATACATCGCAAAGAAGTTTCACAGAGTACTTCTGGGTGGTTTTTATTTGAAGATATTTCCCTTTCCACAATAGGCCTCAAAGCTTTCCAAATGTCCACTTGCAGATTCCACCAAAAGAGTGTTTCGAAACTGCTCAATCAAAAGAAAGGTTCTACTCTGTGGGATGAATGCACACATCACAAAGTAGTTTCTCAGAATGCTTCTGTGTAGTTTTTATGTGAAGATATTTGTTTTTCCACAGTAGGCCCCAAAGAGCTCCAAATATTCACTTGCAGATTCTACAAAAAGAGTGTTCCAAAACTGCTCAATCATGAAATAGGATCAACCCTGTGAGATGAATGTACGTATGACAGAGAAGTTTCTCAGAATGCTTCTGTGTAGTTTTTATGCGAAGATATTCGATTTTCCACAGTACGCCTCAAAGTTCTCCAATTATCCACTCGTAGATTCTGCAAAAAGAGAGATTCAAAACTGCTCAATCAAAAGATAGTTTCTACTCCATTAGCTGAAAGACCACATCACAAAAAAAGTTTCTCAGGATGCTTCTGTGTAGTTTTTATGTGAAGATATTTGGTTTTCCACAGTAGGCCTCAAAGCGCTCCAAATATCCACTCACAGATTCTGCAAAAAGAGAGATTCAAAACTGCTGAATCAAAAGACAGTTTCAACTCTGTGACTTCAGTGCACACCTCACAAGGATGTTTCTCAGAATGCTTCTGTGTAGTTTTCATATATAGATATCTCCTTCTCCAAAATGGATCTCAAAGTTCTCCAAATATTCACTTCCAGATTCTATGGAAAGATTGTCTCAAAACTGCTCAATCAAACCAAAGGTTCAACTCTGTGAGATGAATGCCCACATCACAAAGAAGTTTCTCAGAGTACTTCTGTGTAGTTTCTATTTGAGGATAGTTCCTTTTCCACCACAGACCAGAAAGGGCTCCAAATATCCATTGCAGATGGTACAAAAAGTGAGATTCAAAACTGCTCAATCCAAAGGTAGTTTCAACCATGTGATATGAATGCACACAGCACAGAGAATTTTCTCAAAATGCGTCTGTCTAGTTTTTATTTGAAGATATTTCCTTTTCTACCATAGGCCACAAACGTCTCCAAATATCCACATGCAGCTTCTACAAAAAGAGAGATTCAAAACTTCTCAATCAAAAGATAGGTTCAACTCTGTGAGTTGAAAGCACACCTCACAAAGAAGTTTCTCAGAGTGCTTCTGTGTGTTTTTATGTGAAGATATTTCCTTTTCCACAATAGGCCTCAAAGCTCTCCAAATATCTGCGAGCAGAGTCTACAAAATGAGAGATTCAAAACTGCTCAATGAAAAGATAGGTTCAACTCTGTGAGTTGAATGCACACCTCCAAAGAAGTTTCTCAGAATGCTTCCGTGTAGTTTTTATGTGAAGATATTTACTTTTCCACAGCTGTCCCAAAGCTCTAAAATATCCACTTGCAGACCCTCCAAAAGAGTGTTTCAGAATTGCTCAATCAAAGGGAAGGTTCAATTCTGTGTGACCAATGCACTCATCACAAAGAAGTTTGTCTGAATGCTTCTGTGTAGAATTGATTTGAAGATAATTCCTTTTCCACCACAGTCCGCAAAGGGCTAAAAATATCCACTTGCCGATTCCACAAAAAGAGAGATTCAAAACTGCTCAATCACAAGATAGGTTCAACTTGGTAATTGGAAAGCACACATGACAAACAATTTCTGAGAATGTTTCTGTGTAGTTTTTAAGGGAAGATATTTGATTTTCAAATGTAGGCCTCAAATCGCTCCAAATATCCACTTGCATATTGTACAAAAAGAGAGATTCAAAACTGGTCACTCAAAAGTTAGGTCCAGCTCTGTGAGCTGAATGCACACATCACAAAGATGTTTCTCAGAAGGTTTCTGTATAGTTTCTATATGAAGATATTGGCTTTTCCACAATATGCCTCAAATCTCCCCAATTATCCACTTGCAGATTCTAGAAAAAGAGTGTTTCAAAACAGCTCAATCAAAATAAACTTTCAACTCTGTGAGATCAATGCACACATCACAAAGAAGTTTCTCAGAATGCTTCTGTGTAGTTTTTTTTGTGAAGATATTTGATTTTCCACAGCAGGCTTCCAAGCACTCCAAATATCCACTCGCAGATTCTGCAAAAAGAGAGATTCAAATCTGCTGAATCAAAAGATAGGTTTAACTCTGTGACTTCAATGCACACCTCACAAGGGTGTTTCTCAGAAAGCTTCTGTGTAGTTTTTATATGAAGATATCTCCTTCTCCAAAGCAGGTCTCAAAGCCCTCCAAATATTCACTTCAAGATTCTACGGAAAGATTGTCTCAACACTGCTAAATCTAAACAAATGTTCAACTCTGTGTGATGAATGCACTCATCACAGAGAAGTTTCTCTGAATGCCTCTGTGTAGTTTTTATTTGAAGATATTTGCTTTTCCAGTATAGGGCGAAATAGGGCTCCAAATATTCACTTGCAGATTCTACAAAAGGAGAGATTCCAAACTGCTCAATCAAAACATAGGTTCAACACTGTGAGTTGAATGCACACATCACAAAGAAGTTTCACAGAGTGCTTCTGGGTAGTTTTTATTTGAGGATATTTCCCTTTCCACAATAGGCCTCAAAGCTTTCCAAATATCCACTTGCAGATTCTGCAAAAAGAGAGATACAAAACTGCTCTATCAAAAGATAGATTCGACTCTGTGAGTTGAATGCCAACATCGCAAAGAAGTTTCTCAGAATGCTTCTCTGCAGCTTTTTTGTGAGTATGTTTCGTTTTCCACCATAGGGCGAAATGGGGCTCCAAATATCCACTTGCATTTCCTACAAAAAGAGAGATTCTAAGCTGCTCAATCAAAACATTGTTTCAACACGGTTAGTTGAATGCACACATCCCAAAGATGTTTTTCAGAGTGCTTCTGTGTGGTTTTTATGTGAAGATACTTCCTTTTCCACAATAGGCCTCAAATCTCTGTAAATATCCACTTGCAGACTCTACAAAGAGTGTTTCCAAACTGCTCAATCATAAGATAGGTTCAACTCCGATAGTTGAATGCACACATCACAAAGAAGTTTCTCAGAAAGCTTCTGTGTAGTTTTTGATGAAGATATCTTCTTCTCTAAAACAGAACTCCAAGCCCTCCAAATATTCACTTCAAGATTCTACGGAAAGATTGTCTCAAAACTCCTAAATCAAAACAAAGTTTCAACTCTGTGTCATGAATGCATTCATCTCAAAGAAGTTTCTCTGAGTGCTTCTGTGCAGTTTTTATTTGAAGATAATTGCTTTTCCAGTATAGGGCGAAATAGGGCTCCAAATATTCACTTGCAGATTCTACAGAAAGAGAGATTCCAAACTGCTCAATCAAAACATAGGTTCAACACTGTGAGTTGAATGCATACATCGCAAAGAAGTTTCACAGAGTACTTCTGGGTGGTTTTTATTTGAAGATATTTCCCTTTCCACAATAGGCCTCAAAGCTTTCCAAATGTCCACTTGCAGATTCCACCAAAAGAGTGTTTCGAAACTGCTCAATCAAAAGAAAGGTTCTACTCTGTGGGATGAATGCACACATCACAAAGTAGTTTCTCAGAATGCTTCTGTGCAGTTTTTATGTGAAGATAGTTGTTTTTCCACAGTAGGCCCCAAAGAGCTCCAAATATTCACTTGCAGATTCTACAAAAAGAGTGTTCCAAAACTGCTCAATCATGAAATAGGATCAACCCTGTGAGATGAATGTACGTATGACAGAGAAGTTTCTCAGAATGCTTCTGTGTAGTTTTTATGCGAAGATATTCGATTTTCCACAGTACGCCTCAAAGTTCTCCAATTATCCACTCGTAGATTCTGCAAAAAGAGAGATTCAAAACTGCTCAATCAAAAGATAGTTTCTACTCCATTAGCTGAAAGACCACATCACAAAAAAAGTTTCTCAGGATGCTTCTGTGTAGTTTTTATGTGAAGATATTTGGTTTTCCACAGTAGGCCTCAAAGCGCTCCAAATATCCACTCACAGATTCTGCAAAAAGAGAGATTCAAAACTGCTGAATCAAAAGACAGTTTCAACTCTGTGACTTCAGTGCACACCTCACAAGGATGTTTCTCAGAATGCTTCTGTGTAGTTTTCATATAAAGATATCTCCTTCTCCAAAATGGATCTCAAAGTTCTCCAAATATTCACTTCCAGATTCTATGGAAAGATTGTCTCAAAACTGCTCAATCAAACCAAAGGTTCAACTCTGTGAGATGAATGCCCACATCACAAAGAAGTTTCTCAGAGTACTTCTGTGTAGTTTCTATTTGAGGATAGTTCCTTTTCCACCACAGACCAGAAAGGGCTCCAAATATCCATTGCAGATGGTACAAAAATGAGATTCAAAACTGCTCAATCCAAAGGTAGTTTCAACCATGTGATATGAATGCACACAGCACAGAGAATTTTCTCAAAATGCGTCTGTCTAGTTTTTATTTGAAGATATTTCCTTTTCTACCATAGGCCACAAACGTCTCCAAATATCCACATGCAGCTTCTACAAAAAGAGAGATTCAAAACTTCTCAATCAAAAGATAGGTTCAACTCTGTGAGTTGAAAGCACACCTCACAAAGAAGTTTCTCAGAGTGCTTCTGTGTGTTTTTATGTGAAGATATTTCCTTTTCCACAATAGGCCTCAAAGCTCTCCAAATATCTGCGAGCAGAGTCTACAAAATGAGAGATTCAAAACTGCTCAATGAAAAGATAGGTTCAACTCTGTGAGTTGAATGCACACCTCCAAAGAAGTTTCTCAGAATGCTTCCGTGTAGTTTTTATGTGAAGATATTTACTTTTCCACAGTTGTCCCAAAGCTCTAAAATATCCACTTGCAGACCCTCCAAAAGAGTGTTTCAGAATTGCTCAATCAAAGGGAAGGTTCAATTCTGTGTGACCAATGCACTCATCACAAAGAAGTTTGTCTGAATGCTTCTGTGTAGAATTGATTTGAAGATAATTCCTTTTCCACCACAGTCCGCAAAGGGCTAAAAATATCCACTTGCCGATTCCACAAAAAGAGAGATTCAAAACTGCTCAATCACAAGATAGGTTCAACTTGGTAATTGGAAAGCACACATGACAAACAATTTCTGAGAATGTTTCTGTGTAGTTTTTAAGGGAAGATATTTGATTTTCAAATGTAGGCCTCAAATCGCTCCAAATATCCACTTGCATATTGTACGAAAAGAGAGATTCAAAACTGGTCACTCGAAAGTTAGGTCCAGCTCTGTGAGCTGAATGCACACATCACAAAGATGTTTCTCAGAAGGTTTCTGTATAGTTTTTATATGAAGATATTTGCTTTTCCACAATATGCCTCAAATCTCCCCAATTATCCACTTGCAGATTCTAGAAAAAGAGTGTTTCAAAACAGCTCAATCAAAATAAACTTTCAACTCTGTGAGATCAATGCACACATCACAAAGAAGTTTCTCAGAATGCTTCTGTGTAGTTTTTTTTGTGAAGATATTTGATTTTCCACAGCAGGCTTCCAAGCACTCCAAATATCCACTCGCAGATTCTGCAAAAAGAGAGATTCAAATCTGCTGAATCAAAAGATAGGTTTAACTCTGTGACTTCAATGCACACCTCACAAGGGTGTTTCTCAGAAAGCTTCTGTGTAGTTTTTATATGAAGATATCTCCTTCTCCAAAGCAGGTCTCAAAGCCCTCCAAATATTCACTTCAAGATTCTACGGAAAGATTGTCTCAACACTGCTAAATCTAAACAAATGTTCAACTCTGTGTGATGAATGCACTCATCACAGAGAAGTTTCTCTGAATGCCTCTGTGTAGTTTTTATTTGAAGATATTTGCTTTTCCAGTATAGGGCGAAATAGGGCTCCAAATATTCACTTGCAGATTCTACAAAAGGAGAGATTCCAAACTGCTCAATCAAAACATAGGTTCAACACTGTGAGTTGAATGCACACATCACAAAGAAGTTTCACAGAGTGCTTCTGGGTAGTTTTTATTTGAGGATATTTCCCTTTCCACAATAGGCCTCAAAGCTTTCCAAATATCCACTTGCAGATTCTGCAAAAAGAGAGATACAACACTGCTCTATCAAAAGATAGATTCGACTCTGTGAGTTGAATGCCAACATCGCAAAGAAGTTTCTCAGAATGCTTCTCTGCAGCTTTTTTGTGAGTATGTTTCGTTTTCCACCATAGGGCGAAATGGGGCTCCAAATATCCACTTGCATTTCCTACAAAAAGAGAGATTCTAAGCTGCTCAATCAAAACATTGTTTCAACACGGTTAGTTGAATGCACACATCCCAAAGATGTTTTTCAGAGTGCTTCTGTGTGGTTTTTATGTGAAGATACTTCCTTTTCCACAATAGGCCTCAAATCTCTGTAAATATCCACTTGCAGACTCTACAAAGAGTGTTTCCAAACTGCTCAATCATAAGATAGGTTCAACTCCGATAGTTGAATGCACACATCACAAAGAAGTTTCTCGGAAAGCTTCTGTGTAGTTTTTGATGAAGATATCTTCTTCTCTAAAACAGAACTCCAAGCCCTCCAAATATTCACTTCAAGATTCTACGGAAAGATTGTCTCAAACTGCTAAATCAAAACAAAGGTTCAACTCTGTGTGATGAATGCATTCATCACAAAGAAGTTTCTCTGAGTGCTTCTGTGCAGTTTTTATTTGAAGATAATTGCTTTTCCAGTATAGGGCGAAATAGGGCTCCAAATATTCACTTGCAGATTCTACAGAAAGAGAGATTCCAAACTGCTCAATCAAAACATAGGTTCAACACTGTGAGTTGAATGCATACATCGCAAAGAAGTTTCACAGAGTACTTCTGGGTGGTTTTTATTTGGAGATATTTCCCTTTCCACAATAGGCCTCAAAGCTTTCCAAATGTCCACTTGCAGATTCCACCAAAAGAGTGTTTCGAAACTGCTCAATCAAAAGAAAGGTTCTACTCTGTGGGATGAATGCACACATCACAAAGTAGTTTCTCAGAATGCTTCTGTGTAGTTTTTATGTGAAGATAGTTGTTTTTCCACAGTAGGCCCCAAAGAGCTCCAAATATTCACTTGTAGATTCTACAAAAAGAGTGTTCCAAAACTGCTCAATCATGAAATAGGATCAACCCTGTGAGATGAATGTACGTATGACAGAGAAGTTTCTCAGAATGCTTCTGTGTAGTTTTTATGCGAAGATATTCGATTTTCCACAGTACGCCTCAAAGTTCTCCAATTATCCACTCGTAGATTCTGCAAAAAGAGAGATTCAAAACTGCTCAATCAAAAGATAGTTTCTACTCCATTAGCTGAAAGACCACATCACAAAAAAAGTTTCTCAGGATGCTTCTGTGTAGTTTTTATGTGAAGATATTTGGTTTTCCACAGTAGGCCTCAAAGCGCTCCAAATATCCACTCACAGATTCTGCAAAAAGAGAGATTCAAAACTGCTGAATCAAAAGACAGTTTCAACTCTGTGACTTCAGTGCACACCTCACAAGGATGTTTCTCAGAATGCTTCTGTGTAGTTTTCATATAAAGATATCTCCTTCTCCAAAATGGATCTCAAAGTTCTCCAAATATTCACTTCCAGATTCTATGGAAAGATTGTCTCAAAACTGCTCAATCAAACCAAAGGTTCAACTCTGTGAGATGAATGCCCACATCACAAAGAAGTTTCTCAGAGTACTTCTGTGTAGTTTCTATTTGAGGATAGTTCCTTTTCCACCACAGACCAGAAAGGGCTCCAAATATCCATTGCAGATGGTACAAAAAGTGAGATTCAAAACTGCTCAATCCAAAGGTAGTTTCAACCATGTGATATGAATGCACACAGCACAGAGAATTTTCTCAAAATGCGTCTGTCTAGTTTTTATTTGAAGATATTTCCTTTTCTACCATAGGCCACAAACGTCTCCAAATATCCACATGCAGCTTCTACAAAAAGAGAGATTCAAAACTTCTCAATCAAAAGATAGGTTCAACTCTGTGAGTTGAAAGCACACCTCACAAAGAAGTTTCTCAGAGTGCTTCTGTGTGTTTTTATGTGAAGATATTTCCTTTTCCACAATAGGCCTCAAAGCTCTCCAAATATCTGCGAGCAGAGTCTACAAAATGAGAGATTCAAAACTGCTCAATGAAAAGATAGGTTCAACTCTGTGAGTTGAATGCACACCTCCAAAGAAGTTTCTCAGAATGCTTCCGTGCAGTTTTTATGTGAAGATATTTACTTTTCCACAGTTGTCCCAAAGCTCTAAAATATCCACTTGCAGACCCTCCAAAAGAGTGTTTCAGAATTGCTCAATCAAAGGGAAGGTTCAATTCTGTGTGACCAATGCACTCATCACAAAGAAGTTTGTCTGAATGCTTCTGTGTAGAATTGATTTGAAGATAATTCCTTTTCCACCACAGTCCGCAAAGGGCTAAAAATATCCACTTGCCGATTCCACAAAAAGAGAGATTCAAAACTGCTCAATCACAAGATAGGTTCAACTTGGTAATTGGAAAGCACACATGACAAACAATTTCTGAGAATGTTTCTGTGTAGTTTTTAAGGGAAGATATTTGATTTTCAAATGTAGGCCTCAAATCGCTCCAAATATCCACTTGCATATTGTACAAAAAGAGAGATTCAAAACTGGTCACTCAAAAGTTAGGTCCAGCTCTGTGAGCTGAATGCACACATCACAAAGATGTTTCTCAGAAGGTTTCTGTATAGTTTCTATATGAAGATATTGGCTTTTCCACAATATGCCTCAAATCTCCCCAATTATCCACTTGCAGATTCTAGAAAAAGAGTGTTTCAAAACAGCTCAATCAAAATAAACTTTCAACTCTGTGAGATCAATGCACACATCACAAAGAAGTTTCTCAGAATGCTTCTGTGTAGTTTTTTTTGTGAAGATATTTGATTTTCCACAGCAGGCTTCCAAGCACTCCAAATATCCACTCGCAGATTCTGCAAAAAGAGAGATTCAAATCTGCTGAATCAAAAGATAGGTTTAACTCTGTGACTTCAATGCACACCTCACAAGGGTGTTTCTCAGAAAGCTTCTGTGTAGTTTTTATATGAAGATATCTCCTTCTCCAAAGCAGGTCTCGAAGCCCTCCAAATATTCACTTCAAGATTCTACGGAAAGATTGTCTCAACACTGCTAAATCTAAACAAATGTTCAACTCTGTGTGATGAATGCACTCATCACAGAGAAGTTTCTCTGAATGCTTCTGTGTAGTTTTTATTTGAAGATATTTGCTTTTCCAGTATAGGGCGAAATAGGGCTCCAAATATTCACTTGCAGATTCTACAAAAGGAGAGATTCCAAACTGCTCAATCAAAACGTAGGTTCAACACTGTGAGTTGAATGCACACATCACAAAGAAGTTTCACAGAGTGCTTCTGGGTAGTTTTTATTTGAGGATATTTCCCTTTCCACAATAGGCCTCAAAGCTTTCCAAATATCCACTTGCAGATTCTGCAAAAAGAGAGATACAAAACTGCTCTATCAAAAGATAGATTCGACTCTGTGAGTTGAATGCCAACATCGCAAAGAAGTTTCTCAGAATGCTTCTCTGCAGCTTTTTTGTGAGTATGTTTCGTTTTCCACCATAGGGCGAAATGGGGCTCCAAATATCCACTTGCATTTCCTACAAAAAGAGAGATTCTAAGCTGCTCAATCAAAACATTGTTTCAACACGGTTAGTTGAATGCACACATCCCAAAGATGTTTTTCAGAGTGCTTCTGTGTGGTTTTTATGTGAAGATACTTCCTTTTCCACAATAGGCCTCAAATCTCTGTAAATATCCACTTGCAGACTCTACAAAGAGTGTTTCCAAACTGCTCAATCATAAGATAGGTTCAACTCCGATAGTTGAATGCACACATCACAAAGAAGTTTCTCAGAAAGCTTCTGTGTAGTTTTTGATGAAGATATCTCCTTCTCTAAAACAGAACTCCAAGCCCTCCAAATATTCACTTCAAGATTCTACGGAAAGATTGTCTCAAAACTCCTAAATCAAAACAAAGTTTCAACTCTGTGTCATGAACGCATTCATCTCAAAGAAGTTTCTCTGAATGCTTCTGTGCAGTTTTTATTTGAAGATAATTGCTTTTCCAGTATAGGGCGAAATAGGGCTCCAAATATTCACTTGCAGATTCTACAGAAAGAGAGATTCCAAACTGCTCAATCAAAACATAGGTTCAACACTGTGAGTTGAATGCATACATCGCAAAGAAGTTTCACAGAGTACTTCTGGGTGGTTTTTATTTGAAGATATTTCCCTTTCCACAATAGGCCTCAAAGCTTTCCAAATGTCCACTTGCAGATTCCACCAAAAGAGTGTTTCGAAACTGCTCAATCAAAAGAAAGGTTCTACTCTGTGGGATGAATGCACACATCACAAAGTAGTTTCTCAGAATGCTTCTGTGTAGTTTTTATGTGAAGATATTTGTTTTTCCACAGTAGGCCCCAAAGAGCTCCAAATATTCACTTGCAGATTCTACAAAAAGAGTGTTCCAAAACTGCTCAATCATGAAATAGGATCAACCCTGTGAGATGAATGTACGTATGACAGAGAAGTTTCTCAGAATGCTTCTGTGTAGTTTTTATGCGAAGATATTCGATTTTCCACAGTACGCCTCAAAGTTCTCCAATTATCCACTCGTAGATTCTGCAAAAAGAGAGATTCAAAACTGCTCAATCAAAAGATAGTTTCTACTCCATTAGCTGAAAGACCACATCACAAAAAAAGTTTCTCAGGATGCTTCTGTGTAGTTTTTATGTGAAGATATTTGGTTTTCCACAGTAGGCCTCAAAGCGCTCCAAATATCCACTCACAGATTCTGCAAAAAGAGAGATTCAAAACTGCTGAATCAAAAGACAGTTTCAACTCTGTGACTTCAGTGCACACCTCACAAGGATGTTTCTCAGAATGCTTCTGTGTAGTTTTCATATAAAGATATCTCCTTCTCCATAATGGATCTCAAAGTTCTCCAAATATTCACTTCCAGATTCTATGGAAAGATTGTCTCAAAACTGCTCAATCAAACCAAAGGTTCAACTCTGTGAGATGAATGCCCACATCACAAAGAAGTTTCTCAGAGTACTTCTGTGTAGTTTCTATTTGAGGATAGTTCCTTTTCCACCACAGACCAGAAAGGGCTCCAAATATCCATTGCAGATGATACAAAAAGTGGGATTCAAAACTGCTCAATCCAAAGGTAGTTTCAACCATGTGATATGAATGCACACAGCACAGAGAATTTTCTCAAAATGCGTCTGTCTAGTTTTTATTTGAAGATATTTCCTTTTCTACCATAGGCCACAAACGTCTCCAAATATCCACATGCAGCTTCTACAAAAAGAGAGATTCAAAACTTCTCAATCAAAAGATAGGTTCAACTCTGTGAGTTGAAAGCACACCTCACAAAGAAGTTTCTCAGAGTGCTTCTGTGTGTTTTTATGTGAAGATATTTCCTTTTCCACAATAGGCCTCAAAGCTCTCCAAATATCTGCGAGCAGAGTCTACAAAATGAGAGATTCAAAACTGCTCAATGAAAAGATAGGTTCAACTCTGTGAGTTGAATGCACACCTCCAAAGAAGTTTCTCAGAATGCTTCCGTGTAGTTTTTATGTGAAGATATTTACTTTTCCACAGTTGTCCCAAAGCTCTAAAATATCCACTTGCAGACCCTCCAAAAGAGTGTTTCAGAATTGCTCAATCAAAGGGAAGGTTCAATTCTGTGTGACCAATGCACTCATCACAAAGAAGTTTGTCTGAATGCTTCTGTGTAGAATTGATTTGAAGATAATTCCTTTTCCACCACAGTCCGCAAAGGGCTAAAAATATCCACTTGCCGATTCCACAAAAAGAGAGATTCAAAACTGCTCAATCACAAGATAGGTTCAACTTGGTAATTGGAAAGCACACATGACATACAATTTGCTGAGAATGTTTCTGTGTAGTTTTAAGGGAAGATATTTGATTTTCAAATGTAGGCCTCAAATCGCTCCAAATATCCACTTGCATATTGTACAAAAAGAGAGATTCAAAACTGGTCACTCAAAAGTTAGGTCCAGCTCTGTGAGCTGAATGCACACATCACAAAGATGTTTCTCAGAAGGTTTCTGTATAGTTTCTATATGAAGATATTTGCTTTTCCACAATATGCCTCAAATCTCCCCAATTATCCACTTGCAGATTCTAGAAAAAGAGTGTTTCAAAACAGCTCAATCAAAATAAACTTTCAACTCTGTGAGATCAATGCACACATCACAAAGAAGTTTCTCAGAATGCTTCTGTGTAGTTTTTTTTGTGAAGATATTTGATTTTCCACAGCAGGCTTCCAAGCACTCCAAATATCCACTCGCAGATTCTGCAAAAAGAGAGATTCAAATCTGCTGAATCAAAAGATAGGTTTAACTCTGTGACTTCAATGCACACCTCACAAGGGTGTTTCTCAGAAAGCTTCTGTGTAGTTTTTATATGAAGATATCTCCTTCTCCAAAGCAGGTCTCAAAGCCCTCCAAATATTCACTTCAAGATTCTACGGAAAGATTGTCTCAACACTGCTAAATCTAAACAAATGTTCAACTCTGTGTGATGAATGCACTCATCACAGAGAAGTTTCTCTGAATGCCTCTGTGTAGTTTTTATTTGAAGATATTTGCTTTTCCAGTATAGGGCGAAATAGGGCTCCAAATATTCACTTGCAGATTCTACAAAAGGAGAGATTCCAAACTGCTCAATCAAAACATAGGTTCAACACTGTGAGTTGAATGCACACATCACAAAGAAGTTTCACAGGGTGCTTCTGGGTAGTTTTTATTTGAGGATATTTCCCTTTCCACAATAGGCCTCAAAGCTTTCCAAATATCCACTTGCAGATTCTGCAAAAAGAGAGATACAAAACTGCTCTATCAAAAGATAGATTCGACTCTGTGAGTTGAATGCCAACATCGCAAAGAAGTTTCTCAGAATGCTTCTCTGCAGCTTTTTTGTGAGTATGTTTCGTTTTCCACCATAGGGCGAAATGGGGCTCCAAATATCCACTTGCATTTCCTACAAAAAGAGAGATTCTAAGCTGCTCAATCAAAACATTGTTTCAACACGGTTAGTTGAATGCACACATCCCAAAGATGTTTTTCAGAGTGCTTCTGTGTGGTTTTTATGTGAAGATACTTCCTTTTCCACAATAGGCCTCAAATCTCTGTAAATATCCACTTGCAGACTCTACAAAGAGTGTTTCCAAACTGCTCAATCATAAGATAGGTTCAACTCCGATAGTTGAATGCACACATCACAAAGAAGTTTCTCAGAAAGCTTCTGTGTAGTTTTTGATGAAGATATCTCCTTCTCTAAAACAGAACTCCAAGCCCTCCAAATATTCACTTCAAGATTCTACGGAAAGATTGTCTCAAAACTCCTAAATCAATACAAAGTTTCAACTCTGTGTCATGAATGCATTCATCTCAAAGAAGTTTCTCTGAATGCTTCTGTGCAGTTTTTATTTGAAGATAATTGCCTTTCCAGTATAGGGCGAAATAGGGCTCCAAATATTCACTTGCAGATTCTACAGAAAGAGAGATTCCAAACTGCTCAATCAAAACATAGGTTCAACACTGTGAGTTGAATGCATACATCGCAAAGAAGTTTCACAGAGTACTTCTGGGTGGTTTTTATTTGAAGATATTTCCCTTTCCACAATAGGCCTCAAAGCTTTCCAAATGTCCACTTGCAGATTCCACCAAAAGAGTGTTTCGAAACTGCTCAATCAAAAGAAAGGTTCTACTCTGTGGGATGAATGCACACATCACAAAGTAGTTTCTCAGAATGCTTCTGTGTAGTTTTTATGTGAAGATATTTGTTTTTCCACAGTAGGCCCCAAAGAGCTCCAAATATTCACTTGCAGATTCTACAAAAAGAGTGTTCCAAAACTGCTCAATCATGAAATAGGATCAACCCTGTGAGATGAATGTACGTATGACAGAGAAGTTTCTCAGAATGCTTCTGTGTAGTTTTTATGCGAAGATATTCGATTTTCCACAGTACGCCTCAAAGTTCTCCAATTATCCACTCGTAGATTCTGCAAAAAGAGAGATTCAAAACTGCTCAATCAAAAGATAGTTTCTACTCCATTAGCTGAAAGACCACATCACAAAAAAAGTTTCTCAGGATGCTTCTGTGTAGTTTTTATGTGAAGATATTTGGTTTTCCACAGTAGGCCTCAAAGCGCTCCAAATATCCACTCACAGATTCTGCAAAAAGAGAGATTCAAAACTGCTGAATCAAAAGACAGTTTCAACTCTGTGACTTCAGTGCACACCTCACAAGGATGTTTCTCAGAATGCTTCTCTGTAGTTTTTATATAAAGGTATCTCCTTCTCCAAAATGGATCTCAAAGTTCTCCAAATATTCACTTCCAGATTCTATGGAAAGATTGTCTCAAAACTGCTCAATCAAACCAAAGGTTCAACTCTGTGAGATGAATGCCCACATCACAAAGAAGTTTCTCAGAGTACTTCTGTGTAGTTTCTATTTGAGGATAGTTCCTTTTCCACCACAGACCAGAAAGGGCTCCAAATATCCATTGCAGATGGTACAAAAAGTGAGATTCAAAACTGCTCAATCCAAAGGTAGTTTCAACCATGTGATATGAATGCACACAGCACAGAGAATTTTCTCAAAATGCGTCTGTCTAGTTTTTATTTGAAGATATTTCCTTTTCTACCATAGGCCACAAACGTCTCCAAATATCCACATGCAGCTTCTACAAAAAGAGAGATTCAAAACTTCTCAATCAAAAGATAGGTTCAACTCTGTGAGTTGAAAGCACACCTCACAAAGAAGTTTCTCAGAGTGCTTCTGTGTGTTTTTATGTGAAGATATTTCCTTTTCCACAATAGGCCTCAAAGCTCTCCAAATATCTGCGAGCAGAGTCTACAAAATGAGAGATTCAAAACTGCTCAATGAAAAGATAGGTTCAACTCTGTGAGTTGAATGCACACCTCCAAAGAAGTTTCTCAGAATGCTTCCGTGTAGTTTTTATGTGAAGATATTTACTTTTCCACAGTTGTCCCAAAGCTCTAAAATATCCACTTGCAGACCCTCCAAAAGAGTGTTTCAGAATTGCTCAATCAAAGGGAAGTTTCAATTCTGTGTGACCAATGCACTCATCACAAAGAAGTTTGTCTGAATGCTTCTGTGTAGAATTGATTTGAAGATAATTCCTTTTCCACCACAGTCCGCAAAGGGCTAAAAATATCCACTTGCCGATTCCACAAAAAGAGAGATTCAAAACTGCTCAATCACAAGATAGGTTCAACTTGGTAATTGGAAAGCACACATGACAAACAATTTCTGAGAATGTTTCTGTGTAGTTTTTAAGGGAAGATATTTGATTTTCAAATGTAGGCCTCAAATCGCTCCAAATATCCACTTGCATATTGTACAAAAAGAGAGATTCAAAACTGGTCACTCAAAAGTTAGGTCCAGCTCTGTGAGCTGAATGCACACATCACAAAGATGTTTCTCAGAAGGTTTCTGTATAGTTTTTATATGAAGATATTTGCTTTTCCACAATATGCCTCAAATCTCCCCAATTATCCACTTGCAGATTCTAGAAAAAGAGTGTTTCAAAACAGCTCAATCAAAATAAACTTTCAACTCTGTGAGATCAATGCACACATCACAAAGAAGTTTCTCAGAATGCTTCTGTGTAGTTTTTTTTGTGAAGATATTTGATTTTCCACAGCAGGCTTCCAAGCACTCCAAATATCCACTCGCAGATTCTGCAAAAAGAGAGATTCAAATCTGCTGAATCAAAAGATAGGTTTAACTCTGTGACTTCAATGCACACCTCACAAGGGTGTTTCTCAGAAAGCTTCTGTGTAGTTTTTATATGAAGATATCTCCTTCTCCAAAGCAGGTCTCAAAGCCCTCCAAATATTCACTTCAAGATTCTACGGAAAGATTGTCTCAACACTGCTAAATCTAAACAAATGTTCAACTCTGTGTGATGAATGCACTCATCACAGAGAAGTTTCTCTGAATGCCTCTGTGTAGTTTTTATTTGAAGATATTTGCTTTTCCAGTATAGGGCGAAATAGGGCTCCAAATATTCACTTGCAGATTCTACAAAAGGAGAGATTCCAAACTGCTCAATCAAAACATAGGTTCAACACTGTGAGTTGAATGCACACATCACAAAGAAGTTTCACAGAGTGCTTCTGGGTAGTTTTTATTTGAGGATATTTCCCTTTCCACAATAGGCCTCAAAGCTTTCCAAATATCCACTTGCAGATTCTGCAAAAAGAGAGATACAAAACTGCTCTATCAAAAGATAGATTCGACTCTGTGAGTTGAATGCCAACATCGCAAAGAAGTTTCTCAGAATGCTTCTCTGCAGCTTTTTTGTGAGTATGTTTCGTTTTCCACCATAGGGCGAAATGGGGCTCCAAATATCCACTTGCATTTCCTACAAAAAGAGAGATTCTAAGCTGCTCAATCAAAACATTGTTTCAACACGGTTAGTTGAATGCACACATCCCAAAGATGTTTTTCAGAGTGCTTCTGTGTGGTTTTTATGTGAAGATACTTCCTTTTCCACAATAGGCCTCAAATCTCTGTAAATATCCACTTGCAGACTCTACAAAGAGTGTTTCCAAACTGCTCAATCATAAGATAGGTTCAACTCCGATAGTTGAATGCACACATCACAAAGAAGTTTCTCAGAAAGCTTCTGTGTAGTTTTTGATGAAGATATCTTCTTCTCTAAAACAGAACTCCAAGCCCTCCAAATATTCACTTCAAGATTCTACGGAAAGATTGTCTCAAAACTCCTAAATCAAAACAAAGTTTCAACTCTGTGTCATGAATGCATTCATCTCAAAGAAGTTTCTCTGAATGCTTCTGTGCAGTTTTTATTTGAAGATAATTGCTTTTCCAGTATAGGGCGAAATAGGGCTCCAAATATTCACTTGCAGATTCTACAGAAAGAGAGATTCCAAACTGCTCAATCAAAACATAGGTTCAACACTGTGAGTTGAATGCATACATCGCAAAGAAGTTTCACAGAGTACTTCTGGGTGGTTTTTATTTGAAGATATTTCCCTTTCCACAATAGGCCTCAAAGCTTTCCAAATGTCCACTTGCAGATTCCACCAAAAGAGTGTTTCGAAACTGCTCAATCAAAAGAAAGGTTCTACTCTGTGGGATGAATGCACACATCACAAAGTAGTTTCCCAGAATGCTTCTGTGTAGTTTTTATGTGAAGATATTTGTTTTTCCACAGTAGGCCCCAAAGAGCTCCAAATATTCACTTGCAGATTCTACAAAAAGAGTGTTCCAAAACTGCTCAATCATGAAATAGGATCAACCCTGTGAGATGAATGTACGTATGACAGAGAAGTTTCTCAGAATGCTTCTGTGTAGTTTTTATGCGAAGATATTCGATTTTCCACAGTACGCCTCAAAGTTCTCCAATTATCCACTCGTAGATCCTGCAAAAAGAGAGACTCAAAACTGCTCAATCAAAAGATAGTTTCTACTCCATTAGCTGAAAGACCACATCACAAAAAAAGTTTCTCAGGATGCTTCTGTGTAGTTTTTATGTGAAGATATTTGGTTTTCCACAGTAGGCCTCAAAGCGCTCCAAATATCCACTCACAGATTCTGCAAAAAGAGAGATTCAAAACTGCTGAATCAAAAGACAGTTTCAACACTGTGACTTCAGTGCACACCTCACAAGGATGTTTCTCAGAATGCTTCTGTGTAGTTTTTATATAAAGATATCTCTTCTCCAAAATGGATCTCAAAGTTCTCCAAATATTCACTTCCAGATTCTATGGAAAGATTGTCTCAAAACTGCTCAATCAAACCAAAGGTTCAACTCTGTGAGATGAATGCCCACATCACAAAGAAGTTTCTCAGAGTACTTCTGTGTAGTTTCTATTTGAGGATAGTTCCTTTTCCACCACAGACCAGAAAGGGCTCCAAATATCCATTGCAGATGGTACAAAAAGTGAGATTCAAAACTGCTCAATCCAAAGGTAGTTTCAACCATGTGATATGAATGCACACAGCACAGAGAATTTTCTCAAAATGCGTCTGTCTAGTTTTTATTTGAAGATATTTCCTTTTCTACCATAGGCCACAAACGTCTCCAAATATCCACATGCAGCTTCTACAAAAAGAGAGATTCAAAACTTCTCAATCAAAAGATAGGTTCAACTCTGTGAGTTGAAAGCACACCTCACAAAGAAGTTTCTCAGAGTGCTTCTGTGTGTTTTTATGTGAAGATATTTCCTTTTCCACAATAGGCCTCAAAGCTCTCCAAATATCTGCGAGCAGAGTCTACAAAATGAGAGATTCAAAACTGCTCAATGAAAAGATAGGTTCAACTCTGTGAGTTGAATGCACACCTCCAAAGAAGTTTCTCAGAATGCTTCCGTGCAGTTTTTATGTGAAGATATTTACTTTTCCACAGTTGTCCCAAAGCTCTAAAATATCCACTTGCAGACCCTCCAAAAGAGTGTTTCAGAATTGCTCAATCAAAGGGAAGGTTCAATTCTGTGTGACCAATGCACTCATCACAAAGAAGTTTGTCTGAATGCTTCTGTGTAGAATTGATTTGAAGATAATTCCTTTTCCACCACAGTCCGCAAAGGGCTAAAAATATCCACTTGCCGATTCCACAAAAAGAGAGATTCAAAACTGCTCAATCACAAGATAGGTTCAACTTGGTAATTGGAAAGCACACATGACAAACAATTTCTGAGAATGTTTCTGTGTAGTTTTTAAGGGAAGATATTTGATTTTCAAATGTAGGCCTCAAATCGCTCCAAATATCCACTTGCATATTGTACAAAAAGAGAGATTCAAAACTGGTCACTCAAAAGTTAGGTCCAGCTCTGTGAGCTGAATGCACACATCACAAAGATGTTTCTCAGAAGGTTTTCTGTATAGTTTCTATATGAAGATATTTGCTTTTCCACAATATGCCTCAAATCTCCCCAATTATCCACTTGCAGATTCTAGAAAAAGAGTGTTTCAAAACAGCTCAATCCAAATAAACTTTCAACTCTGTGAGATCAATGCACACATCACAAAGAAGTTTCTCAGAATGCTTCTGTGTAGTTTTTTTTGTGAAGATATTTGATTTTCCACAGCAGGCTTCCAAGCACTCCAAATATCCACTCGCAGATTCTGCAAAAAGAGAGATTCAAATCTGCTGAATCAAAAGATAGGTTTAACTCTGTGACTTCAATGCACACCTCACAAGGGTGTTTCTCAGAAAGCTTCTGTGTAGTTTTTATATGAAGATATCTCCTTCTCCAAAGCAGGTCTCAAAGCCCTCCAAATATTCACTTCAAGATTCTACGGAAAGATTGTCTCAACACTGCTAAATCTAAACAAATGTTCAACTCTGTGTGATGAATGCACTCATCACAGAGAAGTTTCTCTGAATGCCTCTGTGTAGTTTTTATTTGAAGATATTTGCTTTTCCAGTATAGGGCGAAATAGGGCTCCAAATATTCACTTGCAGATTCTACAAAAGGAGAGATTCCAAACTGCTCAATCAAAACATAGGTTCAACACTGTGAGTTGAATGCACACATCACAAAGAAGTTTCACAGAGTGCTTCTGGGTAGTTTTTATTTGAGGATATTTCCCTTTCCACAATAGGCCTCAAAGCTTTCCAAATATCCACTTGCAGATTCTGCAAAAAGAGAGATACAAAACTGCTCTATCAAAAGATAGATTCGACTCTGTGAGTTGAATGCCAACATCGCAAAGAAGTTTCTCAGAATGCTTCTCTGCAGCTTTTTTGTGAGTATGTTTCGTTTTCCACCATAGGGCGAAATGGGGCTCCAAATATCCACTTGCATTTCCTACAAAAAGAGAGATTCTAAGCTGCTCAATCAAAACATTGTTTCAACACGGTTAGTTGAATGCACACATCCCAAAGATGTTTTTCAGAGTGCTTCTGTGTGGTTTTTATGTGAAGATACTTCCTTTTCCACAATAGGCCTCAAATCTCTTTAAATATCCACTTGCAGACTCTACAAAGAGTGTTTCCAAACTCCTCAATCATAAGATAGGTTCAACTCCGATAGTTGAATGCACACATCACAAAGACAGTTTCTCGGAAAGCTTCTGTGAGTTTTTGATGAAGATATCTCCTTCTCTAAAACAGAACTCCAAGCCCTCCAAATATTCACTTCAAGATTCTACGGAAAGATTGTCTCAAAACTCCTAAATCAAAACAAAGTTTCAACTCTGTGTCATGAATGCATTCATCTCAAAGAAGTTTCTCTGAATGCTTCTGTGCAGTTTTTATTTGAAGATAATTGCTTTTCCAGTATAGGGCGAAATAGGGCTCCAAATATTCACTTGCAGATTCTACAGAAAGAGAGATTCCAAACTGCTCAATCAAAACATAGGTTCAACACTGTGAGTTGAATGCATACATCGCAAAGAAGTTTCACAGAGTACTTCTGGGTGGTTTTTATTTGAAGATATTTCCCTTTCCACAATAGGCCTCAAAGCTTTCCAAATGTCCACTTGCAGATTCCACCAAAAGAGTGTTTCGAAACTGCTCAATCAAAAGAAAGGTTCTACTCTGTGGGATGAATGCACACATCACAAAGTAGTTTCTCAGAATGCTTCTGTGTAGTTTTTATGTGAAGATATTTGTTTTTCCACAGTAGGCCCCAAAGAGCTCCAAATATTCACTTGCAGATTCTACAAAAAGAGTGTTCCAAAACTGCTCAATCATGAAATAGGATCAACTCTGTGAGATGAATGTACGTATGACAGAGAAGTTTCTCAGAATGCTTCTGTGTAGTTTTTATGCGAAGATATTCGATTTTCCACAGTACGCCTCAAAGTTCTCCAATTATCCACTCGTAGATTCTGCAAAAAGAGAGATTCAAAACTGCTCAATCAAAAGATAGTTTCTACTCCATTTAGCTGAAAGACCACATCACAAAAAAAGTTTCTCAGGATGCTTCTGTGTAGTTTTTATGTGAAGATATTTGGTTTTCCACAGTAGGCCTCAAAGCGCTCCAAATATCCACTCACAGATTCTGCAAAAAGAGAGATTCAAAACTGCTGAATCAAAAGACAGTTTCAACTCTGTGACTTCAGTGCACACCTCACAAGGATGTTTCTCAGAATGCTTCTGTGTAGTTTTTATATAAAGATATCTCCTTCTCCAAAATGGATCTCAAAGTTCTCCAAATATTCACTTCCAGATTCTATGGAAAGATTGTCTCAAAACTGCTCAATCAAACCAAAGGTTCAACTCTGTGAGATGAATGCACACATCACAAAGAAGTTTCTCAGAGTACTTCTGTGTAGTTTCTATTTGAGGATAGTTCCTTTTCCACCACAGACCAGAAAGGGCTCCAAATATCCATTGCAGATGGTACAAAAAGTGAGATTCAAAACTGCTCAATCCAAAGGTAGTTTCAACCATGTGATGTGAATGCACACAGCACAGAGAATTTTCTCAAAATGCGTCTGTCTAGTTTTTATTTGAAGATATTTCCTTTTCTACCATAGGCCACAAACGTCTCCAAATATCCACATGCAGCTTCTACAAAAAGAGAGATTCAAAACTTCTCAATCAAAAGATAGGTTCAACTCTGTGAGTTGAAAGCACACCTCACAAAGAAGTTTCTCAGAGTGCTTCTGTGTGTTTTTATGTGAAGATATTTCCTTTTCCACAATAGGCCTCAAAGCTCTCCAAATATCTGCGAGCAGAGTCTACAAAATGAGAGATTCAAAACTGCTCAATGAAAAGATAGGTTCAACTCTGTGAGTTGAATGCACACCTCCAAAGAAGTTTCTCAGAATGCTTCCGTGTAGTTTTTATGTGAAGATATTTACTTTTCCACAGTTGTCCCAAAGCTCTAAAATATCCACTTGCAGACCCTCCAAAAGAGTGTTTCAGAATTGCTCAATCAAAGGGAAGGTTCAATTGCTGTGTGACCAATGCACTCATCACAAAGAAGTTTGTCTGAATGCTTCTGTGTAGTAATTGATTTGAAGATAATTCCTTTTCCACCACAGTCCGCAAAGGGCTAAAAATATCCACTTGCCGATTCCACAAAAAGAGAGATTCAAAACTGCTCAATCACAAGATAGGTTCAACTTGGTAATTGGAAAGCACACATGACAAACAATTTCTGAGAATGTTTCTGTGTAGTTTTTAAGGGAAGATATTTGATTTTCAAATGTAGGCCTCAAATCGCTCCAAATATCCACTTGCATATTGTACAAAAAGAGAGATTCAAAACTGGTCACTCAAAAGTTAGGTCCAGCTCTGTGAGCTGAATGCACACATCACAAAGATGTTTCTCAGAAGGTTTCTGTATAGTTTCTATATGAAGATATTTGCTTTTCCACAATATGCCTCAAATCTCCCCAATTATCCACTTGCAGATTCTAGAAAAAGAGTGTTTCAAAACAGCTCAATCAAAATAAACTTTCAACTCTGTGAGATCAATGCACACATCACAAAGAAGTTTCTCAGAATGCTTCTGTGTAGTTTTTTTTGTGAAGATATTTGATTTTCCACAGCAGGCTTCCAAGCACTCCAAATATCCACTCGCAGATTCTGCAAAAAGAGAGATTCAAATCTGCTGAATCAAAAGATAGGTTTAACTCTGTGACTTCAATGCACACCTCACAAGGGTGTTTCTCAGAAAGCTTCTGTGTAGTTTTTATATGAAGATATCTCCTTCTCCAAAGCAGGTCTCAAAGCCCTCCAAATATTCACTTCAAGATTCTACGGAAAGATTGTCTCAACACTGCTAAATCTAAACAAATGTTCAACTCTGTGTGATGAATGCACTCATCACAGAGAAGTTTCTCTGAATGCCTCTGTGTAGTTTTTATTTGAAGATATTTGCTTTTCCAGTATAGGGCGAAATAGGGCTCCAAATATTCACTTGCAGATTCTACAAAAGGAGAGATTCCAAACTGCTCAATCAAAACATAGGTTCAACACTGTGAGTTGAATGCACACATCACAAAGAAGTTTCACAGAGTGCTTCTGGGTAGTTTTTATTTGAGGATATTTCCCTTTCCACAATAGGCCTCAAAGCTTTCCAAATATCCACTTGCAGATTCTGCAAAAAGAGAGATACAAAACTGCTCTATCAAAAGATAGATTCGACTCTGTGAGTTGAATGCCAACATCGCAAAGAAGTTTCTCAGAATGCTTCTCTGCAGCTTTTTTGTGAGTATGTTTCGTTTTCCACCATAGGGCGAAATGGGGCTCCAAATATCCACTTGCATTTCCTACAAAAAGAGAGATTCTAAGCTGCTCAATCAAAACATTGTTTCAACACGGTTAGTTGAATGCACACATCCCAAAGATGTTTTTCAGAGTGCTTCTGTGTGGTTTTTATGTGAAGATACTTCCTTTTCCACAATAGGCCTCAAATCTCTGTAAATATCCACTTGCAGACTCTACAAAGAGTGTTTCCAAACTGCTCAATCATAAGATAGGTTCAACTCCGATAGTTGAATGCACACATCACAAAGAAGTTTCTCAGAAAGCTTTCTGTGTAGTTTTTGATGAAGATATCTTCTTCTCTAAAACAGAACTCCAAGCCCTCCAAATATTCACTTCAAGATTCTACGGAAAGATTGTCTCAAAACTCCTAAATCAAAACAAAGTTTCAACTCTGTGTCATGAATGCATTCATCTCAAAGAACTTTCTCTGAATGCTTCTGTGCAGTTTTTATTTGAAGATAATTGCTTTTCCAGTATAGGGCGAAATAGGGCTCCAAATATTCACTTGCAGATTCTACAGAAAGAGAGATTCCAAACTGCTCAATCAAAACATAGGTTCAACACTGTGAGTTGAATGCATACATCGCAAAGAAGTTTCACAGAGTACTTCTGGGTGGTTTTTATTTGAAGATATTTCCCTTTCCACAATAGGCCTCAAAGCTTTCCAAATGTCCACTTGCAGATTCCACCAAAAGAGTGTTTCGAAACTGCTCAATCAAAAGAAAGGTTCTACTCTGTGGGATGAATGCACACATCACAAAGTAGTTTCTCAGAATGCTTCTGTGTAGTTTTTATGTGAAGATATTTGTTTTTCCACAGTAGGCCCCAAGGGAGCTCCAAATATTCACTTGCAGATTCTACAAAAAGAGTGTTCCGAAACTGCTCAATCATGAAATAGGATCAACCCTGTGAGATGAATGTACGTATGACAGAGAAGTTTCTCAGAATGCTTCTGTGTAGTTTTTATGCGAAGATATTCGACTTTCCACAGTACGCCTCAAAGTTCTCCAATTATCCACTCGTAGATTCTGCAAAAAGAGAGATTCAAAACTGCTCAATCAAAAGATAGTTTCTACTCCATTAGCTGAAAGACCACATCACAAAAAAAGTTTCTCAGGATGCTTCTGTGTAGTTTTTATGTGAAGATATTTGGTTTTCCACAGTAGGCCTCAAAGCGCTCCAAATATCCACTCACAGATTCTGCAAAAAGAGAGATTCAAAACTGCTGAATCAAAAGACAGTTTCAACTCTGTGACTTCAGTGCACACCTCACAAGGATGTTTCTCAGAATGCTTCTGTGGAGTTTTTATATAAAGATATCTCCTTCTCCAAAATGGATCTCAAAGTTCTCCAGATATTCACTTCCAGATTCTATGGAAAGATTGTCTCAAAACTGCTCAATCAAACCAAAGGTTCAACTCTGTGAGATGAATGCCCACATCACAAAGAAGTTTCTCAGAGTACTTCTGTGTAGTTTCTATTTGAGGATAGTTCCTTTTCCACCACAGACCAGAAAGGGCTCCAAATATCCATTGCAGATGGTACAAAAAGTGAGATTCAAAACTGCTCAATCCAAAGGTAGTTTCAACCATGTGATATGAATGCACACAGCACAGAGAATTTTCTCAAAATGCGTCTGTCTAGTTTTTATTTGAAGATATTTCCTTTTCTACCATAGGCCACAAACGTCTCCAAATATCCACATGCAGCTTCTACAAAAAGAGAGATTCAAAACTTCTCAATCAAAAGATAGGTTCAACTCTGTGAGTTGAAAGCACACCTCACAGAGAAGTTTCTCAGAGTGCTTCTGTGTGTTTTTATGTGAAGATATTTCCTTTTCCACAATAGGCCTCAAAGCTCTCCAAATATCTGCGAGCAGAGTCTACAAAATGAGAGATTCAAAACTGCTCAATGAAAAGATAGGTTCAACTCTGTGAGTTGAATGCACACCTCCAAAGAAGTTTCTCAGAATGCTTCCGTGTAGTTTTTATGTGAAGATATTTACTTTTCCACAGTTGTCCCAAAGCTCTAAAATGTCCACTTGCAGACCCTCCAAAAGAGTGTTTCAGAATTGCTCAATCAAAGGGAAGGTTCAATTCTGTGTGACCAATGCACTCATCACAAAGAAGTTTGTCTGAATGCTTCTGTGTAGAATTGATTTGAAGATAATTCCTTTTCCACCACAGTCCGCAAAGGGCTAAAAATATCCACTTGCCGATTCCACAAAAAGAGAGATTCAAAACTGTTCAATCACAAGATAGGTTCAACTTGGTAATTGGAAAGCACACATGACAAACAATTTCTGAGAATGTTTCTGTGTAGTTTTTAAGGGAAGATATTTGATTTTCAAATGTAGGCCTCAAATCGCTCCAAATATCCACTTGCATATTGTACAAAAAGAGAGATTCAAAACTGGTCACTCAAAAGTTAGGTCCAGCTCTGTGAGCTGAATGCACACATCACAAAGATGTTTCTCAGAAGGTTTCTGTATAGTTTTTATATGAAGATATTTGCTTTTCCACAATATGCCTCAAATCTCCCCAATTATCCACTTGCAGATTCTAGAAAAAGAGTGTTTCAAAACAGCTCAATCAAAATAAACTTTCAACTCTGTGAGATCAATGCACACATCACAAAGAAGTTTCTCAGAATGCTTCTGTGTAGTTTTTTTTGTGAAGATATTTGATTTTCCACAGCAGGCTTCCAAGCACTCCAAATATCCACTCGCAGATTCTGCAAAAAGAGAGATTCAAATCTGCTGAATCAAAAGATAGGTTTAACTCTGTGACTTCAATGCACACCTCACAAGGGTGTTTCTCAGAAAGCTTCTGTGTAGTTTTTATATGAAGATATCTCCTTCTCCAAAGCAGGTCTCAAAGCCCTCCAAATATTCACTTCAAGATTCTACGGAAAGATTGTCTCAACACTGCTAAATCTAAACAAATGTTCAACTCTGTGTGATGAATGCACTCATCACAGAGAAGTTTCTCTGAATGCCTCTGTGTAGTTTTTATTTGAAGATATTTGCTTTTCCAGTATAGGGCGAAATAGGGCTCCAAATATTCACTTGCAGATTCTACAAAAGGAGAGATTCCAAACTGCTCAATCAAAACATAGGTTCAACACTGTGAGTTGAATGCACACATCACAAAGAAGTTTCACAGAGTGCTTCTGGGTAGTTTTTATTTGAGGATATTTCCCTTTCCACAATAGGCCTCAAAGCTTTCCAAATATCCACTTGCAGATTCTGCAAAAAGAGAGATACAAAACTGCTCTATCAAAAGATAGATTCGACTCTGTGAGTTGAATGCCAACATCGCAAAGAAGTTTCTCAGAATGCTTCTCTGCAGCTTTTTTGTGAGTATGTTTCGTTTTCCACCATAGGGCGAAATGGGGCTCCAAATATCCACTTGCATTTCCTACAAAAAGAGAGATTCTAAGCTGCTCAATCAAAACATTGTTTCAACACGGTTAGTTGAATGCACACATCCCAAAGATGTTTTTCAGAGTGCTTCTGTGTGGTTTTTATGTGAAGATACTTCCTTTTCCACAATAGGCCTCAAATCTCTGTAAATATCCACTTGCAGACTCTACAAAGAGTGTTTCCAAACTCCTCAATCATAAGATAGGTTCAACTCCGATAGTTGAATGCACACATCACAAAGAAGTTTCTCGGAAAGCTTCTGTGTAGTTTTTGATGAAGATATCTTCTTCTCTAAAACAGAACTCCAAGCCCTCCAAATATTCACTTCAAGATTCTACGGAAAGATTGTCTCAAACTGCTAAATCAAAACAAAGGTTCAACTCTGTGTGATGAATGCATTCATCACAAAGAAGTTTCTCTGAGTGCTTCTGTGCAGTTTTTATTTGAAGATAATTGCTTTTCCAGTATAGGGCGAAATAGGGCTCCAAATATTCACTTGCAGATTCTACAGAAAGAGAGATTCCAAACTGCTCAATCAAAACATAGGTTCAACACTGTGAGTTGAATGCATACATCGCAAAGAAGTTTCACAGAGTACTTCTGGGTGGTTTCTATTTGAAGATATTTCCCTTTCCACAATAGGCCTCAAAGCTTTCCAAATGTCCACTTGCAGATTCCACCAAAAGAGTGTTTCGAAACTGCTCAATCAAAAGAAAAGTTCTACTCTGTGGGATGAATGCACACATCACAAAGTAGTTTCTCAGAATGCTTCTGTGTAGTTTTTATGTGAAGATATTTGTTTTTCCACAGTAGGCCCCAAAGAGCTCCAAATATTCACTTGCAGATTCTACAAAAAGAGTGTTCCAAAACTGCTCAATCATGAAATAGGATCAACCCTGTGAGATGAATGTACGTATGACAGAGAAGTTTCTCAGAATGCTTCTGTGTAGTTTTTATGCGAAGATATTCGATTTTCCACAGTACGCCTCAAAGTTCTCCAATTATCCACTCGTAGATCCTGCAAAAAGAGAGATTCAAAACTGCTCAATCAAAAGATAGTTTCTACTCCATTAGCTGAAAGACCACATCACAAAAAAAGTTTCTCAGGATGCTTCTGTGTAGTTTTTATGTGAAGATATTTGGTTTTCCACAGTAGGCCTCAAAGCGCTCCAAATATCCACTCACAGATTCTGCAAAAAGAGAGATTCAAAACTGCTGAATCAAAAGACAGTTTCAACTCTGTGACTTCAGTGCACACCTCACAAGGATGTTTCTCAGAATGCTTCTGTGTAGTTTTTATATAAAGATATCTCCTTCTCCAAAATGGATCTCAAAGTTCTCCAAATATTCACTTCCAGATTCTATGGAAAGACTGTCTCAAAACTGCTCAATCAAACCAAAGGTTCAACTCTGTGAGATGAATGCACACATCACAAAGAAGTTTCTCAGAGTACTTCTGTGTAGTTTCTATTTGAGGATAGTTCCTTTTCCACCACAGGACCAGAAAGGGCTCCAAATATCCATTGCAGATGGTACAAAAAGTGAGATTCAAAACTGCTCAATCCAAAGGTAGTTTCAACCATGTGATATGAATGCACACAGCACAGAGAATTTTCTCAAAATGCGTCTGTCTAGTTTTTATTTGAAGATATTTTCTTTTCTACCATAGGCCACAAACGTCTCCAAATATCCACATGCAGCTTCTACAAAAAGAGAGATTCAAAACTTCTCAATCAAAAGATAGGTTCAACTCTGTGAGTTGAAAGCACACCTCACAAAGAAGTTTCTCAGAGTGCTTCTGTGTGTTTTTATGTGAAGATATTTCCTTTTCCACAATAGGCCTCAAAGCTCTCCAAATATCTGCGAGCAGAGTCTACAAAATGAGAGATTCAAAACTGCTCAATGAAAAGATAGGTTCAACTCTGTGAGTTGAATGCACACCTCCAAAGAAGTTTCTCAGAATGCTTCCGTGTAGTTTTTATGTGAAGATATTTACTTTTCCACAGTTGTCCCAAAGCTCTAAAATATCCACTTGCAGACCCTCCAAAAGAGTGTTTCATAATTGCTCAATCAAAGGGAAGGTTCAATTCTGTGTGACCAATGCACTCATCACAAAGAAGTTTGTCTGAATGCTTCTGTGTAGAATTGATTTGAAGATAATTCCTTTTCCACCACAGTCCGCAAAGGGCTAAAAATATCCACTTGCCGATTCCACAAAAAGAGAGATTCAAAACTGCTCAATCACAAGATAGGTTCAACTTGGTAATTGGAAAGCACACATGACAAACAATTTCTGAGAATGTTTCTGTGTAGTTTTTAAGGGGAAGATATTTGATTTTCAAATGTAGGCCTCAAATCGCTCCAAATATCCACTTGCATATTGTACAAAAAGAGAGATTCAAAACTGGTCACTCAAAAGTTAGGTCCAGCTCTGTGAGCTGAATGCACACATCACAAAGATGTTTCTCAGAAGGTTTCTGTATAGTTTCTATATGAAGATATTTGCTTTTCCACAATATGCCTCAAATCTCCCCAATTATCCACTTGCAGATTCTAGAAAAAGAGTGTTTCAAAACAGCTCAATCAAAATAAACTTTCAACTCTGTGAGATCAATGCACACATCACAAAGAAGTTTCTCAGAATGCTTCTGTGTAGTTTTTTTTGTGAAGATATTTGATTTTCCACAGCAGGCTTCCAAGCACTCCAAATATCCACTCGCAGATTCTGCAAAAAGAGAGATTCAAATCTGCTGAATCAAAAGATAGGTTTAACTCTGTGACTTCAATGCACACCTCACAAGGGTGTTTCTCAGAAAGCTTCTGTGTAGTTTTTATATGAAGATATCTCCTTCTCCAAAGCAGGTCTCAAAGCCCTCCAAATATTCACTTCAAGATTCTACGGAAAGATTGTCTCAACACTGCTAAATCTAAACAAATGTTCAACTCTGTGTGATGAATGCACTCATCACAGAGAAGTTTCTCTGAATGCCTCTGTGTAGTTTTTATTTGAAGATATTTGCTTTTCCAGTATAGGGCGAAATAGGGCTCCAAATATTCACTTGCAGATTCTACAAAAGGAGAGATTCCAAACTGCTCAATCAAAACATAGGTTCAACACTGTGAGTTGAATGCACACATCACAAAGAAGTTTCACAGAGTGCTTCTGGGTAGTTTTTATTTGAGGATATTTCCCTTTCCACAATAGGCCTCAAAGCTTTCCAAATATCCACTTGCAGATTCTGCAAAAAGAGAGATACAAAACTGCTCTATCAAAAGATAGATTCGACTCTGTGAGTTGAATGCCAACATCGCAAAGAAGTTTCTCAGAATGCTTCTCTGCAGCTTTTTTGTGAGTATGTTTCGTTTTCCACCATAGGGCGAAATGGGGCTCCAAATATCCACTTGCATTTCCTACAAAAAGAGAGATTCTAAGCTGCTCAATCAAAACATTGTTTCAACACGGTTAGTTGAATGCACACATCCCAAAGATGTTTTTCAGAGTGCTTCTGTGTGGTTTTTATGTGAAGATACTTCCTTTTCCACAATAGGCCTCAAATCTCTGTAAATATCCACTTGCAGACTCTACAAAGAGTGTTTCCAAACTGCTCAATCATAAGATAGGTTCAACTCCGATAGTTGAATGCACACATCACAAAGAAGTTTCTCAGAAAGCTTCTGTGTAGTTTTTGATGAAGATATCTCCTTCTCTAAAACAGAACTCCAAGCCCTCCAAATATTCACTTCAAGATTCTACGGAAAGATTGTCTCAAAACTCCTAAATCAAAACAAAGTTTCAACTCTGTGTCATGAATGCATTCATGTCAAAGAAGTTTCTCTGAATGCTTCTGTGCAGTTTTTATTTGAAGATAATTGCTTTTCCAGTATAGGGCGAAATAGGGCTCCAAATATTCACTTGCAGATTCTACAGAAAGAGAGATTCCAAACTGCTCAATCAAAACTTAGGTTCAACACTGTGAGTTGAATGCATACATCGCAAAGAAGTTTCACAGAGTACTTCTGGGTGGTTTTTATTTGAAGATATTTCCCTTTCCACAATAGGCCTCAAAGCTTTCCAAATGTCCACTTGCAGATTCCACCAAAAGAGTGTTTCGAAACTGCTCAATCAAAAGAAAGGTTCTACTCTGTGGGATGAATGCACACATCACAAAGTAGTTTCTCAGAATGCTTCTGTGTAGTTTTTATGTGAAGATATTTGTTTTTCCACAGTAGGCCCCAAAGAGCTCCAAATATTCACTTGCAGATTCTACAAAAAGAGTGTTCCAAAACTGCTCAATCATGAAATAGGATCAACCCTGTGAGATGAATGTACGTATGACAGAGAAGTTTCTCAGAATGCTTCTGTGTAGTTTTTATGCGAAGATATTCGATTTTCCACAGTACGCCTCAAAGTTCTCCAATTATCCACTCGTAGATCCTGCAAAAAGAGAGACTCAAAACTGCTCAATCAAAAGATAGTTTCTACTCCATTAGCTGAAAGACCACATCACAAAAAAAGTTTCTCAGGATGCTTCTGTGTAGTTTTTATGTGAAGATATTTGGTTTTCCACAGTAGGCCTCAAAGCGCTCCAAATATCCACTCACAGATTCTGCAAAAAGAGAGATTCAAAACTGCTGAATCAAAAGACAGTTTCAACTCTGTGACTTCAGTGCACACCTCACAAGGATGTTTCTCAGAATGCTTCTGTGTAGTTTTCATATAAAGATATCTCCTTCTCCAAAATGGATCTCAAAGTTCTCCAAATATTCACTTCCAGATTCTATGGAAAGATTGTCTCAAAACTGCTCAATCAAACCAAAGGTTCAACTCTGTGAGATGAATGCCCACATCACAAAGTAGTTTCTCAGAGTACTTCTGTGTAGTTTCTATTTGAGGATAGTTCCTTTTCCACCACAGACCAGAAAGGGCTCCAAATATCCATTGCAGATGGTACAAAAAGTGAGATTCAAAACTGCTCAATCCAAAGGTAGTTTCAACCATGTGATATGAATGCACACAGCACAGAGAATTTTCTCAAAATGCGTCTGTCTAGTTTTTATTTGAAGATATTTCCTTTTCTACCATAGGCCACAAACGTCTCCAAATATCCACATGCAGCTTCTACAAAAAGAGAGATTCAAAACTTCTCAATCAAAAGATAGGTTCAACTCTGTGAGTTGAAAGCACACCTCACAAAGAAGTTTCTCAGAGTGCTTCTGTGTGTTTTTATGTGAAGATATTTCCTTTTCCACAATAGGCCTCAAAGCTCTCCAAATATCTGCGAGCAGAGTCTACAAAATGAGAGATTCAAAACTGCTCAATGAAAAGATAGGTTCAACTCTGTGAGTTGAATGCACACCTCCAAAGAAGTTTCTCAGAATGCTTCCGTGTAGTTTTTATGTGAAGATATTTACTTTTCCACAGTTGTCCCAAAGCTCTAAAATATCCACTTGCAGACCCTCCAAAAGAGTGTTTCAGAATTGCTCAATCAAAGGGAAGGTTCAATTCTGTGTGACCAATGCACTCATCACAAAGAAGTTTGTCTGAATGCTTCTGTGTAGAATTGATTTGAAGATAATTCCTTTTCCACCACAGTCCGCAAAGGGCTAAAAATATCCACTTGCCGATACCACAAAAAGAGATATTCAAAACTGCTCAATCACAAGATAGGTTCAACTTGGTAATTGGAAAGCACACATGACAAACAATTTCGGAGAATGTTTCTGTGTAGTTTTTAAGGGAAGATATTTGATTTTCAAATGTAGGCCTCAAATCGCTCCAAATATCCACTTGCATATTGTACGAAAAGAGAGATTCAAAACTGGTCACTCAAAAGTTAGGTCCAGCTCTGTGAGCTGAATGCACACATCACAAAGATGTTTCTCAGAAGGTTTCTGTATAGTTTTTATATGAAGATATTTGCTTTTCCACAATATGCCTCAAATCTCCCCAATTATCCACTTGCAGATTCTAGAAAAAGAGTGTTTCAAAACAGCTCAATCAAAATAAACTTTCAACTCTGTGAGATCAATGCACACATCACAAAGAAGTTTCTCAGAATGCTTCTGTGTAGTTTTTTTGTGAAGATATTTGATTTTCCACAGCAGGCTTCCAAGCACTCCAAATATCCACTCGCAGATTCTGCAAAAAGAGAGATTCAAATCTGCTGAATCAAAAGATAGGTTTAACTCTGTGACTTCAATGCACACCTCACAAGGGTGTTTCTCAGAAAGCTTCTGTGTAGTTTTTATATGAAGATATCTCCTTCTCCAAAGCAGGTCTCAAAGCCCTCCAAATATTCACTTCAAGATTCTACGGAAAGATTGTCTCAACACTGCTAAATCTAAACAAATGTTCAACTCTGTGTGATGAATGCACTCATCACAGAGAAGTTTCTCTGAATGCCTCTGTGTAGTTTTATTTGAAGATATTTGCTTTTCCAGTATAGGGCGAAATAGGGCTCCAAATATTCACTTGCAGATTCTACAAAAGGAGAGATTCCAAACTGCTCAATCAAAACATAGGTTCAACACTGTGAGTTGAATGCACACATCACAAAGAAGTTTCACAGAGTGCTTCTGGGTAGTTTTTATTTGAGGATATTTCCCTTTCCACAATAGGCCTCAAAGCTTTCCAAATATCCACTTGCAGATTCTGCAAAAAGAGAGATACAAAACTGCTCTATCAAAAGATAGATTCGACTCTGTGAGTTGAATGCCAACATCGCAAAGAAGTTTCTCAGAATGCTTCTCTGCAGCTTTTTTGTGAGTATGTTTCGTTTTCCACCATAGGGCGAAATGGGGCTCCAAATATCCACTTGCATTTCCTACAAAAAGAGAGATTCTAAGCTGCTCAATCAAAACATTGTTTCAACACGGTTAGTTGAATGCACACATCCCAAAGATGTTTTTCAGAGTGCTTCTGTGTGGTTTTTATGTGAAGATACTTCCTTTTCCACAATAGGCCTCAAATCTCTTTAAATATCCACTTGCAGACTCTACAAAGAGTGTTTCCAAACTCCTCAATCATAAGATAGGTTCAACTCCGATAGTTGAATGCACACATCACAAAGAAGTTTCTCGGAAAGCTTCTGTGTAGTTTTTGATGAAGATATCTTCTTCTCTAAAACAGAACTCCAAGCCCTCCAAATATTCACTTCAAGATTCTACGGAAAGATTGTCTCAAACTGCTAAATCAAAACAAAGGTTCAACTCTGTGTGATGAATGCATTCATCACAAAGAAGTTTCTCTGAGTGCTTCTGTGCAGTTTTTATTTGAAGATAATTGCTTTTCCAGTATAGGGCGAAATAGGGCTCCAAATATTCACTTGCAGATTCTACAGAAAGAGAGATTCCAAACTGCTCAATCAAAACATAGGTTCAACACTGTGAGTTGAATGCATACATCGCAAAGAAGTTTCACAGAGTACTTCTGGGTGGTTTTTATTTGAAGATATTTCCCTTTCCACAATAGGCCTCAAAGCTTTCCAAATGTCCACTTGCAGATTCCACCAAAAGAGTGTTTCGAAACTGCTCAATCAAAAGAAAGGTTCTACTCTGTGGGATGAATGCACACATCACAAAGTAGTTTCTCAGAATGCTTCTGTGTAGTTTTTATGTGAAGATATTTGTTTTTCCACAGTAGGCCCCAAAGAGCTCCAAATATTCACTTGCAGATTCTACAAAAAGAGTGTTCCAAAACTGCTCAATCATGAAATAGGATCAACCCTGTGAGATGAATGTACGTATGACAGAGAAGTTTCTCAGAATGCTTCTGTGTAGTTTTTATGCGAAGATATTCGATTTTCCACAGTACGCCTCAAAGTTCTCCAATTATCCACTCGTAGATCCTGCAAAAAGAGAGATTCAAAACTGCTCAATCAAAAGATAGTTTCTACTCCATTAGCTGAAAGACCACATCACAAAAAAAGTTTCTCAGGATGCTTCTGTGTAGTTTTTATGTGAAGATATTTGGTTTTCCACAGTAGGCCTCAAAGCGCTCCAAATATCCACTCACAGATTCTGCAAAAAGAGAGATTCAAAACTGCTGAATCAAAAGACAGTTTCAACTCTGTGACTTCAGTGCACACCTCACAAGGATGTTTCTCAGAATGCTTCTGTGTAGTTTTTATATAAAGATATCTCCTTCTCCAAAATGGATCTCAAAGTTCTCCAAATATTCACTTCCAGATTCTATGGAAAGATTGTCTCAAAACTGCTCAATCAAACCAAAGGTTCAACTCTGTGAGATGAATGCACACATCACAAAGAAGTTTCTCAGAGTACTTCTGTGTAGTTTCTATTTGAGGATAGTTCCTTTTCCACCACAGACCAGAAAGGGCTCCAAATATCCATTGCAGATGGTACAAAAAGTGAGATTCAAAACTGCTCAATCCAAAGGTAGTTTCAACCAGGTGATATGAAGGCACACAGCACAGAGAATTTTCTCAAAATGCGTCTGTCTAGTTTTTATTTGAAGATATTTCCTTTTCTACCACAGGCCACAAACGTCTCCAAATATCCACATGCAGCTTCTACAAAAAGAGAGATTCAAAACTTCTCAATCAAAAGATAGGTTCAACTCTGTGAGTTGAAAGCACACCTCACAAAGAAGTTTCTCAGAGTGCTTCTGTGTGTTTTTATGTGAAGATATTTCCTTTTCCACAACAGGCCTCAAAGCTCTCCAAATATCTGCGAGCAGAGTCTACAAAATGAGAGATTCAAAACTGCTCAATGAAAAGATAGGTTCAACTCTGTGAGTTGAATGCACACCTCCAAAGAAGTTTCTCAGAATGCTTCCGTGTAGTTTTTATGTGAAGATATTTACTTTTCCACAGTTGTCCCAAAGCTCTAAAATGTCCACTTGCAGACCCTCCAAAAGAGTGTTTCAGAATTGCTCAATCAAAGGGAAGGTTCAATTCTGTGTGACCAATGCACTCATCACAAAGAAGTTTGTCTGAATGCTTCTGTGTAGAATTGATTTGAAGATAATTCCTTTTCCACCACAGTCCGCAAAGGGCTAAAAATATCCACTTGCCGATTCCACAAAAAGAGAGATTCAAAACTGCTCAATCACAAGATAGGTTCAACTTGGTAATTGGAAAGCACACATGACAAACAATTTCTGAGAATGTTTCTGTGTAGTTTTTAAGGGAAGATATTTGATTTTCAAATGTAGGCCTCAAATCGCTCCAAATATCCACTTGCATATTGTACAAAAAGAGAGATTCAAAACTGGTCACTCGAAAGTTAGGTCCAGCTCTGTGAGCTGAATGCACACATCACAAAGATGTTTCTCAGAAGGTTTCTGTATAGTTTTTATATGAAGATATTTGCTTTTCCACAATATGCCTCAAATCTCCCCAATTATGCACTTGCAGATTCTAGAAAAAGAGTGTTTCAAAACAGCTCAATCAAAATAAACTTTCAACTCTGTGAGATCAATGCACACATCACAAAGAAGTTTCTCAGAATGCTTCTGTGTAGTTTTTTTTGTGAAGATATTTGATTTTCCACAGCAGGCTTCCAAGCACTCCAAATATCCACTCGCAGATTCTGCAAAAAGAGAGATTCAAATCTGCTGAATCAAAAGATAGGTTTAACTCTGTGACTTCAATGCACACCTCACAAGGGTGTTTCTCAGAAAGCTTCTGTGTAGTTTTTATATGAAGATATCTCCTTCTCCAAAGCAGGTCTCAAAGCCCTCCAAATATTCACTTCAAGATTCTACGGAAAGATTGTCTCAACACTGCTAAATCTAAACAAATGTTCAACTCTGTGTGATGAATGCACTCATCACAGAGAAGTTTCTCTGAATGCCTCTGTGGAGTTTTTATTTGAAGATATTTGCTTTTCCAGTATAGGGTGAAATAGGGCTCCAAATATTCACTTGCAGATTCTACAAAAGGAGAGATTCCAAACTGCTCAATCAAAACATAGGTTCAACACTGTGAGTTGAATGCACACATCACAAAGAAGTTTCACAGAGTGCTTCTGGGTAGTTTTTATTTGAGGATATTTCCCTTTCCACAATAGGCCTCAAAGCTTTCCAAATATCCACTTGCAGATTCTGCAAAAAGAGAGATACAAAACTGCTCTATCAAAAGATAGATTCGACTCTGTGAGTTGAATGCCAACATCGCAAAGAAGTTTCTCAGAATGCTTCTCTGCAGCTTTTTTGTGAGTATGTTTCGTTTTCCACCATAGGGCGAAATGGGGCTCCAAATATCCACTTGCATTTCCTACAAAAAGAGAGATTCTAAGCTGCTCAATCAAAACATTGTTTCAACACGGTTAGTTGAATGCACACATCCCAAAGATGTTTTTCAGAGAGCTTCTGTGTGGTTTTTATGTGAAGATACTTCCTTTTCCACAATAGGCCTCAAATCTCTGTAAATATCCACTTGCAGACTCCACAAAGAGTGTTTCCAAACTGCTCAATCATAAGATAGGTTCAACTCCGATAGTTGAATGCACACATCACAAAGAAGTTTCTCAGAAAGCTCTGTGTAGTTTTTGATGAAGATATCTTCTTCTCTAAAACAGAACTCCAAGCCCTCCAAATATTCACTTCAAGATTCTACGGAAAGATTGTCTCAAAACTCCTAAATCAAAACAAAGTTTCAACTCTGTGTCATGAATGCATTCATCTCAAAGAAGTTTCTCTGAATGCTTTCTGTGCAGTTTTTATTTGAAGATAATTGCTTTTCCAGTATAGGGCGAAATAGGGCTCCAAATATTCACTTGCAGATTCTACAGAAAGAGAGATTCCAAACTGCTCAATCAAAACATAGGTTCAACACTGTGAGTTGAATGCATACATCGCAAAGAAGTTTCACAGAGTACTTCTGGGTGGTTTTTATTTGAAGATATTTCCCTTTCCACAATAGGCCTCAAAGCTTTCCAAATGTCCACTTGCAGATTCCACCAAAAGAGTGTTTCGAAACTGCTCAATCAAAAGAAAGGTTCTACTGCTGTGGGATGAATGCACACATCACAAAGTAGTTTCTCAGAATGCTTCTGTGTAGTTTTTATGTGAAGATATTTGTTTTTCCACAGTAGGCCCCAAAGAGCTCCAAATATTCACTTGCAGATTCTACAAAAAGAGTGTTCCAAAACTGCTCAATCATGAAATAGGATCAACCCTGTGAGATGAATGTACGTATGACAGAGAAGTTTCTCAGAATGCTTCTGTGTAGTTTTTATGCGAAGATATTCGATTTTCCACAGTACGCCTCAAAGTTCTCCAATTATCCACTCGTAGATTCTGCAAAAAGAGAGATTCAAAACTGCTCAATCAAAAGATAGTTTCTACTCCATTAGCTGAAAGACCACATCACAAAAAAAGTTTCTCAGGATGCTTCTGTGTAGTTTTTATGTGAACATATTTGGTTTTCCACAGTAGGCCTCAAAGCGCTCCAAATATCCGCTCACAGATTCTGCAAAAAGAGAGATTCAAAACTGCTGAATCAAAAGACAGTTTCAACTCTGTGACTTCAGTGCACACCTCACAAGGATGTTTCTCAGAATGCTTCTGTGTAGTTTTTATATAAAGATATCTCCTTCTCCAAAATGGATCTCAAAGTTCTCCAAATATTCACTTCCAGATTCTATGGAAAGATTGTCTCAAAACTGCTCAATCAAACCAAAGGTTCAACTCTGTGAGATGAATGCCCACATCACAAAGAAGTTTCTCAGAGTACTTCTGTGTAGTTTCTATTTGAGGATAGTTCCTTTTCCACCACAGACCAGAAAGGGCTCCAAATATCCATTGCAGATGGTACAAAAAGTGAGATTCAAAACTGCTCAATCCAAAGGTAGTTTCAACCATGTGATATGAATGCACACAGCACAGAGAATTTTCTCAAAATGCGTCTGTCTAGTTTTTATTTGAAGATATTTCCTTTTCTACCATAGGCCACAAACGTCTCCAAATATCCACATGCAGCTTCTACAAAAAGAGAGATTCAAAACTTCTCAATCAAAAGAAAGGTTCAACTCTGTGAGTTGAAAGCACACCTCACAAAGAAGTTTCTCAGAGTGCTTCTGTGTGTTTTTATGTGAAGATATTTCCTTTTCCACAATAGGCCTCAAAGCTCTCCAAATATCTGCGAGCAGAGTCTACAAAATGAGAGATTCAAAACTGCTCAATGAAAAGATAGGTTCAACTCTGTGAGTTGAATGCACACCTCCAAAGAAGTTTCTCAGAATGCTTCCGTGTAGTTTTTATGTGAAGATATTTACTTTTCCACAGTTGTCCCAAAGCTCTAAAATATCCACTTGCAGACCCTCCAAAAGAGTGTTTCAGAATTGCTCAATCAAAGGGAAGGTTCAATTCTGTGTGACCAATGCACTCATCACAAAGAAGTTTGTCTGAATGCTTCTGTGTAGAATTGATTTGAAGATAATTCCTTTTCCACCACAGTCCGCAAAGGGCTAAAAATATCCACTTGCCGATTCCACAAAAAGAGAGATTCAAAACTGCTCAATCACAAGATAGGTTCAACTTGGTAATTGGAAAGCACACATGACAAACAATTTCTGAGAATGTTTCTGTGTAGTTTTTAAGGGAAGATATTTGATTTTCAAATGTAGGCCTCAAATCGCTCCAAATATCCACTTGCATATTGTACAAAAAGAGAGATTCAAAACTGGTCACTCAAAAGTTAGGTCCAGCTCTGTGAGCTGAATGCACACATCACAAAGATGTTTCTCAGAAGGTTTCTGTATAGTTTCTATATGAAGATATTTGCTTTTCCACAATATGCCTCAAATCTCCCCAATTATCCACTTGCAGATTCTAGAAAAAGAGTGTTTCAAAACAGCTCAATCAAAATAAACTTTCAACTCTGTGAGATCAATGCACACATCACAAAGAAGTTTCTCAGAATGCTTCTGTGTAGTTTTTTTTGTGAAGATATTTGATTTTCCACAGCAGGCTTCCAAGCACTCCAAATATCCACTCGCAGATTCTGCAAAAAGAGAGATTCAAATCTGCTGAATCAAAAGATAGGTTTAACTCTGTGACTTCAATGCACACCTCACAAGGGTGTTTCTCAGAAAGCTTCTGTGTAGTTTTTATATGAAGATATCTCCTTCTCCAAAGCAGGTCTCAAAGCCCTCCAAATATTCACTTCAAGATTCTACGGAAAGATTGTCTCAACACTGCTAAATCTAAACAAATGTTCAACTCTGTGTGATGAATGCACTCATCACAGAGAAGTTTCTCTGAATGCCTCTGTGTAGTTTTTATTTGAAGATATTTGCTTTTCCAGTATAGGGCGAAATAGGGCTCCAAATATTCACTTGCAGATTCTACAAAAGGAGAGATTCCAAACTGCTCAATCAAAACATAGGTTCAACACTGTGAGTTGAATGCACACATCACAAAGAAGTTTCACAGAGTGCTTCTGGGTAGTTTTTATTTGAGGATATTTCCCTTTCCACAATAGGCCTCAAAGCTTTCCAAATATCCACTTGCAGATTCTGCAAAAAGAGAGATACAAAACTGCTCTATCAAAAGATAGATTCGACTCTGTGAGTTGAATGCCAACATCGCAAAGAAGTTTCTCAGAATGCTTCTCTGCAGCTTTTTTGTGAGTATGTTTCGTTTTCCACCATAGGGCGAAATGGGGCTCCAAATATCCACTTGCATTTCCTACAAAAAGAGAGATTCTAAGCTGCTCAATCAAAACATTGTTTCAACACGGTTAGTTGAATGCACACATCCCAAAGATGTTTCTCAGAGTGCTTCTGTGTGGTTTTTATGTGAAGATACTTCCTTTTCCACAATAGGCCTCAAATCTCTGTAAATATCCACTTGCAGACTCTACAAAGAGTGTTTCCAAACTGCTCAATCATAAGATAGGTTCAACTCCGATAGTTGAATGCACACATCACAAAGAAGTTTCTCAGAAAGCTTCTGTGTAGTTTTTGATGAAGATATCTCCTTCTCTAAAACAGAACTCCAAGCCCTCCAAATATTCACTTCAAGATTCTACGGAAAGATTGTCTCAAAACTCCTAAATCAAAACAAAGTTTCAACTCTGTGTAATGAATGCATTCATGTCAAAGAAGTTTCTCTGAATGCTTCTGTGCAGTTTTTATTTGAAGATAATTGCTTTTCCAGTATAGGGCGAAATAGGGCTCCAAATATTCACTTGCAGATTCTACAGAAAGAGAGATTCCAAACTGCTCAATCAAAACATAGGTTCAACACTGTGAGTTGAATGCATACATCGCAAAGAAGTTTCACAGAGTACTTCTGGGTGGTTTTTATTTGAAGATATTTCCCTTTCCACAATAGGCCTCAAAGCTTTCCAAATGTCCACTTGCAGATTCCACCAAAAGCGTGTTTCGAAACTGCTCAATCAAAAGAAAGGTTCTACTCTGTGGGATGAATGCACACATCACAAAGTAGTTTCTCAGAATGCTTCTGTGTAGTTTTTATGTGAAGATATTTGTTTTTCCACAGTAGGCCCCAAAGAGCTCCAAATATTCACTTGCAGATTCTACAAAAAGAGTGTTCCAAAACTGCTCAATCATGAAATAGGATCAACCCTGTGTGATGAATGTACGTATGACAGAGAAGTTTCTCAGAATGCTTCTGTGTAGTTTTTATGCGAAGATATTCGATTTTCCACAGTACGCCTCAAAGTTCTCCAATTATCCACTCGTAGATTCTGCAAAAAGAGAGATTCAAAACTGCTCAATCAAAAGATAGTTTCTACTCCATTAGCTGAAAGACCACATCACAAAAAAAGTTTCTCAGGATGCTTCTGTGTAGTTTTTATGTGAACATATTTGGTTTTCCACAGTAGGCCTCAAAGCGCTCCAAATATCCGCTCACAGACTCTGCAAAAAGAGAGATTCAAAACTGCTGAATCAAAAGACAGTTTCAACTCTGTGACTTCAGTGCACACCTCACAAGGATGTTTCTCAGAATGCTTCTGTGTAGTTTTTATATAAAGATATCTCCTTCTCCAAAATGGATCTCAAAGTTCTCCAAATATTCACTTCCAGATTCTATGGAAAGATTGTCTCAAAACTGCTCAATCAAACCAAAGGTTCAACTCTGTGAGATGAATGCCCACATCACAAAGAAGTTTCTCAGAGTACTTCTGTGTAGTTTCTATTTGAGGATAGTTCCTTTTCCACCACAGACCAGAAAGGGCTCCAAATATCCATTGCAGATGGTACAAAAAGTGAGATTCAAAACTGCTCAATCCAAAGGTAGTTTCAACCATGTGATATGAATGCACACAGCACAGAGAATTTTCTCAAAATGCGTCTGTCTAGTTTTTATTTGAAGATATTTCCTTTTCTACCATAGGCCACAAACGTCTCCAAATATCCACATGCAGCTTCTACAAAAAGAGAGATTCAAAACTTCTCAATCAAAAGATAGGTTCAACTCTGTGAGTTGAAAGCACACCTCACAGAGAAGTTTCTCAGAGTGCTTCTGTGTGTTTTTATGTGAAGATATTTCCTTTTCCACAATAGGCCTCAAAGCTCTCCAAATATCTGCGAGCAGAGTCTACAAAATGAGAGATTCAAAACTGCTCAATGAAAAGATAGGTTCAACTCTGTGAGTTGAATGCACACCTCCAAAGAAGTTTCTCAGAATGCTTCCCGTGTAGTTTTTATGTGAAGATATTTACTTTTCCACAGTTGTCCCAAAGCTCTAAAATGTCCACTTGCAGACCCTCCAAAAGAGTGTTTCAGAATTGCTCAATCAAAGGGAAGGTTCAATTCTGTGTGACCAATGCACTCATCACAAAGAAGTTTGTCTGAATGCTTCTGTGTAGAATTGATTTGAAGATAATTCCTTTTCCACCACAGTCCGCAAAGGGCTAAAAATATCCACTTGCCGATTCCACAAAAAGAGAGATTCAAAACTGCTCAATCACAAGATAGGTTCAACTTGGTAATTGGAAAGCACACATGACAAACAATTTCTGAGAATGTTTCTGTGTAGTTTTTAAAGGAAGATATTTGATTTTCAAATGTAGGCCTCAAATCGCTCCAAATATCCACTTGCATATTGTACAAAAAGAGAGATTCAAAACTGGTCACTCAAAAGTTAGGTCCAGCTCTGTGAGCTGAATGCACACATCACAAAGATGTTTCTCAGAAGGTTTCTGTATAGTTTCTATATGAAGATATTGGCTTTTCCACAATATGCCTCAAATCTCCCCAATTATCCACTTGCAGATTCTAGAAAAAGAGTGTTTCAAAACAGCTCAATCAAAATAAACTTTCAACTCTGTGAGATCAATGCACACATCACAAAGAAGTTTCTCAGAATGCTTCTGTGTAGTTTTTTTTGTGAAGATATTTGATTTTCCACAGCAGGCTTCCAAGCACTCCAAATATCCACTCGCAGATTCTGCAAAAAGAGAGATTCAAATCTGCTGAATCAAAAGATAGGTTTAACTCTGTGACTTCAATGCACACCTCACAAGGGTGTTTCTCAGAAAGCTTCTGTGTAGTTTTTATATGAAGATATCTCCTTCTCCAAAGCAGGTCTCAAAGCCCTCCAAATATTCACTTCAAGATTCTACGGAAAGATTGTCTCAACACTGCTAAATCTAAACAAATGTTCAACTCTGTGTGATGAATGCACTCATCACAGAGAAGTTTCTCTGAATGCCTCTGTGTAGTTTTTATTTGAAGATATTTGCTTTTCCAGTATAGGGCGAAATAGGGCTCCAAATATTCACTTGCAGATTCTACAAAAGGAGAGATTCCAAACTGCTCAATCAAAACATAGGTTCAACACTGTGAGTTGAATGCACACATCACAAAGAAGTTTCACAGAGTGCTTCTGGGTAGTTTTTATTTGAGGATATTTCCCTTTCCACAATAGGCCTCAAAGCTTTCCAAATATCCACTTGCAGATTCTGCAAAAAGAGAGATACAAAACTGCTCTATCAAAAGATAGATTCGACTCTGTGAGTTGAATGCCAACATCGCAAAGAAGTTTCTCAGAATGCTTCTCTGCAGCTTTTTTGTGAGTATGTTTCGTTTTCCACCATAGGGCGAAATGGGGCTCCAAATATCCACTTGCATTTCCTACAAAAAGAGAGATTCTAAGCTGCTCAATCAAAACATTGTTTCAACACGGTTAGTTGAATGCACACATCCCAAAGATGTTTTTCAGAGTGCTTCTGTGTGGTTTTTATGTGAAGATACTTCCTTTTCCACAATAGGCCTCAAATCTCTGTAAATATCCACTTGCAGACTCTACAAAGAGTGTTTCCAAACTCCTCAATCATAAGATAGGTTCAACTCCGATAGTTGAATGCACACATCACAAAGAAGTTTCTCAGAAAGCTTCTGTGTAGTTTTTGATGAAGATATCTCCTTCTCTAAAACAGAACTCCAAGCCCTCCAAATATTCACTTCAAGATTCTACAGAAAGATTGTCTCAAAACTCCTAAATCAAAACAAAGTTTCAACTCTGTGTCATGAATGCATTCATCTCAAAGAACTTTCTCTGAATGCTTCTGTGCAGTTTTTATTTGAAGATAATTGCTTTTCCAGTATAGGGCGAAATAGGGCTCCAAATATTCACTTGCAGATTCTACAGAAAGAGAGATTCCAAACTGCTCAATCAAAACATAGGTTCAACACTGTGAGTTGAATGCATACATCGCAAAGAAGTTTCACAGAGTACTTCTGGGTGGTTTTTATTTGAAGATATTTCCCTTTCCACAATAGGCCTCAAAGCTTTCCAAATGTCCACTTGCAGATTCCACCAAAAGAGTGTTTCGAAACTGCTCAATCAAAAGAAAGGTTCTACTCTGTGGGATGAATGCACACATCACAAAGTAGTTTCTCAGAATGCTTCTGTGTAGTTTTTATGTGAAGATATTTGTTTTTCCACAGTAGGCCCCAAAGAGCTCCAAATATTCACTTGCAGATTCTACAAAAAGAGTGTTCCAGAACTGCTCAATCATGAAATAGGATCAACCCTGTGAGATGAATGTACGTATGACAGAGAAGTTTCTCAGAATGCTTCTGTGTAGTTTTTATGCGAAGATATTCGATTTTCCACAGTACGCCTCAAAGTTCTCCAATTATCCACTCGTAGATTCTGCAAAAAGAGAGATTCAAAACTGCTCAATCAAAAGATAGTTTCTACTCCATTAGCTGAAAGACCACATCACAAAAAAAGTTTCTCAGGATGCTTCTGTGTAGTTTTTATGTGAACATATTTGGTTTTCCACAGTAGGCCTCAAAGCGCTCCAAATATCCGCTCACAGATTCTGCAAAAAGAGAGATTCAAAACTGCTGAATCAAAAGACAGTTTCAACTCTGTGACTTCAGTGCACACCTCACAAGGATGTTTCTCAGAATGCTTCTGTGTAGTTTTCATATAAAGATATCTCCTTCTCCAAAATGGATCTCAAAGTTCTCCAAATATTCACTTCCAGATTCTATGGAAAGATTGTCTCAAAACTGCTCAATCAAACCAAAGGTTCAACTCTGTGAGATGAATGCCCACATCACAAAGAAGTTTCTCAGAGTACTTCTGTGTAGTTTCTATTTGAGGATAGTTCCTTTTCCACCACAGACCAGAAAGGGCTCCAAATATCCATTGCAGATGGTACAAAAAGTGAGATTCAAAACTGCTCAATCCAAAGGTAGTTTCAACCATGTGATATGAATGCACACAGCACAGAGAATTTTCTCAAAATGCGTCTGTCTAGTTTTTATTTGAAGATATTTCCTTTTCTACCATAGGCCACAAACGTCTCCAAATATCCACATGCAGCTTCTACAAAAAGAGAGATTCAAAACTTCTCAATCAAAAGATAGGTTCAACTCTGTGAGTTGAAAGCACACCTCACAAAGAAGTTTCTCAGAGTGCTTCTGTGTGTTTTTATGTGAAGATATTTCCTTTTCCACAATAGGCCTCAAAGCTCTCCAAATATCTGCGAGCAGAGTCTACAAAATGAGAGATTCAAAACTGCTCAATGAAAAGATAGGTTCAACTCTGTGAGTTGAATGCACACCTCCAAAGAAGTTTCTCAGAATGCTTCCGTGTAGTTTTTATGTGAAGATATTTACTTTTCCACAGTTGTCCCAAAGCTCTAAAATATCCACTTGCAGACCCTCCAAAAGAGTGTTTCAGAATTGCTCAATCAAAGGGAAGGTTCAATTCTGTGTGACCAATGCACTCATCACAAAGAAGTTTGTCTGAATGCTTCTGTGTAGAATTGATTTGAAGATAATTCCTTTTCCACCACAGTCCGCAAAGGGCTAAAAATATCCACTTGCCGATTCCACAAAAAGAGAGATTCAAAACTGCTCAATCACAAGATAGGTTCAACTTGGTAATTGGAAAGCACACATGACAAACAATTTCTGAGAATGTTTCTGTGTAGTTTTTAAGGGAAGATATTTGATTTTCAAATGTAGGCCTCAAATCGCTCCAAATATCCACTTGCATATTGTACAAAAAGAGAGATTCAAAACTGGTCACTCAAAAGTTAGGTCCAGCTCTGTGAGCTGAATGCACACATCACAAAGATGTTTCTCAGAAGGTTTCTGTATAGTTTCTATATGAAGATATTTGCTTTTCCACAATATGCCTCAAATCTCCCCAATTATCCACTTGCAGATTCTAGAAAAAGAGTGTTTCAAAACAGCTCAATCAAAATAAACTTTCAACTCTGTGAGATCAATGCACACATCACAAAGAAGTTTCTCAGAATGCTTCTGTGTAGTTTTTTTTGTGAAGATATTTGATTTTCCACAGCAGGCTTCCAAGCACTCCAAATATCCACTCGCAGATTCTGCAAAAAGAGAGATTCAAATCTGCTGAATCAAAAGATAGGTTTAACTCTGTGACTTCAAAGCACACCTCACAAGGGTGTTTCTCAGAAAGCTTCTGTGTAGTTTTTATATGAAGATATCTCCTTCTCCAAAGCAGGTCTCAAAGCCCTCCAAATATTCACTTCAAGATTCTACGGAAAGATTGTCTCAACACTGCTAAATCTAAACAAATGTTCAACTCTGTGTGATGAATGCACTCATCACAGAGAAGTTTCTCTGAATGCCTCTGTGTAGTTTTTATTTGAAGATATTTGCTTTTCCAGTATAGGGCGAAATAGGGCTCCAAATATTCACTTGCAGATTCTACAAAAGGAGAGATTCCAAACTGCTCAATCAAAACATAGGTTCAACACTTGTGAGTTGAATGCACACATCACAAAGAAGTTTCACAGAGTGCTTCTGGGTAGTTTTTATTTGAGGATATTTCCCTTTCCACAATAGGCCTCAAAGCTTTCCAAATATTCACTTGCAGATTCTGCAAAAAGAGAGATACAAAACTGCTCTATCAAAAGATAGATTCGACTCTGTGAGTTGAATGCCAACATCGCAAAGAAGTTTCTCAGAATGCTTCTCTGCAGCTTTTTTGTGAGTATGTTTCGTTTTCCACCATAGGGCGAAATGGGGCTCCAAATATCCACTTGCATTTCCTACAAAAAGAGAGATTCTAAGCTGCTCAATCAAAACATTGTTTCAACACGGTTAGTTGAATGCACACATCCCAAAGATGTTTTTCAGAGTGCTTCTGTGTGGTTTTTATGTGAAGATACTTCCTTTTCCACAATAGGCCTCAAATCTCTGTAAATATCCACTTGCAGACTCTACAAAGAGTGTTTCCAAACTCCTCAATCATAAGATAGGTTCAACTCCGATAGTTGAATGCACACATCACAAAGAAGTTTCTCGGAAAGCTTCTGTGTAGTTTTTGATGAAGATATCTTCTTCTCTAAAACAGAACTCCAAGCCCTCCAAATATTCACTTCAAGATTCTACGGAAAGATTGTCTCAAAACTCCTAAATCAAAACAAAGTTTCAACTCTGTGTCATGAATGCATTCATCTCAAAGAAGTTTCTCTGAATGCTTCTGTGCAGTTTTTATTTGAAGATAATTGCTTTTCCAGTATAGGGCGAAATAGGGCTCCAAATATTCACTTGCAGATTCTACAGAAAGAGAGATTCCAAACTGCTCAATCAAAACATAGGTTCAACACTGTGAGTTGAATGCATACATCGCAAAGAAGTTTCACAGAGTACTTCTGGGTGGTTTTTATTTGAAGATATTTCCCTTTCCACAATAGGCCTCAAAGCTTTCCAAATGTCCACTTGCAGATTCCACCAAAAGAGTGTTTCGAAACTGCTCAATCAAAAGAAAGGTTCTACTCTGTGGGATGAATGCACACATCACAAAGTAGTTTCTCAGAATGCTTCTGTGTAGTTTTTATGTGAAGATATTTGTTTTTCCACAGTAGGCCCCAAAGAGCTCCAAATATTCACTTGCAGATTCTACAAAAAGAGTGTTCCAAAACTGCTCAATCATGAAATAGGATCAACCCTGTGAGATGAATGTACGGTATGACAGAGAAGTTTCTCAGAATGCTTCTGTGTAGTTTTTATGCGAAGATATTCGATTTTCCACAGTACGCCTCAAAGTTCTCCAATTATCCACTCGTAGATTCTGCAAAAAGAGAGATTCAAAACTGCTCAATCAAAAGATAGTTTCTACTCCATTAGCTGAAAGACCACATCACAAAAAAAGTTTCTCAGGATGCTTCTGTGTAGTTTTTATGTGAACATATTTGGTTTTCCACAGTAGGCCTCAAAGCGCTCCAAATATCCGCTCACAGACTCTGCAAAAAGAGAGATTCAAAACTGCTGAATCAAAAGACAGTTTCAACTCTGTGACTTCAGTGCACACCTCACAAGGATGTTTCTCAGAATGCTTCTGTGTAGTTTTCATATAAAGATATCTCCTTCTCCAAAATGGATCTCAAAGTTCTCCAAATATTCACTTCCAGATTCTATGGAAAGATTGTCTCAAAACTGCTCAATCAAACCAAAGGTTCAACTCTGTGAGATGAATGCCCACATCACAAAGAAGTTTCTCAGAGTACTTCTGTGTAGTTTCTATTTGAGGATAGTTCCTTTTCCACCACAGACCAGAAAGGGCTCCAAATATCCATTGCAGATGGTACAAAAAGTGAGATTCAAAACTGCTCAATCCAAAGGTAGTTTCAACCATGTGATATGAATGCACACAGCACAGAGAATTTTCTCAAAATGCGTCTGTCTAGTTTTTATTTGAAGATATTTCCTTTTCTACCATAGGCCACAAACGTCTCCAAATATCCACATGCAGCTTCTACAAAAAGAGAGATTCAAAACTTCTCAATCAAAAGATAGGTTCAACTCTGTGAGTTGAAAGCACACCTCACAAAGAAGTTTCTCAGAGTGCTTCTGTGTGTTTTTATGTGAAGATATTTCCTTTTCCACAATAGGCCTCAAAGCTCTCCAAATATCTGCGAGCAGAGTCTACAAAATGAGAGATTCAAAACTGCTCAATGAAAAGATAGGTTCAACTCTGTGAGTTGAATGCACACCTCCAAAGAAGTTTCTCAGAATGCTTCCGTGTAGTTTTTATGTGAAGATATTTACTTTTCCACAGTTGTCCCAAAGCTCTAAAATGTCCACTTGCAGACCCTCCAAAAGAGTGTTTCAGAATTGCTCAATCAAAGGGAAGGTTCAATTCTGTGTGACCAATGCACTCATCACAAAGAAGTTTGTCTGAATGCTTCTGTGTAGAATTGATTTGAAGATAATTCCTTTTCCACCACAGTCCGCAAAGGGCTAAAAATATCCACTTGCCGATTCCACAAAAAGAGAGATTCAAAACTGCTCAATCACAAGATAGGTTCAACTTGGTAATTGGAAAGCACACATGACAAACAATTTCTGAGAATGTTTCTGTGTAGTTTTTAAGGGAAGATATTTGATTTTCAAATGTAGGCCTCAAATCGCTCCAAATATCCACTTGCATATTGTACAAAAAGAGAGATTCAAAACTGGTCACTCAAAAGTTAGGTCCAGCTCTGTGAGCTGAATGCACACATCACAAAGATGTTTCTCAGAAGGTTTCTGTATAGTTTCTATATGAAGATATTGGCTTTTCCACAATATGCCTCAAATCTCCCCAATTATCCACTTGCAGATTCTAGAAAAAGAGTGTTTCAAAACAGCTCAATCAAAATAAACTTTCAACTCTGTGAGATCAATGCACACATCACAAAGAAGTTTCTCAGAATGCTTCTGTGTAGTTTTTTTTGTGAAGATATTTGATTTTCCACAGCAGGCTTCCAAGCACTCCAAATATCCACTCGCAGATTCTGCAAAAAGAGAGATTCAAATCTGCTGAATCAAAAGATAGGTTTAACTCTGTGACTTCAATGCACACCTCACAAGGGTGTTTCTCAGAAAGCTTCTGTGTAGTTTTTATATGAAGATATCTCCTTCTCCAAAGCAGGTCTCAAAGCCCTCCAAATATTCACTTCAAGATTCTACGGAAAGATTGTCTCAACACTGCTAAATCTAAACAAATGTTCAACTTCTGTGTGATGAATGCACTCATCACAGAGAAGTTTCTCTGAATGCCTCTGTGTAGTTTTTATTTGAAGATATTTGCTTTTCCAGTATAGGGCGAAATAGGGCTCCAAATATTCACTTGCAGATTCTACAAAAGGAGAGATTCCAAACTGCTCAATCAAAACATAGGTTCAACACTGTGAGTTGAATGCACACATCACAAAGAAGTTTCACAGAGTGCTTCTGGGTAGTTTTTATTTGAGGATATTTCCCTTTCCACAATAGGCCTCAAAGCTTTCCAAATATCCACTTGCAGATTCTGCAAAAAGAGAGATACAAAACTGCTCTATCAAAAGATAGATTCGACTCTGTGAGTTGAATGCCAACATCGCAAAGAAGTTTGCTCAGAATGCTTCTCTGCAGCTTTTTTGTGAGTATGTTTCGTTTTCCACCATAGGGCGAAATGGGGCTCCAAATATCCACTTGCATTTCCTACAAAAAGAGAGATTCTAAGCTGCTCAATCAAAACATTGTTTCAACACGGTTAGTTGAATGCACACATCCCAAAGATGTTTTTCAGAGTGCTTCTGTGTGGTTTTTATGTGAAGATACTTCCTTTTCCACAATAGGCCTCAAATCTCTGTAAATATCCACTTGCAGACTCTACAAAGAGTGTTTCCAAACTCCTCAATCATAAGATAGGTTCAACTCCGATAGTTGAATGCACACATCACAAAGAAGTTTCTCAGAAAGCTTCTGTGTAGTTTTTGATGAAGATATCTCCTTCTCTAAAACAGAACTCCAAGCCCTCCAAATATTCACTTCAAGATTCTACGGAAAGATTGTCTCAAAACTCCTAAATCAAAACAAAGTTTCAACTCTGTGTCATGAATGCATTCATCTCAAAGAACTTTCTCTGAATGCTTCTGTGCAGTTTTTATTTGAAGATAATTGCTTTTCCAGTATAGGGCGAAATAGGGCTCCAAATATTCACTTGCAGATTCTACAGAAAGAGAGATTCCAAACTGCTCAATCAAAACATAGGTTCAACACTGTGAGTTGAATGCATACATCGCAAAGAAGTTTCACAGAGTACTTCTGGGTGGTTTTTATTTGAAGATATTTCCCTTTCCACAATAGGCCTCAAAGCTTTCCAAATGTCCACTTGCAGATTCCACCAAAAGAGTGTTTCGAAACTGCTCAATCAAAAGAAAGGTTCTACTCTGTGGGATGAATGCACACATCACAAAGTAGTTTCCCAGAATGCTTCTGTGTAGTTTTTATGTGAAGATATTTGTTTTTCCACAGTAGGCCCCAAAGAGCTCCAAATATTCACTTGCAGATTCTACAAAAAGAGTGTTCCAAAACTGCTCAATCATGAAATAGGATCAACCCTGTGAGATGAATGTACGTATGACAGAGAAGTTTCTCAGAATGCTTCTGTGTAGTTTTTATGCGAAGATATTCGATTTTCCACAGTACGCCTCAAAGTTCTCCAATTATCCACTCGTAGATCCTGCAAAAAGAGAGACTCAAAACTGCTCAATCAAAAGATAGTTTCTACTCCATTAGCTGAAAGACCACATCACAAAAAAAGTTTCTCAGGATGCTTCTGTGTAGTTTTTATGTGAAGATATTTGGTTTTCCACAGTAGGCCTCAAAGCGCTCCAAATATCCACTCACAGATTCTGCAAAAAGAGAGATTCAAAACTGCTGAATCAAAAGACAGTTTCAACTCTGTGACTTCAGTGCACACCTCACAAGGATGTTTCTCAGAATGCTTCTGTGTAGTTTTCATATAAAGATATCTCCTTCTCCAAAATGGATCTCAAAGTTCTCCAAATATTCACTTCCAGATTCTATGGAAAGATTGTCTCAAAACTGCTCAATCAAACCAAAGGTTCAACTCTGTGAGATGAATGCCCACATCACAAAGAAGTTTCTCAGAGTACTTCTGTGTAGTTTCTATTTGAGGATAGTTCCTTTTCCACCACAGACCAGAAAGGGCTCCAAATATCCATTGCAGATGGTACAAAAAGTGAGATTCAAAACTGCTCAATCCAAAGGTAGTTTCAACCATGTGATATGAATGCACACAGCACAGAGAATTTTCTCAAAATGCGTCTGTCTAGTTTTTATTTGAAGATATTTCCTTTTCTACCATAGGCCACAAACGTCTCCAAATATCCACATGCAGCTTCTACAAAAAGAGAGATTCAAAACTTCTCAATCAAAAGATAGGTTCAACTCTGTGAGTTGAAAGCACACCTCACAAAGAAGTTTCTCAGAGTGCTTCTGTGTGTTTTTATGTGAAGATATTTCCTTTTCCACAATAGGCCTCAAAGCTCTCCAAATATCTGCGAGCAGAGTCTACAAAATGAGAGATTCAAAACTGCTCAATGAAAAGATAGGTTCAACTCTGTGTGTTGAATGCACACCTCCAAAGAAGTTTCTCAGAATGCTTCTGTGTAGTTTTTATGTGAAGATATTTACTTTTCCACAGTTGTCCCAAAGCTCTAAAATATCCACTTGCAGACCCTCCAAAAGAGTGTTTCAGAATTGCTCAATCAAAGGGAAGGTTCAATTCTGTGTGACCAATGCACTCATCACAAAGAAGTTTGTCTGAATGCTTCTGTGTAGAATTGATTTGAAGATAATTCCTTTTCCACCACAGTCCGCAAAGGGCTAAAAATATCCACTTGCCGATTCCACAAAAAGAGAGATTCAAAACTGCTCAATCACAAGATAGGTTCAACTTGGTAATTGGAAAGCACACATGACAAACAATTTCTGAGAATGTTTCTGTGTAGTTTTTAAGGGAAGATATTTGATTTTCAAATGTAGGCCTCAAATCGCTCCAAATATCCACTTGCATATTGTACAAAAAGAGAGATTCAAAACTGGTCACTCAAAAGTTAGGTCCAGCTCTGTGAGCTGAATGCACACATCACAAAGATGTTTCTCAGAAGGTTTCTGTATAGTTTTTATATGAAGATATTTGCTTTTCCACAATATGCCTCAAATCTCCCCAATTATCCACTTGCAGATTCTAGAAAAAGAGTGTTTCAAAACAGCTCAATCAAAATAAACTTTCAACTCTGTGAGATCAATGCACACATCACAAAGAAGTTTCTCAGAATGCTTCTGTGTAGTTTTTTTTGTGAAGATATTTGATTTTCCACAGCAGGCTTCCAAGCACTCCAAATATCCACTCGCAGATTCTGCAAAAAGAGAGATTCAAATCTGCTGAATCAAAAGATAGGTTTAACTCTGTGACTTCAATGCACACCTCACAAGGGTGTTTCTCAGAAAGCTTCTGTGTAGTTTTTATATGAAGATATCTCCTTCTCCAAAGCAGGTCTCAAAGCCCTCCAAATATTCACTTCAAGATTCTACGGAAAGATTGTCTCAACACTGCTAAATCTAAACAAATGTTCAACTCTGTGTGATGAATGCACTCATCACAGAGAAGTTTCTCTGAATGCCTCTGTGTAGTTTTTATTTGAAGATATTTGCTTTTCCAGTATAGGGCGAAATAGGGCTCCAAATATTCACTTGCAGATTCTACAAAAGGAGAGATTCCAAACTGCTCAATCAAAACATAGGTTCAACACTGTGAGTTGAATGCACACATCACAAAGAAGTTTCACAGAGTGCTTCTGGGTAGTTTTTATTTGAGGATATTTCCCTTTCCACAATAGGCCTCAAAGCTTTCCAAATATCCACTTGCAGATTCTGCAAAAAGAGAGATACAAAACTGCTCTATCAAAAGATAGATTCGACTCTGTGAGTTGAATGCCAACATCGCAAAGAAGTTTCTCAGAATGCTTCTCTGCAGCTTTTTTGTGAGTATGTTTCGTTTTCCACCATAGGGCGAAATGGGGCTCCAAATATCCACTTGCATTTCCTACAAAAAGAGAGATTCTAAGCTGCTCAATCAAAACATTGTTTCAACACGGTTAGTTGAATGCACACATCCCAAAGATGTTTTTCAGAGTGCTTCTGTGTGGTTTTTATGTGAAGATACTTCCTTTTCCACAATAGGCCTCAAATCTCTGTAAATATCCACTTGCAGACTCTACAAAGAGTGTTTCCAAACTGCTCAATCATAAGATAGGTTCAACTCCGATAGTTGAATGCACACATCACAAAGAAGTTTCTCAGAAAGCTTCTGTGTAGTTTTTGATGAAGATATCTCCTTCTCTAAAACAGAACTCCAAGCCCTCCAAATATTCACTTCAAGATTCTACGGAAAGATTGTCTCAAAACTCCTAAATCAAAACAAAGTTTCAACTCTGTGTCATGAATGCATTCATCTCAAAGAACTTTCTCTGAATGCTTCTGTGCAGTTTTTATTTGAAGATAATTGCTTTTCCAGTATAGGGCGAAATAGGGCTCCAAATATTCACTTGCAGATTCTACAGAAAGAGAGATTCCAAACTGCTCAATCAAAACATAGGTTCAACACTGTGAGTTGAATGCATACATCGCAAAGAAGTTTCACAGAGTACTTCTGGGTGGTTTTTATTTGAAGATATTTCCCTTTCCACAATAGGCCTCAAAGCTTTCCAAATGTCCACTTGCAGATTCCACCAAAAGCGTGTTTCGAAACTGCTCAATCAAAAGAAAGGTTCTACTCTGTGGGATGAATGCACACATCACAAAGTAGTTTCTCAGAATGCTTCTGTGTAGTTTTTATGTGAAGATATTTGTTTTTCCACAGTAGGCCCCAAAGAGCTCCAAATATTCACTTGCAGATTCTACAAAAAGAGTGTTCCAAAACTGCTCAATCATGAAATAGGATCAACCCTGTGAGATGAATGTACGTATGACAGAGAAGTTTCTCAGAATGCTTCTGTGTAGTTTTTATGCGAAGATATTCGATTTTCCACAGTACGCCTCAAAGTTCTCCAATTATCCACTCGTAGATTCTGCAAAAAGAGAGATTCAAAACTGCTCAATCAAAAGATAGTTTCTACTCCATTAGCTGAAAGACCACATCACAAAAAAAGTTTCTCAGGATGCTTCTGTGTAGTTTTTATGTGAAGATATTTGGTTTTCCACAGTAGGCCTCAAAGCGCTCCAAATATCCACTCACAGATTCTGCAAAAAGAGAGATTCAAAACTGCTGAATCAAAAGACAGTTTCAACTCTGTGACTTCAGTGCACACCTCACAAGGATGTTTCTCAGAATGCTTCTGTGTAGTTTTTATAAAAAGATATCTCCTTCTCCAAAATGGATCTCAAAGTTCTCCAAATATTCACTTCCAGATTCTATGGAAAGATTGTCTCAAAACTGCTCAATCAAACCAAAGGTTCAACTCTGTGAGATGAATGCCCACATCACAAAGAAGTTTCTCAGAGTACTTCTGTGTAGTTTCTATTTGAGGATAGTTCCTTTTCCACCACAGACCAGAAAGGGCTCCAAATATCCATTGCAGATGGTACAAAAAGTGAGATTCAAAACTGCTCAATCCAAAGGTAGTTTCAACCATGTGATATGAATGCACACAGCACAGAGAATTTTCTCAAAATGCGTCTGCCTAGTTTTTATTTGAAGATATTTCCTTTTCTACCATAGGCCACAAACGTCTCCAAATATCCACATGCAGCTTCTACAAAAAGAGAGATTCAAAACTTCTCAATCAAAAGATAGGTTCAACTCTGTGAGTTGAAAGCACACCTCACAGAGAAGTTTCTCAGAGTGCTTCTGTGTGTTTTTATGTGAAGATATTTCCTTTTCCACAATAGGCCTCAAAGCTCTCCAAATATCTGCGAGCAGAGTCTACAAAATGAGAGATTCAAAACTGCTCAATGAAAAGATAGGTTCAACTCTGTGAGTTGAATGCACACCTCCAAAGAAGTTTCTCAGAATGCTTCCGTGTAGTTTTTATGTGAAGATATTTACTTTTCCACAGTTGTCCCAAAGCTCTAAAATGTCCACTTGCATACCCTCCAAAAGAGTGTTTCAGAATTGCTCAATCAAAGGGAAGGTTCAATTCTGTGTGACCAATGCACTCATCACAAAGAAGTTTGTCTGAATGCTTCTGTGTAGAATTGATTTGAAGATAATTCCTTTTCCACCACAGTCCGCAAAGGGCTAAAAATATCCACTTGCCGATTCCACAAAAAGAGAGATTCAAAACTGCTCAATCACAAGATAGGTTCAACTTGGTAATTGGAAAGCACACATGACAAACAATTTCTGAGAATGTTTCTGTGTAGTTTTTAAGGGAAGATATTTGATTTTCAAATGTAGGCCTCAAATCGCTCCAAATATCCACTTGCATATTGTACAAAAAGAGAGATTCAAAACTGGTCACTCCAAAGTTAGGTCCAGCTCTGTGAGCTGAATGCACACATCACAAAGATGTTTCTCAGAAGGTTTCTGTATAGTTTTTATATGAAGATATTTGCTTTTCCACAATATGCCTCAAATCTCCCCAATTATCCACTTGCAGATTCTAGAAAAAGAGTGTTTCAAAACAGCTCAATCAAAATAAACTTTCAACTCTGTGAGATCAATGCACACATCACAAAGAAGTTTCTCAGAATGCTTCTGTGTAGTTTTTTTTGTGAAGATATTTGATTTTCCACAGCAGGCTTCCAAGCACTCCAAATATCCACTCGCAGATTCTGCAAAAAGAGAGATTCAAATCTGCTGAATCAAAAGATAGGTTTAACTCTGTGACTTCAATGCACACCTCACAAGGGTGTTTCTCAGAAAGCTTCTGTGTAGTTTTTATATGAAGATATCTCCTTCTCCAAAGCAGGTCTCAAAGCCCTCCAAATATTCACTTCAAGATTCTACGGAAAGATTGTCTCAACACTGCTAAATCTAAACAAATGTTCAACTCTGTGTGATGAATGCACTCATCACAGAGTAGTTTCTCTGAATGCCTCTGTGTAGTTTTTATTTGAAGATATTTGCTTTTCCAGTATAGGGCGAAATAGGGCTCCAAATATTCACTTGCAGATTCTACAAAAGGAGAGATTCCAAACTGCTCAATCAAAACATAGGTTCAACACTGTGAGTTGAATGCACACATCACAAAGAAGTTTCACAGAGTGCTTCTGGGTAGTTTTTATTTGAGGATATTTCCCTTTCCACAATAGGCCTCAAAGCTTTCCAAATATCCACTTGCAGATTCTGCAAAAAGAGAGATACAAAACTGCTCTATCAAAAGATAGATTCGACTCTGTGAGTTGAATGCCAACATCGCAAAGAAGTTTCTCAGAATGCTTCTCTGCAGCTTTTTTGTGAGTATGTTTCGTTTTCCACCATAGGGCGAAATGGGGCTCCAAATATCCACTTGCATTTCCTACAAAAAGAGAGATTCTAAGCTGCTCAATCAAAACATTGTTTCAACACGGTTAGTTGAATGCACACATCCCAAAGATGTTTTTCAGAGTGCTTCTGTGTGGTTTTTATGTGAAGATACTTCCTTTTCCACAATAGGCCTCAAATCTCTGTAAATATCCACTTGCAGACTCTACAAAGAGTGTTTCCAAACTGCTCAATCATAAGATAGGTTCAACTCCGATAGTTGAATGCACACATCACAAAGAAGTTTCTCAGAAAGCTTCTGTGTAGTTTTTGATGAAGATATCTTCTTCTCTAAAACAGAACTCCAAGCCCTCCAAATATTCACTTCAAGATTCTACGGAAAGATTGTCTCAAAACTCCTAAATCAAAACAAAGTTTCAACTCTGTGTCATGAATGCATTCATCTCAAAGAAGTTTCTCTGAATGCTTCTGTGCAGTTTTTATTTGAAGATAATTGCTTTTCCAGTATAGGGCGAAATAGGGCTCCAAATATTCACTTGCAGATTCTACAGAAAGAGAGATTCCAAACTGCTCAATCAAAACATAGGTTCAACACTGTGAGTTGAATGCATACATCGCAAAGAAGTTTCACAGAGTACTTCTGGGTGGTTTTTATTTGAAGATATTTCCCTTTCCACAATAGGCCTCAAAGCTTTCCAAATGTCCACTTGCAGATTCCACCAAAAGAGTGTTTCGAAACTGCTCAATCAAAAGAAAGGTTCTACTCTGTGGGATGAATGCACACATCACAAAGTAGTTTCCCAGAATGCTTCTGTGTAGTTTTTATGTGAAGATATTTGTTTTTCCACAGTAGGCCCCAAAGAGCTCCAAATATTCACTTGCAGATTCTACAAAAAGAGTGTTCCAAAACTGCTCAATCATGAAATAGGATCAACCCTGTGAGATGAATGTACGTATGACAGAGAAGTTTCTCAGAATGCTTCTGTGTAGTTTTTATGCGAAGATATTCGATTTTCCACAGTACGCCTCAAAGTTCTCCAATTATCCACTCGTAGATCCTGCAAAAAGAGAGACTCAAAACTGCTCAATCAAAAGATAGTTTCTACTCCATTAGCTGAAAGACCACATCACAAAAAAAGTTTCTCAGGATGCTTCTGTGTAGTTTTTATGTGAAGATATTTGGTTTTCCACAGTAGGCCTCAAAGCGCTCCAAATATCCACTCACAGATTCTGCAAAAAGAGAGATTCAAAACTGCTGAATCAAAAGACAGTTTCAACTCTGTGACTTCAGTGCACACCTCACAAGGATGTTTCTCAGAATGCTTCTGTGTAGTTTTCATATAAAGATATCTCCTTCTCCAAAATGGATCTCAAAGTTCTCCAAATATTCACTTCCAGATTCTATGGAAAGATTGTCTCAAAACTGCTCAATCAAACCAAAGGTTCAACTCTGTGAGATGAATGCCCACATCACAAAGAAGTTTCTCAGAGTACTTCTGTGTAGTTTCTATTTGAGGATAGTTCCTTTTCCACCACAGACCAGAAAGGGCTCCAAATATCCATTGCAGATGGTACAAAAAGTGGGATTCAAAACTGCTCAATCCAAAGGTAGTTTCAACCATGTGATATGAATGCACACAGCACAGAGAATTTTCTCAAAATGCGTCTGTCTAGTTTTTATTTGAAGATATTTCCTTTTCTACCATAGGCCACAAACGTCTCCAAATATCCACATGCAGCTTCTACAAAAAGAGAGATTCAAAACTTCTCAATCAAAAGATAGGTTCAACTCTGTGAGTTGAAAGCACACCTCACAAAGAAGTTTCTCAGAGTGCTTCTGTGTGTTTTTATGTGAAGATATTTCCTTTTCCACAATAGGCCTCAAAGCTCTCCAAATATCTGCGAGCAGAGTCTACAAAATGAGAGATTCAAAACTGCTCAATGAAAAGATAGGTTCAACTCTGTGAGTTGAATGCACACCTCCAAAGAAGTTTCTCAGAATGCTTCCGTGTAGTTTTTATGTGAAGATATTTACTTTTCCACAGTTGTCCCAAAGCTCTAAAATATCCACTTGCAGACCCTCCAAAAGAGTGTTTCAGAATTGCTCAATCAAAGGGAAGGTTCAATTCTGTGTGACCAATGCACTCATCACAAAGAAGTTTGTCTGAATGCTTCTGTGTAGAATTGATTTGAAGATAATTCCTTTTCCACCACAGTCCGCAAAGGGCTAAAAATATCCACTTGCCGATTCCACAAAAAGAGAGATTCAAAACTGCTCAATCACAAGATAGGTTCAACTTGGTAATTGGAAAGCACACATGACAAACAATTTCTGAGAATGTTTCTGTGTAGTTTTTAAGGGAAGATATTTGATTTTCAAATGTAGGCCTCAAATCGCTCCAAATATCCACTTGCATATTGTACAAAAAGAGAGATTCAAAACTGGTCACTCAAAAGTTAGGTCCAGCTCTGTGAGCTGAATGCACACATCACAAAGATGTTTCTCAGAAGGTTTCTGTATAGTTTCTATATGAAGATATTTGCTTTTCCACAATATGCCTCAAATCTCCCCAATTATCCACTTGCAGATTCTAGAAAAAGAGTGTTTCAAAACAGCTCAATCAAAATAAACTTTCAACTCTGTGAGATCAATGCACACATCACAAAGAAGTTTCTCAGAATGCTTCTGTGTAGTTTTTTTTGTGAAGATATTTGATTTTCCACAGCAGGCTTCCAAGCACTCCAAATATCCACTCGCAGATTCTGCAAAAAGAGAGATTCAAATCTGCTGAATCAAAAGATAGGTTTAACTCTGTGACTTCAATGCACACCTCACAAGGGTGTTTCTCAGAAAGCTTCTGTGTAGTTTTTATATGAAGATATCTCCTTCTCCAAAGCAGGTCTCAAAGCCCTCCAAATATTCACTTCAAGATTCTACGGAAAGATTGTCTCAACACTGCTAAATCTAAACAAATGTTCAACTCTGTGTGATGAATGCACTCATCACAGAGAAGTTTCTCTGAATGCCTCTGTGTAGTTTTTATTTGAAGATATTTGCTTTTCCAGTATAGGGCGAAATAGGGCTCCAAATATTCACTTGCAGATTCTACAAAAGGAGAGATTCCAAACTGCTCAATCAAAACATAGGTTCAACACTTGTGAGTTGAATGCACACATCACAAAGAAGTTTCACAGAGTGCTTCTGGGTAGTTTTTATTTGAGGATATTTCCCTTTCCACAATAGGCCTCAAAGCTTTCCAAATATTCACTTGCAGATTCTGCAAAAAGAGAGATACAAAACTGCTCTATCAAAAGATAGATTCGACTCTGTGAGTTGAATGCCAACATCGCAAAGAAGTTTCTCAGAATGCTTCTCTGCAGCTTTTTTGTGAGTATGTTTCGTTTTCCACCATAGGGCGAAATGGGGCTCCAAATATCCACTTGCATTTCCTACAAAAAGAGAGATTCTAAGCTGCTCAATCAAAACATTGTTTCAACACGGTTAGTTGAATGCACACATCCCAAAGATGTTTTTCAGAGTGCTTCTGTGTGGTTTTTATGTGAAGATACTTCCTTTTCCACAATAGGCCTCAAATCTCTGTAAATATCCACTTGCAGACTCTACAAAGAGTGTTTCCAAACTCCTCAATCATAAGATAGGTTCAACTCCGATAGTTGAATGCACACATCACAAAGAAGTTTCTCAGAAAGCTTCTGTGTAGTTTTTGATGAAGATATCTCCTTCTCTAAAACAGAACTCCAAGCCCTCCAAATATTCACTTCAAGATTCTACGGAAAGATTGTCTCAAAACTCCTAAATCAAAACAAAGTTTCAACTCTGTGTCATGAACGCATTCATCTCAAAGAAGTTTCTCTGAGTGCTTCTGTGCAGTTTTTATTTGAAGATAATTGCTTTTCCAGTATAGGGCGAAATAGGGCTCCAAATATTCACTTGCAGATTCTACAGAAAGAGAGATTCCAAACTGCTCAATCAAAACATAGGTTCAACACTGTGAGTTGAATGCATACATCGCAAAGAAGTTTCACAGAGTACTTCTGGGTGGTTTTTATTTGAAGATATTTCCCTTTCCACAATAGGCCTCAAAGCTTTCCAAATGTCCACTTGCAGATTCCACCAAAAGAGTGTTTCGAAACTGCTCAATCAAAAGAAAGGTTCTACTCTGTGGGATGAATGCACACATCACAAAGTAGTTTCTCAGAATGCTTCTGTGTAGTTTTTATGTGAAGATATTTGTTTTTCCACAGTAGGCCCCAAAGAGCTCCAAATATTCACTTGCAGATTCTACAAAAAGAGTGTTCCAAAACTGCTCAATCATGAAATAGGATCAACCCTGTGAGATGAATGTACGTATGACAGAGAAGTTTCTCAGAATGCTTCTGTGTAGTTTTTATGCGAAGATATTCGATTTTCCACAGTACGCCTCAAAGTTCTCCAATTATCCACTCGTAGATTCTGCAAAAAGAGAGATTCAAAACTGCTCAATCAAAAGATAGTTTCTACTCCATTAGCTGAAAGACCACATCACAAAAAAAGTTTCTCAGGATGCTTCTGTGTAGTTTTTATGTGAAGATATTTGGTTTTCCACAGTAGGCCTCAAAGCGCTCCAAATATCCACTCACAGATTCTGCAAAAAGAGAGATTCAAAACTGCTGAATCAAAAGACAGTTTCAACTCTGTGACTTCAGTGCACACCTCACAAGGATGTTTCTCAGAATGCTTCTGTGTAGTTTTCATATAAAGATATCTCCTTCTCCAAAATGGATCTCAAAGTTCTCCAAATATTCACTTCCAGATTCTATGGAAAGATTGTCTCAAAACTGCTCAATCAAACCAAAGGTTCAACTCTGTGAGATGAATGCCCACATCACAAAGAAGTTTCTCAGAGTACTTCTGTGTAGTTTCTATTTGAGGATAGTTCCTTTTCCACCACAGACCAGAAAGGGCTCCAAATATCCATTGCAGATGGTACAAAAAGTGAGATTCAAAACTGCTCAATCCAAAGGTAGTTTCAACCATGTGATATGAATGCACACAGCACAGAGAATTTTCTCAAAATGCGTCTGCCTAGTTTTTATTTGAAGATATTTCCTTTTCTACCATAGGCCACAAACGTCTCCAAATATCCACATGCAGCTTCTACAAAAAGAGAGATTCAAAACTTCTCAATCAAAAGATAGGTTCAACTCTGTGAGTTGAAAGCACACCTCACAGAGAAGTTTCTCAGAGTGCTTCTGTGTGTTTTTATGTGAAGATATTTCCTTTTCCACAATAGGCCTCAAAGCTCTCCAAATATCTGCGAGCAGAGTCTACAAAATGAGAGATTCAAAACTGCTCAATGAAAAGATAGGTTCAACTCTGTGAGTTGAATGCACACCTCCAAAGAAGTTTCTCAGAATGCTTCCGTGTAGTTTTTATGTGAAGATATTTACTTTTCCACAGTTGTCCCAAAGCTCTAAAATGTCCACTTGCAGACCCTCCAAAAGAGTGTTTCAGAATTGCTCAATCAAAGGGAAGGTTCAATTCTGTGTGACCAATGCACTCATCACAAAGAAGTTTGTCTGAATGCTTCTGTGTAGAATTGATTTGAAGATAATTCCTTTTCCACCACAGTCCGCAAAGGGCTAAAAATATCCACTTGCCGATTCCACAAAAAGAGAGATTCAAAACTGTTCAATCACAAGATAGGTTCAACTTGGTAATTGGAAAGCACACATGACAAACAATTTCTGAGAATGTTTCTGTGTAGTTTTTAAGGGAAGATATTTGATTTTCAAATGTAGGCCTCAAATCGCTCCAAATATCCACTTGCATATTGTACAAAAAGAGAGATTCAAAACTGGTCACTCAAAAGTTAGGTCCAGCTCTGTGAGCTGAATGCACACATCACAAAGATGTTTCTCAGAAGGTTTCTGTATAGTTTTTATATGAAGATATTTGCTTTTCCACAATATGCCTCAAATCTCCCCAATTATCCACTTGCAGATTCTAGAAAAAGAGTGTTTCAAAACAGCTCAATCAAAATAAACTTTCAACTCTGTGAGATCAATGCACACATCACAAAGAAGTTTCTCAGAATGCTTCTGTGTAGTTTTTTTTGTGAAGATATTTGATTTTCCACAGCAGGCTTCCAAGCACTCCAAATATCCACTCGCAGATTCTGCAAAAAGAGAGATTCAAATCTGCTGAATCAAAAGATAGGTTTAACTCTGTGACTTCAATGCACACCTCACAAGGGTGTTTCTCAGAAAGCTTCTGTGTAGTTTTTATATGAAGATATCTCCTTCTCCAAAGCAGGTCTCAAAGCCCTCCAAATATTCACTTCAAGATTCTACGGAAAGATTGTCTCAACACTGCTAAATCTAAACAAATGTTCAACTCTGTGTGATGAATGCACTCATCACAGAGAAGTTTCTCTGAATGCCTCTGTGTAGTTTTTATTTGAAGATATTTGCTTTTCCAGTATAGGGCGAAATAGGGCTCCAAATATTCACTTGCAGATTCTACAAAAGGAGAGATTCCAAACTGCTCAATCAAAACATAGGTTCAACACTGTGAGTTGAATGCACACATCACAAAGAAGTTTCACAGAGTGCTTCTGGGTAGTTTTTATTTGAGGATATTTCCCTTTCCACAATAGGCCTCAAAGCTTTCCAAATATCCACTTGCAGATTCTGCAAAAAGAGAGATACAAAACTGCTCTATCAAAAGATAGATTCGACTCTGTGAGTTGAATGCCAACATCGCAAAGAAGTTTCTCAGAATGCTTCTCTGCAGCTTTTTTGTGAGTATGTTTCGTTTTCCACCATAGGGCGAAATGGGGCTCCAAATATCCACTTGCATTTCCTACAAAAAGAGAGATTCTAAGCTGCTCAATCAAAACATTGTTTCAACACGGTTAGTTGAATGCACACATCCCAAAGATGATTTTCAGAGTGCTTCTGTGTGGTTTTTATGTGAAGATACTTCCTTTTCCACAATAGGCCTCAAATCTCTGTAAATATCCACTTGCAGACTCTACAAAGAGTGTTTCCAAACTCCTCAATCATAAGATAGGTTCAACTCCGATAGTTGAATGCACACATCACAAAGAAGTTTCTCAGAAAGCTTCTGTGTAGTTTTTGATGAAGATATCTTCTTCTCTAAAACAGAACTCCAAGCCCTCCAAATATTCACTTCAAGATTCTACGGAAAGATTGTCTCAAACTGCTAAATCAAAACAAAGGTTCAACTCTGTGTGATGAATGCATTCATCACAAAGAAGTTTCTCTGAGTGCTTCTGTGCAGTTTTTATTTGAAGATAATTGCTTTTCCAGTATAGGGCGAAATAGGGCTCCAAATATTCACTTGCAGATTCTACAGAAAGAGAGATTCCAAACTGCTCAATCAAAACATAGGTTCAACACTGTGAGTTGAATGCATACATCGCAAAGAAGTTTCACAGAGTACTTCTGGGTGGTTTTTATTTGAAGATATTTCCCTTTCCACAATAGGCCTCAAAGCTTTCCAAATGTCCACTTGCAGATTCCACCAAAAGAGTGTTTCGAAACTGCTCAATCAAAAGAAAGGTTCTACTCTGTGGGATGAATGCACACATCACAAAGTAGTTTCTCAGAATGCTTCTGTGTAGTTTTTATGTGAAGATATTTGTTTTTCCACAGTAGGCCCCAAAGAGCTCCAAATATTCACTTGCAGATTCTACAAAAAGAGTGTTCCAAAACTGCTCAATCATGAAATAGGATCAACCCTGTGAGATGAATGTACGTATGACAGAGAAGTTTCTCAGAATGCTTCTGTGTAGTTTTTATGCGAAGATATTCGATTTTCCACAGTACGCCTCAAAGTTCTCCAATTATCCACTCGTAGATTCTGCAAAAAGAGAGATTCAAAACTGCTCAATCAAAAGATAGTTTCTACTCCATTAGCTGAAAGACCACATCACAAAAAAAGTTTCTCAGGATGCTTCTGTGTAGTTTTTATGTGAAGATATTTGGTTTTCCACAGTAGGCCTCAAAGCGCTCCAAATATCCACTCACAGATTCTGCAAAAAGAGAGATTCAAAACTGCTGAATCAAAAGACAGTTTCAACTCTGTGACTTCAGTGCACACCTCACAAGGATGTTTCTCAGAATGCTTCTGTGTAGTTTTCATATAAAGATATCTCCTTCTCCAAAATGGATCTCAAAGTTCTCCAAATATTCACTTCCAGATTCTATGGAAAGATTGTCTCAAAACTGCTCAATCAAACCAAAGGTTCAACTCTGTGAGATGAATGCCCACATCACAAAGAAGTTTCTCAGAGTACTTCTGTGTAGTTTCTATTTGAGGATAGTTCCTTTTCCACCACAGACCAGAAAGGGCTCCAAATATCCATTGCAGATGGTACAAAAAGTGAGATTCAAAACTGCTCAATCCAAAGGTAGTTTCAACCATGTGATATGAATGCACACAGCACAGAGAATTTTCTCAAAATGCGTCTGTCTAGTTTTTATTTGAAGATATTTCCTTTTCTACCATAGGCCACAAACGTCTCCAAATATCCACATGCAGCTTCTACAAAAAGAGAGATTCAAAACTTCTCAATCAAAAGATAGGTTCAACTCTGTGAGTTGAAAGCACACCTCACAAAGAAGTTTCTCAGAGTGCTTCTGTGTGTTTTTATGTGAAGATATTTCCTTTTCCACAATAGGCCTCAAAGCTCTCCAAATATCTGCGAGCAGAGTCTACAAAATGAGAGATTCAAAACTGCTCAATGAAAAGATAGGTTCAACTCTGTGAGTTGAATGCACACCTCCAAAGAAGTTTCTCAGAATGCTTCCGTGTAGTTTTTATGTGAAGATATTTACTTTTCCACAGTTGTCCCAAAGCTCTAAAATATCCACTTGCAGACCCTCCAAAAGAGTGTTTCAGAATTGCTCAATCAAAGGGAAGGTTCAATTCTGTGTGACCAATGCACTCATCACAAAGAAGTTTGTCTGAATGCTTCTGTGTAGAATTGATTTGAAGATAATTCCTTTTCCACCACAGTCCGCAAAGGGCTAAAAATATCCACTTGCCGATTCCACAAAAAGAGAGATTCAAAACTGCTCAATCACAAGATAGGTTCAACTTGGTAATTGGAAAGCACACATGACAAACAATTTCTGAGAATGTTTCTGTGTAGTTTTTAAGGGAAGATATTTGATTTTCAAATGTAGGCCTCAAATCGCTCCAAATATCCACTTGCATATTGTACAAAAAGAGAGATTCAAAACTGGTCACTCAAAAGTTAGGTCCAGCTCTGTGAGCTGAATGCACACATCACAAAGATGTTTCTCAGAAGGTTTCTGTATAGTTTCTATATGAAGATATTTGCTTTTCCACAATATGCCTCAAATCTCCCCAATTATCCACTTGCAGATTCTAGAAAAAGAGTGTTTCAAAACAGCTCAATCAAAATAAACTTTCAACTCTGTGAGATCAATGCACACATCACAAAGAAGTTTCTCAGAATGCTTCTGTGTAGTTTTTTTTTGTGAAGATATTTGATTTTCCACAGCAGGCTTCCAAGCACTCCAAATATCCACTCGCAGATTCTGCAAAAAGAGAGATTCAAATCTGCTGAATCAAAAGATAGGTTTAACTCTGTGACTTCAATGCACACCTCTCAAGGGTGTTTCTCAGAAAGCTTCTGTGTAGTTTTTATATGAAGATATCTCCTTCTCCAAAGCAGGTCTCAAAGCCCTCCAAATATTCACTTCAAGATTCTACGGAAAGATTGTCTCAACACTGCTAAATCTAAACAAATGTTCAACTCTGTGTGATGAATGCACTCATCACAGAGAAGTTTCTCTGAAGGCCTCTGTGTAGTTTTTATTTGAAGATATTTGCTTTTCCAGTATAGGGCGAAATAGGGCTCCAAATATTCACTTGCAGATTCTACAAAAGGAGAGATTCCAAACTGCTCAATCAAAACATAGGTTCAACACTGTGAGTTGAATGCACACATCACAAAGAAGTTTCACAGAGTGCTTCTGGGTAGTTTTTATTTGAGGATATTTCCCTTTCCACAATAGGCCTCAAAGCTTTCCAAATATCCACTTGCAGATTCTGCAAAAAGAGAGATACAAAACTGCTCTATCAAAAGATAGATTCGACTCTGTGAGTTGAATGCCAACATCGCAAAGAAGTTTCTCAGAATGCTTCTCTGCAGCTTTTTTGTGAGTATGTTTCGTTTTCCACCATAGGGCGAAATGGGGCTCCAAATATACACTTGCATTTCCTACAAAAAGAGAGATTCTAAGCTGCTCAATCAAAACATTGTTTCAACACGGTTAGTTGAATGCACACATCCCAAAGATGTTTTTCAGAGTGCTTCTGTGTGGTTTTTATGTGAAGATACTTCCTTTTCCACAATAGGCCTCAAATCTCTGTAAATATCCACTTGCAGACTCTACAAAGAGTGTTTCCAAACTGCTCAATCATAAGATAGGTTCAACTCCGATAGTTGAATGCACACATCACAAAGAAGTTTCTCAGAAAGCTTCTGTGTAGTTTTTGATGAAGATATCTCCTTCTCTAAAACAGAACTCCAAGCCCTCCAAATATTCACTTCAAGATTCTACGGAAAGATTGTCTCAAAACTCCTAAATCAAAACAAAGTTTCAACTCTGTGTCATGAATGCATTCATCTCAAAGAAGTTTCTCTGAATGCTTCTGTGCAGTTTTTATTTGAAGATAATTGCTTTTCCAGTATAGGGCGAAATAGGGCTCCAAATATTCACTTGCAGATTCTACAGAAAGAGAGATTCCAAACTGCTCAATCAAAACATAGGTTCAACACTGTGAGTTGAATGCATACATCGCAAAGAAGTTTCACAGAGTACTTCTGGGTGGTTTTTATTTGAAGATATTTCCCTTTCCACAATAGGCCTCAAAGCTTTCCAAATGTCCACTTGCAGATTCCACCAAAAGAGTGTTTCGAAACTGCTCAATCAAAAGAAAGGTTCTACTCTGTGGGATGAATGCACACATCACAAAGTAGTTTCTCAGAATGCTTCTGTGTAGTTTTTATGTGAAGATATTTGTTTTTCCACAGTAGGCCCCAAAGAGCTTCAAATATTCACTTGCAGATTCTACAAAAAGAGTGTTCCAGAACTGCTCAATCATGAAATAGGATCAACCCTGTGAGATGAATGTACGTATGACAGAGAAGTTTCTCAGAATGCTTCTGTGTAGTTTTTATGCGAAGATATTCGATTTTCCACAGTACGCCTCAAAGTTCTCCAATTATCCACTCGTAGATTCTGCAAAAAGAGAGATTCAAAACTGCTCAATCAAAAGATAGTTTCTACTCCATTAGCTGAAAGACCACATCACAAAAAAAGTTTCTCAGGATGCTTCTGTGTAGTTTTTATGTGAAGATATTTGGTTTTCCACAGTAGGCCTCAAAGCGCTCCAAATATCCACTCACAGATTCTGCAAAAAGAGAGATTCAAAACTGCTGAATCAAAAGACAGTTTCAACTCTGTGACTTCAGTGCACACCTCACAAGGATGTTTCTCAGAATGCTTCTGTGTAGTTTTCATATAAAGATATCTCCTTCTCCAAAATGGATCTCAAAGTTCTCCAAATATTCACTTCCAGATTCTATGGAAAGATTGTCTCAAAACTGCTCAATCAAACCAAAGGTTCAACTCTGTGAGATGAATGCCCACATCACAAAGAAGTTTCTCAGAGTACTTCTGTGTAGTTTCTATTTGAGGATAGTTCCTTTTCCACCACAGACCAGAAAGGGCTCCAAATATCCATTGCAGATGGTACAAAAAGTGAGATTCAAAACTGCTCAATCCAAAGGTAGTTTCAACCATGTGATATGAATGCACACAGCACAGAGAATTTTCTCAAAATGCGTCTGTCTAGTTTTTATTTGAAGATATTTCCTTTTCTACCATAGGCCACAAACGTCTCCAAATATCCACATGCAGCTTCTACAAAAAGAGAGATTCAAAACTTCTCAATCAAAAGATAGGTTCAACTCTGTGAGTTGAAAGCACACCTCACAGAGAAGTTTCTCAGAGTGCTTCTGTGTGTTTTTATGTGAAGATATTTCCTTTTCCACAATAGGCCTCAAAGCTCTCCAAATATCTGCGAGCAGAGTCTACAAAATGAGAGATTCAAAACTGCTCAATGAAAAGATAGGTTCAACTCTGTGAGTTGAATGCACACCTCCAAAGAAGTTTCTCAGAATGCTTCCGTGTAGTTTTTATGTGAAGATATTTACTTTTCCACAGTTGTCCCAAAGCTCTAAAATGTCCACTTGCAGACCCTCCAAAAGAGTGTTTCAGAATTGCTCAATCAAAGGGAAGGTTCAATTCTGTGTGACCAATGCACTCATCACAAAGAAGTTTGTCTGAATGCTTCTGTGTAGAATTGATTTGAAGATAATTCCTTTTCCACCACAGTCCGCAAAGGGCTAAAAATATCCACTTGCCGATTCCACAAAAAGAGAGATTCAAAACTGCTCAATCACAAGATAGGTTCAACTTGGTAATTGGAAAGCACACATGACAAACAATTTCTGAGAATGTTTCTGTGTAGTTTTTAAGGGAAGATATTTGATTTTCAAATGTAGGCCTCAAATCGCTCCAAATATCCACTTGCATATTGTACAAAAAGAGAGATTCAAAACTGGTCACTCAAAAGTTAGGTCCAGCTCTGTGAGCTGAATGCACACATCACAAAGATGTTTCTCAGAAGGTTTCTGTATAGTTTCTATATGAAGATATTGGCTTTTCCACAATATGCCTCAAATCTCCCCAATTATCCACTTGCAGATTCTAGAAAAAGAGTGTTTCAAAACAGCTCAATCAAAATAAACTTTCAACTCTGTGAGATCAATGCACACATCACAAAGAAGTTTCTCAGAATGCTTCTGTGTAGTTTTTTTTGTGAAGATATTTGATTTTCCACAGCAGGCTTCCAAGCACTCCAAATATCCACTCGCAGATTCTGCAAAAAGAGAGATTCAAATCTGCTGAATCAAAAGATAGGTTTAACTCTGTGACTTCAATGCACACCTCACAAGGGTGTTTCTCAGAAAGCTTCTGTGTAGTTTTTATATGAAGATATCTCCTTCTCCAAAGCAGGTCTCAAAGCCCTCCAAATATTCACTTCAAGATTCTACGGAAAGATTGTCTCAACACTGCTAAATCTAAACAAATGTTCAACTCTGTGTGATGAATGCACTCATCACAGAGAAGTTTCTCTGAATGCCTCTGTGTAGTTTTTATTTGAAGATATTTGCTTTTCCAGTATAGGGCGAAATAGGGCTCCAAATATTCACTTGCAGATTCTACAAAAGGAGAGATTCCAAACTGCTCAATCAAAACATAGGTTCAACACTGTGAGTTGAATGCACACATCACAAAGAAGTTTCACAGAGTGCTTCTGGGTAGTTTTTATTTGAGGATATTTCCCTTTCCACAATAGGCCTCAAAGCTTTCCAAATATCCACTTGCAGATTCTGCAAAAAGAGAGATACAAAACTGCTCTATCAAAAGATAGATTCGACTCTGTGAGTTGAATGCCAACATCGCAAAGAAGTTTCTCAGAATGCTTCTCTGCAGCTTTTTTGTGAGTATGTTTCCTTTTCCACCATAGGGCGAAATGGGGCTCCAAATATCCACTTGCATTTCCTACAAAAAGAGAGATTCTAAGCTGCTCAATCAAAACATTGTTTCAACACGGTTAGTTGAATGCACACATCCCAAAGATGTTTTTCAGAGTGCTTCTGTGTGGTTTTTATGTGAAGATACTTCCTTTTCCACAATAGGCCTCAAATCTCTGTAAATATCCACTTGCAGACTCTACAAAGAGTGTTTCCAAACTGCTCAATCATAAGATAGGTTCAACTCCGATAGTTGAATGCACACATCACAAAGAAGTTTCTCAGAAAGCTTCTGTGTAGTTTTTGATGAAGATATCTCCTTCTCTAAAACAGAACTCCAAGCCCTCCAAATATTCACTTCAAGATTCTACGGAAAGATTGTCTCAAAACTCCTAAATCAAAACAAAGTTTCAACTCTGTGTCATGAATGCATTCATCTCAAAGAACTTTCTCTGAATGCTTCTGTGCAGTTTTTATTTGAAGATAATTGCTTTTCCAGTATAGGGCGAAATAGGGCTCCAAATATTCACTTGCAGATTCTACAGAAAGAGAGATTCCAAACTGCTCAATCAAAACATAGGTTCAACACTGTGAGTTGAATGCATACATCGCAAAGAAGTTTCACAGAGTACTTCTGGGTGGTTTTTATTTGAAGATATTTCCCTTTCCACACTAGGCCTCAAAGCTTTCCAAATGTCCACTTGCAGATTCCACCAAAAGAGTGTTTCGAAACTGCTCAATCAAAAGAAAGGTTCTACTCTGTGGGATGAATGCACACATCACAAAGTAGTTTCTCAGAATGCTTCTGTGTAGTTTTTATGTGAAGATATTTGTTTTTCCACAGTAGGCCCCAAAGAGCTCCAAATATTCACTTGCAGATTCTACAAAAAGAGTGTTCCAAAACTGCTCAATCATGAAATAGGATCAACCCTGTGAGATGAATGTACGTATGACAGAGAAGTTTCTCAGAATGCTTCTGTGTAGTTTTTATGCGAAGATATTCGATTTTCCACAGTACGCCTCAAAGTTCTCCAATTATCCACTCGTAGATTCTGCAAAAAGAGAGATTCAAAACTGCTCAATCAAAAGATAGTTTCTACTCCATTAGCTGAAAGACCACATCACAAAAAAAGTTTCTCAGGATGCTTCTGTGTAGTTTTTATGTGAACATATATTGGTTTTCCACAGTAGGCCTCAAAGCGCTCCAAATATCCGCTCACAGACTCTGCAAAAAGAGAGATTCAAAACTGCTGAATCAAAAGACAGTTTCAACTCTGTGACTTCAGTGCACACCTCACAAGGATGTTTCTCAGAATGCTTCTGTGTAGTTTTTATATAAAGATATCTCCTTCTCCAAAATGGATCTCAAAGTTCTCCAAATATTCACTTCCAGATTCTATGGAAAGATTGTCTCAAAACTGCTCAATCAAACCAAAGGTTCAACTCTGTGAGATGAATGCCCACATCACAAAGAAGTTTCTCAGAGTACTTCTGTGTAGTTTCTATTTGAGGATAGTTCCTTTTCCACCACAGACCAGAAAGGGCTCCATATATCCATTGCAGATGGTACAAAAAGTGAGATTCAAAACTGCTCAATCCAAAGGTAGTTTCAACCATGTGATATGAATGCACACAGCACAGAGAATTTTCTCAAAATGCGTCTGTCTAGTTTTTATTTGAAGATATTTCCTTTTCTACCATAGGCCACAAACGTCTCCAAATATCCACATGCAGCTTCTACAAAAAGAGAGATTCAAAACTTCTCAATCAAAAGATAGGTTCAACTCTGTGAGTTGAAAGCACACCTCACAAAGAAGTTTCTCAGAGTGCTTCTGTGTGTTTTTATGTGAAGATATTTCCTTTTCCACAATAGGCCTCAAAGCTCTCCAAATATCTGCGAGCAGAGTCTACAAAATGAGAGATTCAAAACTGCTCAATGAAAAGATAGGTTCAACTCTGTGAGTTGAATGCACACCTCCAAAGAAGTTTCTCAGAATGCTTCCGTGTAGTTTTTATGTGAAGATATTTACTTTTCCACAGTTGTCCCAAAGCTCTAAAATATCCACTTGCAGACCCTCCAAAAGAGTGTTTCAGAATTGCTCAATCAAAGGGAAGGTTCAATTCTGTGTGACCAATGCACTCATCACAAAGAAGTTTGTCTGAATGCTTCTGTGTAGAATTGATTTGAAGATAATTCCTTTTCCACCACAGTCCGCAAAGGGCTAAAAATATCCACTTGCCGATTCCACAAAAAGAGAGATTCAAAACTGCTCAATCACAAGATAGGTTCAACTTGGTAATTGGAAAGCACACATGACAAACAATTTCTGAGAATGTTTCTGTGTAGTTTTTAAGGGAAGATATTTGATTTTCAAATGTAGGCCTCAAATCGCTCCAAATATCCACTTGCATATTGTACAAAAAGAGAGATTCAAAACTGGTCACTCAAAAGTTAGGTCCAGCTCTGTGAGCTGAATGCACACATCACAAAGATGTTTCTCAGAAGGTTTCTGTATAGTTTCTATATGAAGATATTTGCTTTTCCACAATATGCCTCAAATCTCCCCAATTATCCACTTGCAGATTCTAGAAAAAGAGTGTTTCAAAACAGCTCAATCCAAATAAACTTTCAACTCTGTGAGATCAATGCACACATCACAAAGAAGTTTCTCAGAATGCTTCTGTGTAGTTTTTTTTGTGAAGATATTTGATTTTCCACAGCAGGCTTCCAAGCACTCCAAATATCCACTCGCAGATTCTGCAAAAAGAGAGATTCAAATCTGCTGAATCAAAAGATAGGTTTAACTCTGTGACTTCAATGCACACCTCACAAGGGTGTTTCTCAGAAAGCTTCTGTGTAGTTTTTATATGAAGATATCTCCTTCTCCAAAGCAGGTCTCAAAGCCCTCCAAATATTCACTTCAAGATTCTACGGAAAGATTGTCTCAACACTGCTAAATCTAAACAAATGTTCAACTCTGTGTGATGAATGCACTCATCACAGAGAAGTTTCTCTGAATGCCTCTGTGTAGTTTTTATTTGAAGATATTTGCTTTTCCAGTATAGGGCGAAATAGGGCTCCAAATATTCACTTGCAGATTCTACAAAAGGAGAGATTCCAAACTGCTCAATCAAAACATAGGTTCAACACTTGTGAGTTGAATGCACACATCACAAAGAAGTTTCACAGAGTGCTTCTGGGTAGTTTTTATTTGAGGATATTTCCCTTTCCACAATAGGCCTCAAAGCTTTCCAAATATTCACTTGCAGATTCTGCAAAAAGAGAGATACAAAACTGCTCTATCAAAAGATAGATTCGACTCTGTGAGTTGAATGCCAACATCGCAAAGAAGTTTCTCAGAATGCTTCTCTGCAGCTTTTTTGTGAGTATGTTTCGTTTTCCACCATAGGGCGAAATGGGGCTCCAAATATCCACTTGCATTTCCTACAAAAAGAGAGATTCTAAGCTGCTCAATCAAAACATTGTTTCAACACGGTTAGTTGAATGCACACATCCCAAAGATGTTTTTCAGAGTGCTTCTGTGTGGTTTTTATGTGAAGATACTTCCTTTTCCACAATAGGCCTCAAATCTCTGTAAATATCCACTTGCAGACTCTACAAAGAGTGTTTCCAAACTCCTCAATCATAAGATAGGTTCAACTCCGATAGTTGAATGCACACATCACAAAGAAGTTTCTCAGAAAGCTTCTGTGTAGTTTTTGATGAAGATATCTTCTTCTCTAAAACAGAACTCCAAGCCCTCCAAATATTCACTTCAAGATTCTACGGAAAGATTGTCTCAAACTGCTAAATCAAAACAAAGGTTCAACTCTGTGTGATGAATGCATTCATCACAAAGAAGTTTCTCTGAGTGCTTCTGTGCAGTTTTTATTTGAAGATAATTGCTTTTCCAGTATAGGGCGAAATAGGGCTCCAAATATTCACTTGCAGATTCTACAGAAAGAGAGATTCCAAACTGCTCAATCAAAACATAGGTTCAACACTGTGAGTTGAATGCATACATCGCAAAGAAGTTTCACAGAGTACTTCTGGGTGGTTTTTATTTGAAGATATTTCCCTTTCCACAATAGGCCTCAAAGCTTTCCAAATGTCCACTTGCAGATTCCACCAAAAGAGTGTTTCGAAACTGCTCAATCAAAAGAAAGGTTCTACTCTGTGGGATGAATGCACACATCACAAAGTAGTTTCTCAGAATGCTTCTGTGTAGTTTTTATGTGAAGATATTGGTTTTTCCACAGTAGGCCCCAAGGAGCTCCAAATATTCACTTACAGATTCTACAAAAGGAGTGTTCCAAAACTGCTCAATCATGAAATAGGATCAACCCTGTGAGATGAATGTACGTATGACAGAGAAGTTTCTCAGAATGCTTCTGTGTAGTTTTTATGCGAAGATATTCGATTTTCCACAGTACGCCTCAAAGTTCTCCAATTATCCACTCGTAGATTCTGCAAAAAGAGAGATTCAAAACTGCTCAATCAAAAGATAGTTTCTACTCCATTAGCTGAAAGACCACATCGCAAAAAAAGTTTCTCAGGATGCTTCTGTGTAGTTTTTATGTGAAGATATTTGGTTTTCCACAGTAGGCCTCAAAGCGCTCCAAATATCCACTCACAGATTCTGCAAAAAGAGAGATTCAAAACTGCTGAATCAAAAGACAGTTTCAACTCTGTGACTTCAGTGCACACCTCACAAGGATGTTTCTCAGAATGCTTCTGTGTAGTTTTTATATAAAGATATCTCCTTCTCCAAAATGGATCTCAAAGTTCTCCAAATATTCACTTCCAGATTCTATGGAAAGATTGTCTCAAAACTGCTCAATCAAACCAAAGGTTCAACTCTGTGAGATGAATGCCCACATCACAAAGAAGTTTCTCAGAGTACTTCTGTGTAGTTTCTATTTGAGGATAGTTCCTTTTCCACCACAGACCAGAAAGGGCTCCAAATATCCATTGCAGATGGTACAAAAAGTGAGATTCAAAACTGCTCAATCCAAAGGTAGTTTCAACCATGTGATATGAATGCACACAGCACAGAGAATTTTCTCAAAATGCGTCTGTCTAGTTTTTATTTGAAGATATTTCCTTTTCTACCATAGGCCACAAACGTCTCCAAATATCCACATGCAGCTTCTACAAAAAGAGAGATTCAAAACTTCTCAATCAAAAGATAGGTTCAACTCTGTGAGTTGAAAGCACACCTCACAAAGAAGTTTCTCAGAGTGCTTCTGTGTGTTTTTATGTGAAGATATTTCCTTTTCCACAATAGGCCTCAAAGCTCTCCAAATATCTGCGAGCAGAGTCTACAAAATGAGAGATTCAAAACTGCTCAATGAAAAGATAGGTTCAACTCTGTGAGTTGAATGCACACCTCCAAAGAAGTTTCTCAGAATGCTTCCGTGTAGTTTTTATGTGAAGATATTTACTTTTCCACAGTTGTCCCAAAGCTCTAAAATGTCCACTTGCAGACCCTCCAAAAGAGTGTTTCAGAATTGCTCAATCAAAGGGAAGGTTCAATTCTGTGTGACCAATGCACTCATCACAAAGAAGTTTGTCTGAATGCTTCTGTGTAGAATTGATTTGAAGATAATTCCTTTTCCACCACAGTCCGCAAAGGGCTAAAAATATCCACTTGCCGATTCCACAAAAAGAGAGATTCCAAACTGCTCAATCACAAGATAGGTTCAACTTGGTAATTGGAAAGCACACATGACAAACAATTTCTGAGAATGTTTCTGTGTAGTTTTTAAGGGAAGATATTTGATTTTCAAATGTAGGCCTCAAATCGCTCCAAATATCCACTTGCATATTGTACAAAAAGAGAGATTCAAAACTGGTCACTCAAAAGTTAGGTCCAGCTCTGTGAGCTGAATGCACACATCACAAAGATGTTTCTCAGAAGGTTTCTGTATAGTTTCTATATGAAGATATTTGCTTTTCCACAATATGCCTCAAATCTCCCCAATTATCCACTTGCAGATTCTAGAAAAAGAGTGTTTCAAAACAGCTCAATCAAAATAAACTTTCAACTCTGTGAGATCAATGCACACATCACAAAGAAGTTTCTCAGAATGCTTCTGTGTAGTTTTTTTTGTGAAGATATTTGATTTTCCACAGCAGGCTTCCAAGCACTCCAAATATCCACTCGCAGATTCTGCAAAAAGAGAGATTCAAATCTGCTGAATCAAAAGATAGGTTTAACTCTGTGACTTCAATGCACACCTCACAAGGGTGTTTCTCAGAAAGCTTCTGTGTAGTTTTTATATGAAGATATCTCCTTCTCCAAAGCAGGTCTCAAAGCCCTCCAAATATTCACTTCAAAATTCTACGGAAAGATTGTCTCAACACTGCTAAATCTAAACAAATGTTCAACTCTGTGTGATGAATGCACTCATCACAGAGAAGTTTCTCTGAATGCCTCTGTGTAGTTTTTATTTGAAGATATTTGCTTTTCCAGTATAGGGCGAAATAGGGCTCCAAATATTCACTTGCAGATTCTACAAAAGGAGAGATTCCAAACTGCTCAATCAAAACATAGGTTCAACACTGTGAGTTGAATGCACACATCACAAAGAAGTTTCACAGAGTGCTTCTGGGTAGTTTTTATTTGAGGATATTTCCCTTTCCACAATAGGCCTCAAAGCTTTCCAAATATCCACTTGCAGATTCTGCAAAAAGAGAGATACAAAACTGCTCTATCAAAAGATAGATTCGACTCTGTGAGTTGAATGCCAACATCGCAAAGAAGTTTCTCAGAATGCTTCTCTGCAGCTTTTTTGTGAGTATGTTTCGTTTTCCACCATAGGGCGAAATGGGGCTCCAAATATCCACTTGCATTTCCTACAAAAAGAGAGATTCTAAGCTGCTCAATCAAAACATTGTTTCAACACGGTTAGTTGAATGCACACATCCCAAAGATGTTTTTCAGAGTGCTTCTGTGTGGTTTTTATGTGAAGATACTTCCTTTTCCACAATAGGCCTCAAATCTCTGTAAATATCCACTTGCAGACTCTACAAAGAGTGTTTCCAAACTGCTCAATCATAAGATAGGTTCAACTCCGATAGTTGAATGCACACATCACAAAGAAGTTTCTCAGAAAGCTTCTGTGTAGTTTTTGATGAAGATATCTTCTTCTCTAAAACAGAACTCCAAGCCCTCCAAATATTCACTTCAAGATTCTACGGAAAGATTGTCTCAAAACTCCTAAATCAAAACAAAGTTTCAACTCTCTGTCATGAATGCATTCATCTCAAAGAAGTTTCTCTGAGTGCTTCTGTGCAGTTTTTATTTGAAGATAATTGCTTTTCCAGTATAGGGCGAAATAGGGCTCCAAATATTCACTTGCAGATTCTACAGAAAGAGAGATTCCAAACTGCTCAATCAAAACATAGGTTCAACACTGTGAGTTGAATGCATACATCGCAAAGAAGTTTCACAGAGTACTTCTGGGTGGTTTTTATTTGAAGATATTTCCCTTTCCACAATAGGCCTCAAAGCTTTCCAAATGTCCACTTGCAGATTCCACCAAAAGAGTGTTTCGAAACTGCTCAATCAAAAGAAAGGTTCTACTCTGTGGGATGAATGCACACATCACAAAGTAGTTTCTCAGAATGCTTCTGTGTAGTTTTTATGTGAAGATATTTGTTTTTCCACAGTAGGCCCCAAAGAGCTCCAAATATTCACTTGCAGATTCTACAAAAAGAGTGTTCCAAAACTGCTCAATCATGAAATAGGATCAACCCTGTGAGATGAATGTACGTATGACAGAGAAGTTTCTCAGAATGCTTCTGTGTAGTTTTTATGCGAAGATATTCGATTTTCCACAGTACGCCTCAAAGTTCTCCAATTATCCACTCGTAGATTCTGCAAAAAGAGAGATTCAAAACTGCTCAATCAAAAGATAGTTTCTACTCCATTAGCTGAAAGACCACATCACAAAAAAAGTTTCTCAGGATGCTTCTGTGTAGTTTTTATGTGAACATATTTGGTTTTCCACAGTAGGCCTCAAAGCGCTCCAAATATCCGCTCACAGATTCTGCAAAAAGAGAGATTCAAAACTGCTGAATCAAAAGACAGTTTCAACTCTGTGACTTCAGTGCACACCTCACAAGGATGTTTCTCAGAATGCTTCTGTGTAGTTTTTATATAAAGATATCTCCTTCTCCAAAATGGATCTCAAAGTTCTCCAAATATTCACTTCCAGATTCTATGGAAAGATTGTCTCAAAACTGCTCAATCAAACCAAAGGTTCAACTCTGTGAGATGAATGCCCACATCACAAAGAAGTTTCTCAGAGTACTTCTGTGTAGTTTCTATTTGAGGATAGTTCCTTTTCCACCACAGACCAGAAAGGGCTCCAAATATCCATTGCAGATGGTACAAAAAGTGAGATTCAAAACTGCTCAATCCAAAGGTAGTTTCAACCATGTGATATGAATGCACACAGCACAGAGAATTTTCTCAAAATGCGTCTGTCTAGTTTTTATTTGAAGATATTTCCTTTTCTACCATAGGCCACAAACGTCTCCAAATATCCACATGCAGCTTCTACAAAAAGAGAGATTCAAAACTTCTCAATCAAAAGATAGGTTCAACTCTGTGAGTTGAAAGCACACCTCACAGAGAAGTTTCTCAGAGTGCTTCTGTGTGTTTTTATGTGAAGATATTTCCTTTTCCACAATAGGCCTCAAAGCTCTCCAAATATCTGCGAGCAGAGTCTACAAAATGAGAGATTCAAAACTGCTCAATGAAAAGATAGGTTCAACTCTGTGAGTTGAATGCACACCTCCAAAGAAGTTTCTCAGAATGCTTCCGTGTAGTTTTTATGTGAAGATATTTACTTTTCCACAGTTGTCCCAAAGCTCTAAAATGTCCACTTGCAGACCCTCCAAAAGAGTGTTTCAGAATTGCTCAATCAAAGGGAAGGTTCAATTCTGTGTGACCAATGCACTCATCACAAAGAAGTTTGTCTGAATGCTTCTGTGTAGAATTGATTTGAAGATAATTCCTTTTCCACCACAGTCCGCAAAGGGCTAAAAATATCCACTTGCCGATTCCACAAAAAGAGAGATTCAAAACTGCTCAATCACAAGATAGGTTCAACTTGGTAATTGGAAAGCACACATGACAAACAATTTCTGAGAATGTTTCTGTGTAGTTTTTAAGGGAAGATATTTGATTTTCAAATGTAGGCCTCAAATCGCTCCAAATATCCACTTGCATATTGTACAAAAAGAGAGATTCAAAACTGGTCACTCAAAAGTTAGGTCCAGCTCTGTGAGCTGAATGCACACATCACAAAGATGTTTCTCAGAAGGTTTCTGTATAGTTTCTATATGAAGATATTTGCTTTTCCACAATATGCCTCAAATCTCCCCAATTATCCACTTGCAGATTCTAGAAAAAGAGTGTTTCAAAACAGCTCAATCAAAATAAACTTTCAACTCTGTGAGATCAATGCACACATCACAAAGAAGTTTCTCAGAATGCTTCTGTGTAGTTTTTTTTGTGAAGATATTTGATTTTCCACAGCAGGCTTCCAAGCACTCCAAATATCCACTCGCAGATTCTGCAAAAAGAGAGATTCAAATCTGCTGAATCAAAAGATAGGTTTAACTCTGTGACTTCAATGCACACCTCACAAGGGTGTTTCTCAGAAAGCTTCTGTGTAGTTTTTATATGAAGATATCTCCTTCTCCAAAGCAGGTCTCAAAGCCCTCCAAATATTCACTTCAAGATTCTACGGAAAGATTGTCTCAACACTGCTAAATCTAAACAAATGTTCAACTCTGTGTGATGAATGCACTCATCACAGAGAAGTTTCTCTGAATGCCTCTGTGTAGTTTTTATTTGAAGATATTTGCTTTTCCAGTATAGGGCGAAATAGGGCTCCAAATATTCACTTGCAGATTCTACAAAAGGAGAGATTCCAAACTGCTCAATCAAAACATAGGTTCAACACTGTGAGTTGAATGCACACATCACAAAGAAGTTTCACAGAGTGCTTCTGGGTAGTTTTTATTTGAGGATATTTCCCTTTCCACAATAGGCCTCAAAGCTTTCCAAATATCCACTTGCAGATTCTGCAAAAAGAGAGATACAAAACTGCTCTATCAAAAGATAGATTCGACTCTGTGAGTTGAATGCCAACATCGCAAAGAAGTTTCTCAGAATGCTTCTCTGCAGCTTTTTTGTGAGTATGTTTCGTTTTCCACCATAGGGCGAAATGGGGCTCCAAATATCCACTTGCATTTCCTACAAAAAGAGAGATTCTAAGCTGCTCAATCAAAACATTGTTTCAACACGGTTAGTTGAATGCACACATCCCAAAGATGTTTTTCAGAGTGCTTCTGTGTGGTTTTTATGTGAAGATACTTCCTTTTCCACAATAGGCCTCAAATCTCTGTAAATATCCACTTGCAGACTCTACAAAGAGTGTTTCCAAACTGCTCAATCATAAGATAGGTTCAACTCCGATAGTTGAATGCACACATCACAAAGAAGTTTCTCAGAAAGCTTCTGTGTAGTTTTTGATGAAGATATCTCCTTCTCTAAAACAGAACTCCAAGCCCTCCAAATATTCACTTCAAGATTCTACGGAAAGATTGTCTCAAAACTCCTAAATCAAAACAAAGTTTCAACTCTGTGTCATGAATGCATTCATCTCAAAGAAGTTTCTCTGAATGCTTCTGTGCAGTTTTTATTTGAAGATAATTGCTTTTCCAGTATAGGGCGAAATAGGGCTCCAAATATTCACTTGCAGATTCTACAGAAAGAGAGATTCCAAACTGCTCAATCAAAACATAGGTTCAACACTGTGAGTTGAATGCATACATCGCAAAGAAGTTTCACAGAGTACTTCTGGGTGGTTTTTATTTGAAGATATTTCCCTTTCCACAATAGGCCTCAAAGCTTTCCAAATGTCCACTTGCAGATTCCACCAAAAGAGTGTTTCGAAACTGCTCAATCAAAAGAAAGGTTCTACTCTGTGGGATGAATGCACACATCACAAAGTAGTTTCTCAGAATGCTTCTGTGTAGTTTTTATGTGAAGATATTTGTTTTTCCACTGTAGGCCCCAAGGAGCTCCAAATATTCACTTGCAGATTCTACAAAAAGAGTGTTCCAAAACTGCTCAATCATGAAATAGGATCAACCCTGTGAGATGAATGTACGTATGACAGAGAAGTTTCTCAGAATGCTTCTGTGTAGTTTTTATGCGAAGATATTCGATTTTCCACAGTACGCCTCAAAGTTCTCCAATTATCCACTCGTAGATTCTGCAAAAAGAGAGATTCAAAACTGCTCAATCAAAAGATAGTTTCTACTCCATTAGCTGAAAGACCACATCACAAAAAAAGTTTCTCAGGATGCTTCTGTGTAGTTTTTATGTGAAGATATTTGGTTTTCCACAGTAGGCCTCAAAGCGCTCCAAATATCCACTCACAGATTCTGCAAAAAGAGAGATTCAAAACTGCTGAATCAAAAGACAGTTTCAACTCTGTGACTTCAGTGCACACCTCACAAGGATGTTTCTCAGAATGCTTCTGTGTAGTTTTCATATAAAGATATCTCCTTCTCCAAAATGGATCTCAAAGTTCTCCAAATATTCACTTCCAGATTCTATGGAAAGATTGTCTCAAAACTGCTCAATCAAACCAAAGGTTCAACTCTGTGAGATGAATGCCCACATCACAAAGAAGTTTCTCAGAGTACTTCTGTGTAGTTTCTATTTGAGGATAGTTCCTTTTCCACCACAGACCAGAAAGGGCTCCAAATATCCATTGCAGATGGTACAAAAAGTGAGATTCAAAACTGCTCAATCCAAAGGTAGTTTCAACCATGTGATATGAATGCACACAGCACAGAGAATTTTCTCAAAATGCGTCTGTCTAGTTTTTATTTGAAGATATTTCCTTTTCTACCATAGGCCACAAACGTCTCCAAATATCCACATGCAGCTTCTACAAAAAGAGAGATTCAAAACTTCTCAATCAAAAGATAGGTTCAACTCTGTGAGTTGAAAGCACACCTCACAAAGAAGTTTCTCAGAGTGCTTCTGTGTGTTTTTATGTGAAGATATTTCCTTTTCCACAATAGGCCTCAAAGCTCTCCAAATATCTGCGAGCAGAGTCTACAAAATGAGAGATTCAAAACTGCTCAATTAAAAGATAGGTTCAACTCTGTGAGTTGAATGCACACCTCCAAAGAAGTTTCTCAGAATGCTTCCGTGTAGTTTTTATGTGAAGATATTTACTTTTCCACAGTTGTCCCAAAGCTCTAAAATGTCCACTTGCAGACCCTCCAAAAGAGTGTTTCAGAATTGCTCAATCAAAGGGAAGGTTCAATTCTGTGTGACCAATGCACTCATCACAAAGAAGTTTGTCTGAATGCTTCTGTGTAGAATTGATTTGAAGATAATTCCTTTTCCACCACAGTCTGCAAAGGGCTAAAAATATCCACTTGCCAATTCCACAAAAAGAGAGATTCCAAACTGCTCAATCACAAGATAGGTTCAACTTGGTAATTGGAAAGCACACATGACAAACAATTTCTGAGAATGTTTCTGTGTAGTTTTTAAGGGAAGATATTTGATTTTCAAATGTAGGCCTCAAATCGCTCCAAATATCCACTTGCATATTGTACAAAAAGAGAGATTCAAAACTGGTCACTCAAAAGTTAGGTCCAGCTCTGTGAGCTGAATGCACACATCACAAAGATGTTTCTCAGAAGGTTTCTGTATAGTTTTTATATGAAGATATTTGCTTTTCCACAATATGCCTCAAATCTCCCCAATTATCCACTTGCAGATTCTAGAAAAAGAGTGTTTCAAAACAGCTCAATCAAAATAAACTTTCAACTCTGTGAGATCAATGCACACATCACAAAGAAGTTTCTCAGAATGCTTCTGTGTAGTTTTTTTTGTGAAGATATTTGATTTTCCACAGCAGGCTTCCAAGCACTCCAAATATCCACTCGCAGATTCTGCAAAAAGAGAGATTCAAATCTGCTGAATCAAAAGATAGGTTTAACTCTGTGACTTCAATGCACACCTCACAAGGGTGTTTCTCAGAAAGCTTCTGTGTAGTTTTTATATGAAGATATCTCCTTCTCCAAAGCAGGTCTCAAAGCCCTCCAAATATTCACTTCAAGATTCTACGGAAAGATTGTCTCAACACTGCTAAATCTAAACAAATGTTCAACTCTGTGTGATGAATGCACTCATCACAGAGTAGTTTCTCTGAATGCCTCTGTGTAGTTTTTATTTGAAGATATTTGCTTTTCCAGTATAGGGTGAAATAGGGCTCCAAATATTCACTTGCAGATTCTACAAAAGGAGAGATTCCAAACTGCTCAATCAAAACATAGGTTCAACACTGTGAGTTGAATGCACACATCACAAAGAAGTTTCACAGAGTGCTTCTGGGTAGTTTTTATTTGAGGATATTTCCCTTTCCACAATAGGCCTCAAAGCTTTCCAAATATCCACTTGCAGATTCTGCAAAAAGAGAGATACAAAACTGCTCTATCAAAAGATAGATTCGACTCTGTGAGTTGAATGCCAACATCGCAAAGAAGTTTCTCAGAATGCTTCTCTGCAGCTTTTTTGTGAGTATGTTTCGTTTTCCACCATAGGGCGAAATGGGGCTCCAAATATCCACTTGCATTTCCTACAAAAAGAGAGATTCTAAGCTGCTCAATCAAAACATTGTTTCAACACGGTTAGTTGAATGCACACATCCCAAAGATGTTTTTCAGAGTGCTTCTGTGTGGTTTTTATGTGAAGATACTTCCTTTTCCACAATAGGCCTCAAATCTCTGTAAATATCCACTTGCAGACTCTACAAAGAGTGTTTCCAAACTGCTCAATCATAAGATAGGTTCAACTCCGATAGTTGAATGCACACATCACAAAGAAGTTTCTCAGAAAGCTTTCTGTGTAGTTTTTGATGAAGATATCTCCTTCTCTAAAACAGAACTCCAAGCCCTCCAAATATTCACTTCAAGATTCTACGGAAAGATTGTCTCAAAACTCCTAAATCAAAACAAAGTTTCAACTCTGTGTCATGAATGCATTCATCTCAAAGAAGTTTCTCTGAATGCTTCTGTGCAGTTTTTATTTGAAGATAATTGCTTTTCCAGTATAGGGCGAAATAGGGCTCCAAATATTCACTTGCAGATTCTACAGAAAGAGAGATTCCAACCTGCTCAATCAAAACATAGGTTCAACACTGTGAGTTGAATGCATACATCGCAAAGAAGTTTCACAGAGTACTTCTGGGTGGTTTTTATTTGAAGATATTTCCCTTTCCACAATAGGCCTCAAAGCTTTCCAAATGTCCACTTGCAGATTCCACCAAAAGAGTGTTTCAAAACTGCTCAATCAAAAGAAAGGTTCTACTCTGTGGGATGAATGCACACATCACAAAGTAGTTTCTCAGAATGCTTCCTGTGTAGTTTTTATGTGAAGATATTTGTTTTTCCACAGTAGGCCCCAAAGAGCTCCAAATATTCACTTGCAGATTCTACAAAAAGAGTGTTCCAAAACTGCTCAATCATGAAATAGGATCAACCCTGTGAGATGAATGTACGTATGACAGAGAAGTTTCTCAGAATGCTTCTGTGTAGTTTTTATGCGAAGATATTCGATTTTCCACAGTACGCCTCAAAGTTCTCCAATTATCCACTCGTAGATCCTGCAAAAAGAGAGATTCAAAACTGCTCAATCAAAAGATAGTTTCTACTCCATTAGCTGAAAGACCACATCACAAAAAAAGTTTCTCAGGATGCTTCTGTGTAGTTTTTATGTGAAGATATTTGGTTTTCCACAGTAGGCCTCAAAGCGCTCCAAATATCCACTCACAGATTCTGCAAAAAGAGAGATTCAAAACTGCTGAATCAAAAGACAGTTTCAACTCTGTGACTTCAGTGCACACCTCACAAGGATGTTTCTCAGAATGCTTCTGTGTAGTTTTTATATAAAGATATCTCCTTCTCCAAAATGGATCTCAAAGTTCTCCAAATATTCACTTCCAGATTCTATGGAAAGATTGTCTCAAAACTGCTCAATCAAACCAAAGGTTCAACTCTGTGAGATGAATGCCCACATCACAAAGAAGTTTCTCAGAGTACTTCTGTGTAGTTTCTATTTGAGGATAGTTCCTTTTCCACCACAGACCAGAAAGGGCTCCAAATATCCATTGCAGATGGTACAAAAAGTGAGATTCAAAACTGCTCAATCCAAAGGTAGTTTCAACCATGTGATATGAATGCACACAGCACAGAGAATTTTCTCAAAATGCGTCTGTCTAGTTTTTATTTGAAGATATTTCCTTTTCTACCATAGGCCACAAACGTCTCCAAATATCCACATGCAGCTTCTACAAAAAGAGAGATTCAAAACTTCTCAATCAAAAGATAGGTTCAACTCTGTGAGTTGAAAGCACACCTCACAGAGAAGTTTCTCAGAGTGCTTCTGTGTGTTTTTATGTGAAGATATTTCCTTTTCCACAATAGGCCTCAAAGCTCTCCAAATATCTGCGAGCAGAGTCTACAAAATGAGAGATTCAAAACTGCTCAATGAAAAGATAGGTTCAACTCTGTGAGTTGAATGCACACCTCCAAAGAAGTTTCTCAGAATGCTTCCGTGTAGTTTTTATGTGAAGATATTTACTTTTCCACAGTTGTCCCAAAGCTCTAAAATGTCCACTTGCAGACCCTCCAAAAGAGTGTTTCAGAATTGCTCAATCAAAGGGAAGGTTCAATTCTGTGTGACCAATGCACTCATCACAAAGAAGTTTGTCTGAATGCTTCTGTGTAGAATTGATTTGAAGATAATTCCTTTTCCACCACAGTCCGCAAAGGGCTAAAAATATCCACTTGCCGATTCCACAAAAAGAGAGATTCAAAACTGCTCAATCACAAGATAGGTTCAACTTGGTAATTGGAAAGCACACATGACAAACAATTTCTGAGAATGTTTCTGTGTAGTTTTTAAGGGAAGATATTTGATTTTCAAATGTAGGCCTCAAATCGCTCCAAATATCCACTTGCATATTGTACAAAAAGAAAGATTCAAAACTGGTCACTCAAAAGTTAGGTCCAGCTCTGTGAGCTGAATGCACACATCACAAAGATGTTTCTCAGAAGGTTTCTGTATAGTTTTTATATGAAGATATTTGCTTTTCCACAATATGCCTCAAATCTCCCCAATTATCCACTTGCAGATTCTAGAAAAAGAGTGTTTCAAAACAGCTCAATCAAAATAAACTTTCAACTCTGTGAGATCAATGCACACATCACAAAGAAGTTTCTCAGAATGCTTCTGTGTAGTTTTTTTTGTGAAGATATTTGATTTTCCACAGCAGGCTTCCAAGCACTCCAAATATCCACTCGCAGATTCTGCAAAAAGAGAGATTCAAATCTGCTGAATCAAAAGATAGGTTTAACTCTGTGACTTCAATGCACACCTCACAAGGGTGTTTCTCAGAAAGCTTCTGTGTAGTTTTTATATGAAGATATCTCCTTCTCCAAAGCAGGTCTCAAAGCCCTCCAAATATTCACTTCAAGATTCTACGGAAAGATTGTCTCAACACTGCTAAATCTAAACAAATGTTCAACTCTGTGTGATGAATGCACTCATCACAGAGAAGTTTCTCTGAATGCCTCTGTGTAGTTTTTATTTGAAGATATTTGCTTTTCCAGTATAGGGCGAAATAGGGCTCCAAATATTCACTTGCAGATTCTACAAAAGGAGAGATTCCAAACTGCTCAATCAAAACATAGGTTCAACACTGTGAGTTGAATGCACACATCACAAAGAAGTTTCACAGAGTGCTTCTGGGTAGTTTTTATTTGAGGATATTTCCCTTTCCACAATAGGCCTCAAAGCTTTCCAAATATCCACTTGCAGATTCTGCAAAAAGAGAGATACAAAACTGCTCTATCAAAAGATAGATTCGACTCTGTGAGTTGAATGCCAACATCGCAAAGAAGTTTCTCAGAATGCTTCTCTGCAGCTTTTTTGTGAGTATGTTTCGTTTTCCACCATAGGGCGAAATGGGGCTCCAAATATCCACTTGCATTTCCTACAAAAAGAGAGATTCTAAGCTGCTCAATCAAAACATTGTTTCAACACGGTTAGTTGAATGCACACATCCCAAAGATGTTTTTCAGAGTGCTTCTGTGTGGTTTTTATGTGAAGATACTTCCTTTTCCACAATAGGCCTCAAATCTCTGTAAATATCCACTTGCAGACTCTACAAAGAGTGTTTCCAAACTGCTCAATCATAAGATAGGTTCAACTCCGATAGTTGAATGCACACATCACAAAGAAGTTTCTCAGAAAGCTTTCTGTGTAGTTTTTGATGAAGATATCTCCTTCTCTAAAACAGAACTCCAAGCCCTCCAAATATTCACTTCAAGATTCTACGGAAAGATTGTCTCAAAACTCCTAAATCAAAACAAAGTTTCAACTCTGTGTCATGAATGCATTCATCTCAAAGAAGTTTCTCTGAATGCTTCTGTGCAGTTTTTATTTGAAGATAATTGCTTTTCCAGTATAGGGCGAAATAGGGCTCCAAATATTCACTTGCAGATTCTACAGAAAGAGAGATTCCAAACTGCTCAATCAAAACATAGGTTCAACACTGTGAGTTGAATGCATACATCGCAAAGAAGTTTCACAGAGTACTTCTGGGTGGTTTTTATTTGAAGATATTTCCCTTTCCACAATAGGCCTCAAAGCTTTCCAAATGTCCACTTGCAGATTCCACCAAAAGCGTGTTTCGAAACTGCTCAATCAAAAGAAAGGTTCTACTCTGTGGGATGAATGCACACATCACAAAGTAGTTTCTCAGAATGCTTCTGTGTAGTTTTTATGTGAAGATATTTGTTTTTCCACAGTAGGCCCCAAAGAGCTCCAAATATTCACTTGCAGATTCTACAAAAAGAGTGTTCCAAAACTGCTCAATCATGAAATAGGATCAACCCTGTGAGATGAATGTACGTATGACAGAGAAGTTTCTCAGAATGCTTCTGTGTAGTTTTTATGCGAAGATATTCGATTTTCCACAGTACGCCTCAAAGTTCTCCAATTATCCACTCGTAGATTCTGCAAAAAGAGAGATTCAAAACTGCTCAATCAAAAGATAGTTTCTACTCCATTAGCTGAAAGACCACATCACAAAAAAAGTTTCTCAGGATGCTTCTGTGTAGTTTTTATGTGAAGATATTTGGTTTTCCACAGTAGGCCTCAAAGCGCTCCAAATATCCACTCACAGATTCTGCAAAAAGAGAGATTCAAAACTGCTGAATCAAAAGACAGTTTCAACTCTGTGACTTCAGTGCACACCTCACAAGGATGTTTCTCAGAATGCTTCTGTGTAGTTTTCATATAAAGATATCTCCTTCTCCAAAATGGATCTCAAAGTTCTCCAAATATTCACTTCCAGATTCTATGGAAAGATTGTCTCAAAACTGCTCAATCAAACCAAAGGTTCAACTCTGTGAGATGAATGCCCACATCACAAAGAAGTTTCTCAGAGTACTTCTGTGTAGTTTCTATTTGAGGATAGTTCCTTTTCCACCACAGACCAGAAAGGGCTCCAAATATCCATTGCAGATGGTACAAAATGTGAGATTCAAAACTGCTCAATCCAAAGGTAGTTTCAACCCTGTGATATGAATGCACACAGCACAGAGAATTTTCTCAAAATGCGTCTGTCTAGTTTTTATTTGAAGATATTTCCTTTTCTACCATAGGCCACAAACGTCTCCAAATATCCACATGCAGCTTCTACAAAAAGAGAGATTCAAAACTTCTCAATCAAAAGATAGGTTCAACTCTGTGAGTTGAAAGCACACCTCACAAAGAAGTTTCTCAGAGTGCTTCTGTGTGTTTTTATGTGAAGATATTTCCTTTTCCACAATAGGCCTCAAAGCTCTCCAAATATCTGCGAGCAGAGTCTACAAAATGAGAGATTCAAAACTGCTCAATGAAAAGATAGGTTCAACTCTGTGAGTTGAATGCACACCTCCAAAGAAGTTTCTCAGAATGCTTCCGTGTAGTTTTTATGTGAAGATATTTACTTTTCCACAGTTGTCCCAAAGCTCTAAAATATCCACTTGCAGACCCTCCAAAAGAGTGTTTCAGAATTGCTCAATCAAAGGGAAGGTTCAATTCTGTGTGACCAATGCACTCATCACAAAGAAGTTTGTCTGAATGCTTCCTGTGTAGAATTGATTTGAAGATAATTCCTTTTCCACCACAGTCCGCAAAGGGCTAAAAATATCCACTTGCCGATTCCACAAAAAGAGAGATTCAAAACTGCTCAATCACAAGATAGGTTCAACTTGGTAATTGGAAAGCACACATGACAAACAATTTCTGAGAATGTTTCTGTGTAGTTTTTAAGGGAAGATATTTGATTTTCAAATGTAGGCCTCAAATCGCTCCAAATATCCACTTGCATATTGTACAAAAAGAGAGATTCAAAACTGGTCACTCAAAAGTTAGGTCCAGCTCTGTGAGCTGAATGCACACATCACAAAGATGTTTCTCAGAAGGTTTCTGTATAGTTTCTATATGAAGATATTTGCTTTTCCACAATATGCCTCAAATCTCCCCAATTATCCACTTGCAGATTCTAGAAAAAGAGTGTTTCAAAACAGCTCAATCAAAATAAACTTTCAACTCTGTGAGATCAATGCACACATCACAAAGAAGTTTCTCAGAATGCTTCTGTGTAGTTTTTTTTGTGAAGATATTTGATTTTCCACAGCAGGCTTCCAAGCACTCCAAATATCCACTCGCAGATTCTGCAAAAAGAGAGATTCAAATCTGCTGAATCAAAAGATAGGTTTAACTCTGTGACTTCAATGCACACCTCACAAGGGTGTTTCTCAGAAAGCTTCTGTGTAGTTTTTATATGAAGATATCTCCTTCTCCAAAGCAGGTCTCAAAGCCCTCCAAATATTCACTTCAAGATTCTACGGAAAGATTGTCTCAACACTGCTAAATCTAAACAAATGTTCAACTCTGTGTGATGAATGCACTCATCACAGAGAAGTTTCTCTGAATGCCTCTGTGTAGTTTTTATTTGAAGATATTTGCTTTTCCAGTATAGGGCGAAATAGGGCTCCAAATATTCACTTGCAGATTCTACAAAAGGAGAGATTCCAAACTGCTCAATCAAAACATAGGTTCAACACTGTGAGTTGAATGCACACATCACAAAGAAGTTTCACAGAGTGCTTCTGGGTAGTTTTTATTTGAGGATATTTCCCTTTCCACAATAGGCCTCAAAGCTTTCCAAATATCCACTTGCAGATTCTGCAAAAAGAGAGATACAAAACTGCTCTATCAAAAGATAGATTCGACTCTGTGAGTTGAATGCCAACATCGCAAAGAAGTTTCTCAGAATGCTTCTCTGCAGCTTTTTTGTGAGTATGTTTCGTTTTCCACCATAGGGCGAAATGGGGCTCCAAATATCCACTTGCATTTCCTACAAAAAGAGAGATTCTAAGCTGCTCAATCAAAACATTGTTTCAACACGGTTAGTTGAATGCACACATCCCAAAGATGATTTTCAGAGTGCTTCTGTGTGGTTTTTATGTGAAGATACTTCCTTTTCCACAATAGGCCTCAAATCTCTGTAAATATCCACTTGCAGACTCTACAAAGAGTGTTTCCAAACTGCTCAATCATAAGATAGGTTCAACTCCGATAGTTGAATGCACACATCACAAAGAAGTTTCTCAGAAAGCTTCTGTGTAGTTTTTGATGAAGATATCTCCTTCTCTAAAACAGAACTCCAATCCCTCCAAATATTCACTTCAAGATTCTACGGAAAGATTGTCTCAAACTGCTAAATCAAAACAAAGGTTCAACTCTGTGTGATGAATGCATTCATCACAAAGAAGTTTCTCTGAGTGCTTCTGTGCAGTTTTTATTTGAAGATAATTGCTTTTCCAGTATAGGGCGAAATAGGGCTCCAAATATTCACTTGCAGATTCTACAGAAAGAGAGATTCCAAACTGCTCAATCAAAACATAGGTTCAACACTGTGAGTTGAATGCATACATCGCAAAGAAGTTTCACAGAGTACTTCTGGGGTGGTTTTTATTTGAAGATATTTCCCTTTCCACAATAGGCCTCAAAGCTTTCCAAATGTCCACTTGCAGATTCCACCAAAAGAGTGTTTCGAAACTGCTCAATCAAAAGAAAGGTTCTACTCTGTGGGATGAATGCACACATCACAAAGTAGTTTCTCAGAATGCTTCTGTGTAGTTTTTATGTGAAGATATTTGTTTTTCCACAGTAGGCCCCAAAGAGCTCCAAATATTCACTTGCAGATTCTACAAAAAGAGTGTTCCAAAACTGCTCCATCATGAAATAGGATCAACCCTGTGAGATGAATGTACGTATGACAGAGAAGTTTCTCAGAATGCTTCTGTGTAGTTTTTATGCGAAGATATTCGATTTTCCACAGTACGCCTCAAAGTTCTCCAATTATCCACTCGTAGATCCTGCAAAAAGAGAGATTCAAAACTGCTCAATCAAAAGATAGTTTCTACTCCATTAGCTGAAAGACCACATCACAAAAAAAGTTTCTCAGGATGCTTCTGTGTAGTTTTTATGTGAAGATATTTGGTTTTCCACAGTAGGCCTCAAAGCGCTCCAAATATCCACTCACAGATTCTGCAAAAAGAGAGATTCAAAACTGCTGAATCAAAAGACAGTTTCAACTCTGTGACTTCAGTGCACACCTCACAAGGATGTTTCTCAGAATGCTTCTGTGTAGTTTTTATATAAAGATATCTCTTCTCCAAAATGGATCTCAAAGTTCTCCAAATATTCACTTCCAGATTCTATGGAAAGATTGTCTCAAAACTGCTCAATCAAACCAAAGGTTCAACTCTGTGAGATGAATGCCCACATCACAAAGAAGTTTCTCAGAGTACTTCTGTGTAGTTTCTATTTGAGGATAGTTCCTTTTCCACCACAGACCAGAAAGGGCTCCAAATATCCATTGCAGATGGTACAAAAAGTGAGATTCAAAACTGCTCAATCCAAAGGTAGTTTTAACCATGTGATATGAATGCACACAGCACAGAGAATTTTCTCAAAATGCGTCTGTCTAGTTTTTATTTGAAGATATTTCCTTTTCTACCACAGGCCACAAACGTCTCCAAATATCCACATGCAGCTTCTACAAAAAGAGAGATTCAAAACTTCTCAATCAAAAGATAGGTTCAACTCTGTGAGTTGAAAGCACACCTCACAAAGAAGTTTCTCAGAGTGCTTCTGTGTGTTTTTATGTGAAGATATTTCCTTTTCCACAACAGGCCTCAAAGCTCTCCAAATATCTGCGAGCAGAGTCTACAAAATGAGAGATTCAAAACTGCTCAATGAAAAGATAGGTTCAACTCTGTGAGTTGAATGCACACCTCCAAAGAAGTTTCTCAGAATGCTTCCGTGTAGTTTTTATGTGAAGATATTTACTTTTCCACAGTTGTCCCAAAGCTCTAAAATATCCACTTGCAGACCCTCCAAAAGAGTGTTTCAGAATTGCTCAATCAAAAGGAAGGTTCAATTCTGTGTGACCAATGCACTCATCACAAAGAAGTTTGTCTGAATGCTTCTGTGTAGAATTGATTTGAAGATAATTCCTTTTCCACCACAGTCCGCAAAGGGCTAAAAATATCCACTTGCCGATTCCACAAAAAGAGAGATTCAAAACTGCTCAATCACAAGATAGGTTCAACTTGGTAATTGGAAAGCACACATGACAAACAATTTCTGAGAATGTTTCTGTGTAGTTTTTAAGGGAAGATATTTGATTTTCAAATGTAGGCCTCAAATCGCTCCAAATATCCACTTGCATATTGTACAAAAAGAGAGATTCAAAACTGGTCACTCAAAAGTTAGGTCCAGCTCTGTGAGCTGAATGCACACATCACAAAGATGTTTCTCAGAAGGTTTCTGTATAGTTTCTATATGAAGATATTGGCTTTTCCACAATATGCCTCAAATCTCCCCAATTATCCACTTGCAGATTCTAGAAAAAGAGTGTTTCAAAACAGCTCAATCAAAATAAACTTTCAACTCTGTGAGATCAATGCACACATCACAAAGAAGTTTCTCAGAATGCTTCTGTGTAGTTTTTTTTGTGAAGATATTTGATTTTCCACAGCAGGCTTCCAAGCACTCCAAATATCCACTCGCAGATTCTGCAAAAAGAGAGATTCAAATCTGCTGAATCAAAAGATAGGTTTAACTCTGTGACTTCAATGCACACCTCACAAGGGTGTTTCTCAGAAAGCTTCTGTGTAGTTTTTATATGAGGATATCTCCTTCTCCAAAGCAGGTCTCAAAGCCCTCCAAATATTCACTTCAAGATTCTACGGAAAGATTGTCTCAACACTGCTAAATCTAAACAAATGTTCAACTCTGTGTGATGAATGCACTCATCACAGAGAAGTTTCTCTGAATGCCTCTGTGTAGTTTTTATTTGAAGATATTTGCTTTTCCAGTATAGGGCGAAATAGGGCTCCAAATATTCACTTGCAGATTCTACAAAAGGAGAGATTCCAAACTGCTCAATCAAAACATAGGTTCAACACTGTGAGTTGAATGCACACATCACAAAGAAGTTTCACAGAGTGCTTCTGGGTAGTTTTTATTTGAGGATATTTCCCTTTCCACAATAGGCCTCAAAGCTTTCCAAATATCCACTTGCAGATTCTGCAAAAACAGAGATACAAAACTGCTCTATCAAAAGATAGATTCGACTCTGTGAGTTGAATGCCAACATCGCAAAGAAGTTTCTCAGAATGCTTCTCTGCAGCTTTTTTGTGAGTATGTTTCGTTTTCCACCATAGGGCGAAATGGGGCTCCAAATATCCACTTGCATTTCCTACAAAAAGAGAGATTCTAAGCTGCTCAATCAAAACATTGTTTCAACACGGTTAGTTGAATGCACACATCCCAAAGACGTTTTTCAGAGTGCTTCTGTGTGGTTTTTATGTGAAGATACTTCCTTTTCCACAATAGGCCTCAAATCTCTGTAAATATCCACTTGCAGACTCTACAAAGAGTGTTTCCAAACTGCTCAATCATAAGATAGGTTCAACTCCGATAGTTGAATGCACACATCACAAAGAAGTTTCTCAGAAAGCTTCTGTGTAGTTTTTGATGAAGATATCTTCTTCTCTAAAACAGAACTCCAAGCCCTCCAAATATTCACTTCAAGATTCTACGGAAAGATTGTCTCAAACTGCTAAATCAAAACAAAGGTTCAACTCTGTGTGATGAATGCATTCATCACAAAGAAGTTTCTCTGAGTGCTTCTGTGCAGTTTTTATTTGAAGATAATTGCTTTTCCAGTATAGGGCGAAATAGGGCTCCAAATATTCACTTGCAGATTCTACAGAAAGAGAGATTCCAAACTGCTCAATCAAAACATAGGTTCAACACTGTGAGTTGAATGCATACATCGCAAAGAAGTTTCACAGAGTACTTCTGGGTGGTTTTTATTTGAAGATATTTCCCTTTCCACAATAGGCCTCAAAGCTTTCCAAATGTCCACTTGCAGATTCCACCAAAAGAGTGTTTCGAAACTGCTCAATCAAAAGAAAGGTTCTACTCTGTGGGATGAATGCACACATCACAAAGTAGTTTCTCAGAATGCTTCTGTGTAGTTTTTATGTGAAGATATTTGTTTTTCCACAGTAGGCCCCAAAGAGCTCCAAATATTCACTTGCAGATTCCACAAAAAGAGTGTTCCAAAACTGCTCAATCATGAAATAGGATCAACCCTGTGAGATGAATGTACGTATGACAGAGAAGTTTCTCAGAATGCTTCTGTGTAGTTTTTATGCGAAGATATTCGATTTTCCACAGTACGCCTCAAAGTTCTCCAATTATCCACTCGTAGATTCTGCAAAAAGAGAGATTCAAAACTGCTCAATCAAAAGATAGTTTCTACTCCATTAGCTGAAAGACCACATCACAAAAAAAGTTTCTCAGGATGCTTCTGTGTAGTTTTTATGTGAAGATATTTGGTTTTCCACAGTAGGCCTCAAAGCGCTCCAAATATCCACTCACAGATTCTGCAAAAAGAGAGATTCAAAACTGCTGAATCAAAAGACAGTTTCAACTCTGTGACTTCAGTGCACACCTCACAAGGATGTTTCTCAGAATGCTTCTGTGTAGTTTTCATATAAAGATATCTCCTTCTCCAAAATGGATCTCAAAGTTCTCCAAATATTCACTTCCAGATTCTATGGAAAGATTGTCTCAAAACTGCTCAATCAAACCAAAGGTTCAACTCTGTGAGATGAATGCCCACATCACAAAGAAGTTTCTCAGAGTACTTCTGTGTAGTTTCTATTTGAGGATAGTTCCTTTTCCACCACAGACCAGAAAGGGCTCCAAATATCCATTGCAGATGGTACAAAAAGTGAGATTCAAAACTGCTCAATCCAAAGGTAGTTTCAACCATGTGATATGAATGCACACAGCACAGAGAATTTTCTCAAAATGCGTCTGTCTAGTTTTTATTTGAAGATATTTCCTTTTCTACCATAGGCCACAAACGTCTCCAAATATCCACATGCAGCTTCTACAAAAAGAGAGATTCAAAACTTCTCAATCAAAAGATAGGTTCAACTCTGTGAGTTGAAAGCACACCTCACAGAGAAGTTTCTCAGAGTGCTTCTGTGTGTTTTTATGTGAAGATATTTCCTTTTCCACAATAGGCCTCAAAGCTCTCCAAATATCTGCGAGCAGAGTCTACAAAATGAGAGATTCAAAACTGCTCAATGAAAAGATAGGTTCAACTCTGTGAGTTGAATGCACACCTCCAAAGAAGTTTCTCAGAATGCTTCCGTGTAGTTTTTATGTGAAGATATTTACTTTTCCACAGTTGTCCCAAAGCTCTAAAATGTCCACTTGCAGACCCTCCAAAAGAGTGTTTCAGAATTGCTCAATCAAAGGGAAGGTTCAATTCTGTGTGACCAATGCACTCATCACAAAGAAGTTTGTCTGAATGCTTCTGTGTAGAATTGATTTGAAGATAATTCCTTTTCCACCACAGTCCGCAAAGGGCTAAAAATATCCACTTGCCGATTCCACAAAAAGAGAGATTCAAAACTGCTCAATCACAAGATAGGTTCAACTTGGTAATTGGAAAGCACACATGACAAACAATTTCTGAGAATGTTTCTGTGTAGTTTTTAAGGGAAGATATTTGATTTTCAAATGTAGGCCTCAAATCGCTCCAAATATCCACTTGCATATTGTACAAAAAGAGAGATTCAAAACTGGTCACTCAAAAGTTAGGTCCAGCTCTGTGAGCTGAATGCACACATCACAAAGATGTTTCTCAGAAGGTTTCTGTATAGTTTCTATATGAAGATATTTGCTTTTCCACAATATGCCTCAAATCTCCCCAATTATCCACTTGCAGATTCTAGAAAAAGAGTGTTTCAAAACAGCTCAATCAAAATAAACTTTCAACTCTGTGAGATCAATGCACACATCACAAAGAAGTTTCTCAGAATGCTCTGTGTAGTTTTTTTTGTGAAGATATTTGATTTTCCACAGCAGGCTTCCAAGCACTCCAAATATCCACTCGCAGATTCTGCAAAAAGAGAGATTCAAATCTGCTGAATCAAAAGATAGGTTTAACTCTGTGACTTCAATGCACACCTCACAAGGGTGTTTCTCAGAAAGCTTTCTGTGTAGTGTTTATATGAAGTTATCTCCTTCTCCAAAGCAGATCTCAAAGCCCTCCAAATATTCACTTCGAGATTCTACGGAAGATTGTCTCAACACTGCTAAATCAAAACAAAGTTTCAACTCTGTGTGATGAATGCACTCATCACAGAGAAGTTTCTCTGAATGCTTCTGTGTAGTTTTTATTTGAAGATATTTGCTTTTCCAGTATAGGGTGAAATAGGGCTCCAAATATTCACTTGCAGATTCTACAAAAAGAGAGATTCCAAACTGCTCAATCAAAACATAGGTTCAACACTGTGAGTTGAATGCACACATCACAAAGAAGTTTCACAGAGTGCTTCTGGGTAGTTTTCATTTGGGGATATTTCCCTTTCCACAATAGGCCTCAAAGCTTTCCAAATATCCACTTGCAGATTCTGCAAAAAGAGAGATACAAAACTGCTCTATCAAAAGATAGATTCGACTCTGTGAGTTGAATGCAAACAATGCAAAGAAGTTTCTCAGAATGCTTCTGTGTAGCTTCTTTGTGAATATGTTTCATTTTCCACCATATGGCGAAATGGGGCTCCAAATATCCACTTGCATTTTCTACAAAAAGAGAGATTCTAAGCTGCTCAATCAAAAGATAGGTTCACCCCTGTTAGTTGAATGCACACATCCCAAAGAAGTTTCTCAGAATGCTTCTGTGTAGCTTTTAGGTGAAGATATTTCCTTTTCCACAATAGGCCTCAAAGCTCTCCAAATATCTGCAAGCAGAGTCTACAAAAAGAGAGATTCAAAACTGCTCCATGAAAAGATAGGTTCAACTCTGTGAGTTGAATGCACACCTCCAAAGAAGTTTCTCAGAATACTTCCGTGTAGTTTTTATGTGAAGATATTTACTTTTCCACAATTGTCCCAAAGCTCTAAAATATCCACTTGCAGACCCTCTAAAAGAGTGTTTCAGAATTGCTCAATCAAAGGAAAGGTTCAATTCTGTGTGACCAATGCACTCATCACAAAGAAGTTTGTCGGAATGCTTCCTGTGTAGAATTGATTTGAAGATAATTCCTTTTCCACCACAGTCCGCAAAGGGCTAAAAATATCCACTTGCCGATTCCACAAAAAGAGAGATTCAAAACTGCTCAATCACAAGATAGGTTCAACTTGGTAATTGGAAAGCACACATGACAAACAATTTCTGAGAATGTTTCTGTGTAGTTTTTAAGGGAAGATATTTGATTTTCAAATGTAGGCCTCAAATCGCTCCAAATATCCACTTGCATATTGTACAAAAAGAGAGATTCAAAACTGGTCACTCGAAAGTTAGGTCCAGCTCTGTGAGCTGAATGCACACATCACAAAGATGTTTCTCAGAAGGTTTCTGTATAGTTTTTATATGAAGATATTTGCTTTTCCACAATATGCCTCAAATCTCCCCAATTATCCACTTGCAGATTCTAGAAAAAGAGTGTTTCAAAACAGCTCAATCAAAATAAACTTTCAACTCTGTGAGATCAATGCACACATCACAAAGAAGTTTCTCAGAATGCTTCTGTGTAGTTTTTTTTGTGAAGATATTTGATTTTCCACAGCAGGCTTCCAAGCACTCCAAATATCCACTCGCAGATTCTGCAAAAAGAGAGATTCAAATCTGCTGAATCAAAAGATAGGTTTAACTCTGTGACTTCAATGCACACCTCACAAGGGTGTTTCTCAGAAAGCTTCTGTGTAGTTTTTATATGAAGATATCTCCTTCTCCAAAGCAGGTCTCAAAGCCCTCCAAATATTCACTTCAAAATTCTACGGAAAGATTGTCTCAACACTGCTAAATCTAAACAAATGTTCAACTCTGTGTGATGAATGCACTCATCACAGAGAAGTTTCTCTGAATGCCTCTGTGTAGTTTTTATTTGAAGATATTTGCTTTTCCAGTATAGGGCGAAATAGGGCTCCAAATATTCACTTGCAGATTCTACAAAAGGAGAGATTCCAAACTGCTCAATCAAAACATAGGTTCAACACTGTGAGTTGAATGCACACATCACAAAGAAGTTTCACAGAGTGCTTCTGGGTAGTTTTTATTTGAGGATATTTCCCTTTCCACAATAGGCCTCAAAGCTTTCCAAATATCCACTTGCAGATTCTGCAAAAAGAGAGATACAAAACTGCTCTATCAAAAGATAGATTCGACTCTGTGAGTTGAATGCCAACATCGCAAAGAAGTTTCTCAGAATGCTTCTCTGCAGCTTTTTTGTGAGTATGTTTCGTTTTCCACCATAGGGCGAAATGGGGCTCCAAATATCCACTTGCATTTCCTACAAAAAGAGAGATTCTAAGCTGCTCAATCAAAACATTGTTTCAACACGGTTAGTTGAATGCACACATCCCAAAGATGTTTTTCAGAGTGCTCTGTGTGGTTTTTATGTGAAGATACTTCCTTTTCCACAATAGGCCTCAAATCTCTGTAAATATCCACTTGCAGACTCTACAAAGAGTGTTTCCAAACTCCTCAATCATAAGATAGGTTCAACTCCGATAGTTGAATGCACACATCACAAAGAAGTTTCTCAGAAAGCTTTCTGTGTAGTTTTTGATGAAGATATCTTCTTCTCTAAAACAGAACTCCAAGCCCTCCAAATATTCACTTCAAGATTCTACGGAAAGATTGTCTCAAACTGCTAAATCAAAACAAAGGTTCAACTCTGTGTGATGAATGCATTCATCACAAAGAAGTTTCTCTGAGTGCTTCTGTGCAGTTTTTATTTGAAGATAATTGCTTTTCCAGTATAGGGCGAAATAGGGCTCCAAATATTCACTTGCAGATTCTACAGAAAGAGAGATTCCAAACTGTTCAATCAAAACATAGGTTCAACACTGTGAGTTGAATGCATACATCGCAAAGAAAGTTTCACAGAGTACTTCTGGGTGGTTTTTATTTGAAGATATTTCCCTTTCCACAATAGGCCTCAAAGCTTTCCAAATGTCCACTTGCAGATTCCACCAAAAGAGTGTTTCGAAACTGCTCAATCAAAAGTAAGTTTCTACTCTGTGGGATGAATGCACACATCACAAAGTAGTTTCTCAGAATGCTTCTGTGTAGTTTTTATGTGAAGATATTTGTTTTTCCACAGTAGGCCCCAAAGAGCTCCAAATATTCACTTGCAGATTCTACAAAAAGAGTGTTCCAAAACTGCTCAATCATGAAATAGGATCAACCCTGTGAGACGCATGTACGTATGACAGAGAAGTTTCTCAGAATGCTTCTGTGTAGTTTTTATGCGAAGATATTCGATTTTCCACAGTACGCCTCAAAGTTCTCCAATTATCCACTCGTAGATCCTTCAAAAAGAGAGATTCAAAACTGCTCAATCAAAAGATAGTTTCTACTCCATTAGCTGAAAGACCACATCACAAAAAAAGTTTCTCAGGATGCTTCTGTGTAGTTTTTATGTGAAGATATTTGGTTTTCCACAGTAGGCCTCAAAGCGCTCCAAATATCCACTCACAGATTCTGCAAAAAGAGAGATTCAAAACTGCTGAATCAAAAGACAGTTTCAACTCTGTGACTTCAGTGCACACCTCACAAGGATGTTTCTCAGAATGCTTCTGTGTAGTTTTTATATAAAGATATCTCCTTCTCCAAAATGGATCTCAAAGTTCTCCAAATATTCACTTCCAGATTCTATGGAAAGATTGTCTCAAAACTGCTCAATCAAACCAAAGGTTCAACTCTGTGAGATAAATGCCCACATCACAAAGAAGTTTCTCAGAGTACTTCTGTGTAGTTTCTATTTGAGGATAGTTCCTTTTCCACCACAGACCAGAAAGGGCTCCAAATATCCATTGCAGATGGTACAAAAAGTGAGATTCAAAACTGCTCAATCCAAAGGTAGTTTCAACCATGTGATATGAATGCACACAGCACAGAGAATTTTCTCAAAATGCGTCTGTCTAGTTTTTATTTGAAGATATTTCCTTTTCTACCATAGGCCACAAACGTCGCCAAATATCCACATGCAGCTTCTACAAAAAGAGAGATTCAAAACTTCTCAATCAAAAGATAGGTTCAACTCTGTGAGTTGAAAGCACACCTCACAAAGAAGTTTCTCAGAGTGCTTCCTGTGTGTTTTTATGTGAAGATATTTCCTTTTCCACAATAGGCCTCAAAGCTCTCCAAATATCTGCGAGCAGAGTCTACAAAATGAGAGATTCAAAACTGCTCAATGAAAAGATAGGTTCAACTCTGTGAGTTGAATGCACACCTCCAAAGAAGTTTCTCAGAATGCTTCCGTGTAGTTTTTATGTGAAGATATTTACTTTTCCACAGTTGTCCCAAAGCTCTAAAATATCCACTTGCAGACCCTCCAAAAGAGTGTTTCAGAATTGCTCAATCAAAGGGAAGGTTCAATTCTGTGTGACCAATGCACTCATCACAAAGAAGTTTGTCTGAATGCTTCTGTGTAGAATTGATTTGAAGATAATTCCTTTTCCACCACAGTCCGCAAAGGGCTAAAAATATCCACTTGCCGATTCCACAAAAAGAGAGATTCAAAACTGCTCAATCACAAGATAGGTTCAACTTGGTAATTGGAAAGCACACATGACAAACAATTTCTGAGAATGTTTCTGTGTAGTTTTAAGGGAAGATATTTGATTTTCAAATGTAGGCCTCAAATCGCTCCAAATATCCACTTGCATATTGTACAAAAAGAGAGATTCAAAACTGGTCACTCGAAAGTTAGGTCCAGCTCTGTGAGCTGAATGCACACATCACAAAGATGTTTCTCAGAAGGTTTCTGTATAGTTTTTATATGAAGATATTTGCTTTTCCACAATATGCCTCAAATCTCCCCAATTATCCACTTGCAGATTCTAGAAAAAGAGTGTTTCAAAACAGCTCAATCAAAATAAACTTTCAACTCTGTGAGATCAATGCACACATCACAAAGAAGTTTCTCAGAATGCTTCTGTGTAGTTTTTTTTGTGAAGATATTTGATTTTCCACAGCAGGCTTCCAAGCACTCCAAATATCCACTCGCAGATTCTGCAAAAAGAGAGATTCAAATCTGCTGAATCAAAAGATAGGTTTAACTCTGTGACTTCAATGCACACCTCACAAGGGTGTTTCTCAGAAAGCTTCTGTGTAGTTTTTATATGAAGATATCTCCTTCTCCAAAGCAGGTCTCAAAGCCCTCCAAATATTCACTTCAAGATTCTACGGAAAGATTGTCTCAACACTGCTAAATCTAAACAAATGTTCAACTCTGTGTGATGAATGCACTCATCACAGAGAAGTTTCTCTGAATGCCTCTGTGTAGTTTTTATTTGAAGATATTTGCTTTTCCAGTATAGGGCGAAATAGGGCTCCAAATATTCACTTGCAGATTCTACAAAAGGAGAGATTCCAAACTGCTCAATCAAAACATAGGTTCAACACTGTGAGTTGAATGCACACATCACAAAGAAGTTTCACAGAGTGCTTCTGGGTAGTTTTTATTTGAGGATATTTCCCTTTCCACAATAGGCCTCAAAGCTTTCCAAATATCCACTTGCAGATTCTGCAAAAAGAGAGATACAAAACTGCTCTATCAAAAGATAGATTCGACTCTGTGAGTTGAATGCCAACATCGCAAAGAAGTTTCTCAGAATGCTTCTCTGCAGCTTTTTTGTGAGTATGTTTCGTTTTCCACCATAGGGCGAAATGGGGCTCCAAATATCCACTTGCATTTCCTACAAAAAGAGAGATTCTAAGCTGCTCAATCAAAACATTGTTTCAACACGGTTAGTTGAATGCACACATCCCAAAGATGTTTTTCAGAGTGCTTTCTGTGTGGTTTTTATGTGAAGATACTTCCTTTTCCACAATAGGCCTCAAATCTCTGTAAATATCCACTTGCAGACTCTACAAAGAGTGTTTCCAAACTCCTCAATCATAAGATAGGTTCAACTCCGATAGTTGAATGCACACATCACAAAGAAGTTTCTCGGAAAGCTTCTGTGTAGTTTTTGATGAAGATATCTTCTTCTCTAAAACAGAACTCCAAGCCCTCCAAATATTCACTTCAAGATTCTACGGAAAGATTGTCTCAAACTGCTAAATCAAAACAAAGGTTCAACTCTGTGTGATGAATGCATTCATCACAAAGAAGTTTCTCTGAGTGCTTCTGTGCAGTTTTTATTTGAAGATAATTGCTTTTCCAGTATAGGGCGAAATAGGGCTCCAAATATTCACTTGCAGATTCTACAGAAAGAGAGATTCCAAACTGCTCAATCAAAACATAGGTTCAACACTGTGAGTTGAATGCATACATCGCAAAGAAGTTTCACAGAGTACTTCTGGGTGGTTTTTATTTGAAGATATTTCCCTTTCCACAATAGGCCTCAAAGCTTTCCAAATGTCCACTTGCAGATTCCACCAAAAGAGTGTTTCGAAACTGCTCAATCAAAAGAAAGGTTCTACTCTGTGGGATGAATGCACACATCACAAAGTAGTTTCTCAGAATGCTTCTGTGTAGTTTTTATGTGAAGATATTTGTTTTTCCACAGTAGGCCCCAAAGAGCTCCAAATATTCACTTGCAGATTCTACAAAAAGAGTGTTCCAAAACTGCTCCATCATGAAATAGGATCAACCCTGTGAGATGAATGTACGTATGACAGAGAAGTTTCTCAGAATGCTTCTGTGTAGTTTTTATGCGAAGATATTCGACTTTCCACAGTACGCCTCAAAGTTCTCCAATTATCCACTCGTAGATCCTGCAAAAAGAGAGATTCAAAACTGCTCAATCAAAAGATAGTTTCTACTCCATTAGCTGAAAGACCACATCACAAAAAAAGTTTCTCAGGATGCTTCTGTGTAGTTTTTATGTGAAGATATTTGGTTTTCCACAGTAGGCCTCAAAGCGCTCCAAATATCCACTCACAGATTCTGCAAAAAGAGAGATTCAAAACTGCTGAATCAAAAGACAGTTTCAACTCTGTGACTTCAGTGCACACCTCACAAGGATGTTTCTCAGAATGCTTCTGTGGAGTTTTTATATAAAGATATCTCCTTCTCCAAAATGGATCTCAAAGTTCTCCAAATATTCACTTCCAGATTCTATGGAAAGATTGTCTCAAAACTGCTCAATCAAACCAAAGGTTCAACTCTGTGAGATGAATGCCCACATCACAAAGAAGTTTCTCAGAGTACTTCTGTGTAGTTTCTATTTGAGGATAGTTCCTTTTCCACCACAGACCAGAAAGGGCTCCAAATATCCATTGCAGATTGTACAAAAAGTGAGATTCAAAACTGCTCAATCCAAAGGTAGTTTCAACCATGTGATATGAATGCACACAGCACAGAGAATTTTCTCAAAATGCGTCTGTCTAGTTTTTATTTGAAGATATTTCCTTTTCTACCATAGGCCACAAACGTCTCCAAATATCCACATGCAGCTTCTACAAAAAGAGAGATTCAAAACTTCTCAATCAAAAGATAGGTTCAACTCTGTGAGTTGAAAGCACACCTCACAGAGAAGTTTCTCAGAGTGCTTCTGTGTGTTTTTATGTGAAGATATTTCCTTTTCCACAATAGGCCTCAAAGCTCTCCAAATATCTGCGAGCAGAGTCTACAAAATGAGAGATTCAAAACTGCTCAATGAAAAGATAGGTTCAACTCTGTGAGTTGAATGCACACCTCCAAAGAAGTTTCTCAGAATGCTTCCGTGTAGTTTTTATGTGAAGATATTTACTTTTCCACAGTTGTCCCAAAGCTCTAAAATGTCCACTTGCAGACCCTCCAAAAGAGTGTTTCAGAATTGCTCAATCAAAGGGAAGGTTCAATTCTGTGTGACCAATGCACTCATCACAAAGAAGTTTGTCTGAATGCTTCTGTGTAGAATTGATTTGAAGATAATTCCTTTTCCACCACAGTCCGCAAAGGGCTAAAAATATCCACTTGCCGATTCCACAAAAAGAGAGATTCAAAACTGCTCAATCACAAGATAGGTTCAACTTGGTAATTGGAAAGCACACATGACAAACAATTTCTGAGAATGTTTCTGTGTAGTTTTTAAGGGAAGATATTTGATTTTCAAATGTAGGCCTCAAATCGCTCCAAATATCCACTTGCATATTGTACAAAAAGAGAGATTCAAAACTGGTCACTCAAAAGTTAGGTCCAGCTCTGTGAGCTGAATGCACACATCACAAAGATGTTTCTCAGAAGGTTTCTGTATAGTTTTTATATGAAGATATTTGCTTTTCCACAATATGCCTCAAATCTCCCCAATTATCCACTTGCAGATTCTAGAAAAAGAGTGTTTCAAAACAGCTCAATCAAAATAAACTTTCAACTCTGTGAGATCAATGCACACATCACAAAGAAGTTTATCAGAATGCTTCTGTGTAGTTTTTTTTGTGAAGATATTTGATTTTCCACAGCAGGCTTCCAAGCACTCCAAATATCCACTCGCAGATTCTGCAAAAAGAGAGATTCAAATCTGCTGAATCAAAAGATAGGTTTAACTCTGTGACTTCAATGCACACCTCACAAGGGTGTTTCTCAGAAAGCTTCTGTGTAGTTTTTATATGAAGATATCTCCTTCTCCAAAGCAGGTCTCAAAGCCCTCCAAATATTCACTTCAAGATTCTACGGAAAGATTGTCTCAACACTGCTAAATCTAAACAAATGTTCAACTCTGTGTGATGAATGCACTCATCACAGAGAAGTTTCTCTGAATGCCTCTGTGTAGTTTTTATTTGAAGATATTTGCTTTTCCAGTATAGGGCGAAATAGGGCTCCAAATATTCACTTGCAGATTCTACAAAAGGAGAGATTCCAAACTGCTCAATCAAAACATAGGTTCAACACTGTGAGTTGAATGCACACATCACAAAGAAGTTTCACAGAGTGCTTCTGGGTAGTTTTTATTTGAGGATATTTCCCTTTCCACAATAGGCCTCAAAGCTTTCCAAATATCCACTTGCAGATTCTGCAAAAAGAGAGATACAAAACTGCTCTATCAAAAGATAGATTCGACTCTGTGAGTTGAATGCCAACATCGCAAAGAAGTTTCTCAGAATGCTTCTCTGCAGCTTTTTTGTGAGTATGTTTCGTTTTCCACCATAGGGCGAAATGGGGCTCCAAATATCCACTTGCATTTCCTACAAAAAGAGAGATTCTAAGCTGCTCAATCAAAACATTGTTTCAACACGGTTAGTTGAATGCACACATCCCAAAGATGTTTTTCAGAGTGCTTCTGTGTGGTTTTTATGTGAAGATACTTCCTTTTCCACAATAGGCCTCAAATCTCTGTAAATATCCACTTGCAGACTCTACAAAGAGTGTTTCCAAACTGCTCAATCATAAGATAGGTTCAACTCCGATAGTTGAATGCACACATCACAAAGAAGTTTCTCAGAAAGCTTCTGTGTAGTTTTTGATGAAGATATCTTCTTCTCTAAAACAGAACTCCAAGCCCTCCAAATATTCACTTCAAGATTCTACGGAAAGATTGTCTCAAACTGCTAAATCAAAACAAAGGTTCAACTCTGTGTGATGAATGCATTCATCACAAAGAAGTTTCTCTGAGTGCTTCTGTGCAGTTTTTATTTGAAGATAATTGCTTTTCCAGTATAGGGCGAAATAGGGCTCCAAATATTCACTTGCAGATTCTACAGAAAGAGAGATTCCAAACTGCTCAATCAAAACATAGGTTCAACACTGTGAGTTGAATGCATACATCGCAAAGAAGTTTCACAGAGTACTTCTGGGTGGTTTTTATTTGAAGATATTTCCCTTTCCACAATAGGCCTCAAAGCTTTCCAAATGTCCACTTGCAGATTCCACCAAAAGAGTGTTTCGAAACTGCTCAATCAAAAGAAAGGTTCTACTCTGTGGGATGAATGCACACATCACAAAGTAGTTTCTCAGAATGCTTCTGTGTAGTTTTTATGTGAAGATATTTGTTTTTCCACAGTAGGCCCCAAAGAGCTCCAAATATTCACTTGCAGATTCTACAAAAAGAGTATTCCAAAACTGCGCAATCATGAAATAGGATCAACCCTGTGAGATGAATGTACGTATGACAGAGAAGTTTCTCAGAATGCTTCTGTGTAGTTTTTATGCGAAGATATTCGACTTTCCACAGTACGCCTCAAAGTTCTCCAATTATCCACTCGTAGATCCTGCAAAAAGAGAGATTCAAAACTGCTCAATCAAAAGATAGTTTCTACTCCATTAGCTGAAAGACCACATCACAAAAAAAGTTTCTCAGGATGCTTCTGTGTAGTTTTTATGTGAAGATATTTGGTTTTCCACAGTAGGCCTCAAAGCGCTCCAAATATCCACTCACAGATTCTGCAAAAAGAGAGATTCAAAACTGCTGAATCAAAAGACAGTTTCAACTCTGTGACTTCAGTGCACAGCTCACAAGGATGTTTCTCAGAATGCTTCTGTGTAGTTTTTATATAAAGATATCTCCTTCTCCAAAATGGATCTCAAAGTTCTCCAAATATTCACTTCCAGATTCTATGGAAAGATTGTCTCAAAACTGCTCAATCAAACCAAAGGTTCAACTCTGTGAGATGAATGCCCACATCACAAAGAAGTTTCTCAGAGTACTTCTGTGTAGTTTCTATTTGAGGATAGTTCCTTTTCCACCACAGACCAGAAAGGGCTCCAAATATCCATTGCAGATGGTACAAAAAGTGAGATTCAAAACTGCTCAATCCAAAGGTAGTTTCAACCATGTGATATGAATGCACACAGCACAGAGAATTTTCTCAAAATGCGTCTGTCTAGTTTTTATTTGAAGATATTTCCTTTTCTACCATAGGCCACAAACGTCTCCAAATATCCACATGCAGCTTCTACAAAAAGAGAGATTCAAAACTTCTCAATCAAAAGATAGGTTCAACTCTGTGAGTTGAAAGCACACCTCACAAAGAAGTTTCTCAGAGTGCTTCTGTGTGTTTTTATGTGAAGATATTTCCTTTTCCACAATAGGCCTCAAAGCTCTCCAAATATCTGCGAGCAGAGTCTACAAAATGAGAGATTCAAAACTGCTCAATGAAAAGATAGGTTCAACTCTGCGAGTTGAATGCACACCTCCAAAGAAGTTTCTCAGAATGCTTCCGTGTAGTTTTTATGTGAAGATATTTACTTTTCCACAGTTGTCCCAAAGCTCTAAAATGTCCACTTGCAGACCCTCCAAAAGAGTGTTTCAGAATTGCTCAATCAAAGGGCAGGTTCAATTCTGTGTGACCAATGCACTCATCACAAAGAAGTTTGTCTGAATGCTTCTGTGTAGAATTGATTTGAAGATAATTCCTTTTCCACCACAGTCCGCAAAGGGCTAAAAATATCCACTTGCCGATTCCACAAAAAGAGAGATTCAAAACTGCTCAATCACAAGATAGGTTCAACTTGGTAATTGGAAAGCACACATGACAAACAATTTCTGAGAATGTTTCTGTGTAGTTTTTAAGGGAAGATATTTGATTTTCAAATGTAGGCCTCAAATCGCTCCAAATATCCACTTGCATATTGTACAAAAAGAGAGATTCAAAACTGGTCACTCAAAAGTTAGGTCCAGCTCTGTGAGCTGAATGCACACATCACAAAGATGTTTCTCAGAAGGTTTCTGTATAGTTTTTATATGAAGATATTTGCTTTTCCACAATATGCCTCAAATCTCCCCAATTATCCACTTGCAGATTCTAGAAAAAGAGTGTTTCAAAACAGCTCAATCAAAATAAACTTTCAACTCTGTGAGATCAATGCACACATCACAAAGAAGTTTCTCAGAATGCTTCTGTGTAGTTTTTTTTGTGAAGATATTTGATTTTCCACAGCAGGCTTCCAAGCACTCCAAATATCCACTTGCAGATTCTGCAAAAAGAGAGATTCAAATCTGCTGAATCAAAAGATAGGTTTAACTCTGTGACTTCAATGCACACCTCACAAGGGTGTTTCTCAGAAAGCTTCTGTGTAGTTTTTATATGAAGATATCTCCTTCTCCAAAGCAGGTCTCAAAGCCCTCCAAATATTCACTTCAAGATTCTACGGAAAGATTGTCTCAACACTGCTAAATCTAAACAAATGTTCAACTCTGTGTGATGAATGCACTCATCACAGAGAAGTTTCTCTGAATGCCTCTGTGTAGTTTTTATTTGAAGATATTTGCTTTTCCAGTATAGGGCGAAATAGGGCTCCAAATATTCACTTGCAGATTCTACAAAAGGAGAGATTCCAAACTGCTCAATCAAAACATAGGTTCAACACTGTGAGTTGAATGCACACATCACAAAGAAGTTTCACAGAGTGCTTCTGGGTAGTTTTTATTTGAGGATATTTCCCTTTCCACAATAGGCCTCAAAGCTTTCCAAATATCCACTTGCAGATTCTGCAAAAAGAGAGATACAAAACTGCTCTATCAAAAGATAGATTCGACTCTGTGAGTTGAATGCCAACATCGCAAAGAAGTTTCTCAGAATGCTTCTCTGCAGCTTTTTTGTGAGTATGTTTCGTTTTCCACCATAGGGCGAAATGGGGCTCCAAATATCCACTTGCATTTCCTACAAAAAGAGAGATTCTAAGCTGCTCAATCAAAACATTGTTTCAACACGGTTAGTTGAATGCACACATCCCAAAGATGTTTTTCAGAGTGCTTCTGTGTGGTTTTTATGTGAAGATACTTCCTTTTCCACAATAGGCCTCAAATCTCTGTAAATATCCACTTGCAGACTCTACAAAGAGTGTTTCCAAACTGCTCAATCATAAGATAGGTTCAACTCCGATAGTTGAATGCACACATCACAAAGAAGTTTCTCAGAAAGCTTCTGTGTAGTTTTTGATGAAGATATCTCCTTCTCTAAAACAGAACTCCAAGCCCTCCAAATATTCACTTCAAGATTCTACGGAAAGATTGTCTCAAAACTCCTAAATCAAAACAAAGTTTCAACTCTGTGTCATGAATGCATTCATCTCAAAGAAGTTTCTCTGAATGCTTCTGTGCAGTTTTTATTTGAAGATAATTGCTTTTCCAGTATAGGGCGAAATAGGGCTCCAAATATTCACTTGCAGATTCTACAGAAAGAGAGATTCCAAACTGCTCAATCAAAACATAGGTTCAACACTGTGAGTTGAATGCATACATCGCAAAGAAGTTTCACAGAGTACTTCTGGGTGGTTTTTATTTGAAGATATTTCCCTTTCCACAATAGGCCTCAAAGCTTTCCAAATGTCCACTTGCAGATTCCACCAAAAGAGTGTTTCAAAACTGCTCAATCAAAAGAAAGGTTCTACTCTGTGGGATGAATGCACACATCACAAAGTAGTTTCTCAGAATGCTTCTGTGTAGTTTTTATGTGAAGATATTTGTTTTTCCACAGTAGGCCCCAAGGAGCTCCAAATATTCACTTGCAGATTCTACAAAAAGAGTGTTCCAAAACTGCTCAATCATGAAATAGGATCAACCCTGTGAGATGAATGTACGTATGACAGAGAAGTTTCTCAGAATGCTTCTGTGTAGTTTTTATGCGAAGATATTCGATTTTCCACAGTACGCCTCAAAGTTCTCCAATTATCCACTCGTAGATTCTGCAAAAAGAGAGATTCAAAACTGCTCAATCAAAAGATAGTTTCTACTCCATTAGCTGAAAGACCACATCACAAAAAAAGTTTCTCAGGATGCTTCTGTGTAGTTTTTATGTGAAGATATTTGGTTTTCCACAGTAGGCCTCAAAGCGCTCCAAATATCCACTCACAGATTCTGCAAAAAGAGAGATTCAAAACTGCTGAATCAAAAGACAGTTTCAACTCTGTGACTTCAGTGCACACCTCACAAGGATGTTTCTCAGAATGCTTCTGTGTAGTTTTCATATAAAGATATCTCCTTCTCCAAAATGGATCTCAAAGTTCTCCAAATATTCACTTCCAGATTCTATGGAAAGATTGTCTCAAAACTGCTCAATCAAACCAAAGGTTCAACTCTGTGAGATGAATGCCCACATCACAAAGAAGTTTCTCAGAGTACTTCTGTGTAGTTTCTATTTGAGGATAGTTCCTTTTCCACCACAGACCAGAAAGGGCTCCAAATATCCATTGCAGATGGTACAAAAAGTGAGATTCAAAACTGCTCAATCCAAAGGTAGTTTCAACCATGTGATATGAATGCACACAGCACAGAGAATTTTCTCAAAATGCGTCTGTCTAGTTTTTATTTGAAGATATTTCCTTTTCTACCATAGGCCACAAACGTCTCCAAATATCCACATGCAGCTTCTACAAAAAGAGAGATTCAAAACTTCTCAATCAAAAGATAGGTTCAACTCTGTGAGTTGAAAGCACACCTCACAAAGAAGTTTCTCAGAGTGCTTCTGTGTGTTTTTATGTGAAGATATTTCCTTTTCCACAATAGGCCTCAAAGCTCTCCAAATATCTGCGAGCAGAGTCTACAAAATGAGAGATTCAAAACTGCTCAATGAAAAGATAGGTTCAACTCTGTGAGTTGAATGCACACCTCCAAAGAAGTTTCTCAGAATGCTTCCGTGTAGTTTTTATGTGAAGATATTTACTTTTCCACAGTTGTCCCAAAGCTCTAATATGTCCACTTGCAGGCCCTCCAAAAGAGTGTTTCAGAATTGCTCAATCAAAGGGAAGGTTCAATTCTGTGTGACCAATGCACTCATCACAAAGAAGTTTGTCTGAATGCTTCTGTGTAGAATTGATTTGAAGATAATTCCTTTTCCACCACAGTCCGCAAAGGGCTAAAAATATCCACTTGCCGATTCCACAAAAAGAGAGATTCAAAACTGCTCAATCACAAGATAGGTTCAACTTGGTAATTGGAAAGCACACATGACAAACAATTTCTGAGAATGTTTCTGTGTAGTTTTTAAGGGAAGATATTTGATTTTCAAATGTAGGCCTCAAATCGCTCCAAATATCCACTTGCATATTGTACAAAAAGAGAGATTCAAAACTGGTCACTCAAAAGTTAGGTCCAGCTCTGTGAGCTGAATGCACACATCACAAAGATGTTTCTCAGAAGGTTTCTGCATAGTTTTTATATGAAGATATTTGCTTTTCCACAATATGCCTCAAATCTCCCCAATTATCCACTTGCAGATTCTAGAAAAAGAGTGTTTCAAAACAGCTCAATCAAAATAAACTTTCAACTCTGTGAGATCAATGCACACATCACAAAGAAGTTTCTCAGAATGCTTCTGTGTAGTTTTTTTTGTGAAGATATTTGATTTTCCACAGCAGGCTTCCAAGCACTCCAAATATCCACTCGCAGATTCTGCAAAAAGAGAGATTCAAATCTGCTGAATCAAAAGATAGGTTTAACTCTGTGACTTCAATGCACACCTCACAAGGGTGTTTCTCAGAAAGCTTCTGTGTAGTTTTTATATGAAGATATCTCCTTCTCCAAAGCAGGTCTCAAAGCCCTCCAAATATTCACTTCAAGATTCTACGGAAAGATTGTCTCAACACTGCTAAATCTAAACAAATGTTCAACTCTGTGTGATGAATGCACTCATCACAGAAAAAGTTTCTCTGAATGCCTCTGTGTAGTTTTATTTGAAGATATTTGCTTTTCCAGTATAGGGCGAAATAGGGCTCCAAATATTCACTTGCAGATTCTACAAAAGGAGAGATTCCAAACTGCTCAATCAAAACATAGGTTCAACACTGTGAGTTGAATGCACACATCACAAAGAAGTTTCACAGAGTGCTTCTGGGTAGTTTTTATTTGAGGATATTTCCCTTTCCACAATAGGCCTCAAAGCTTTCCAAATATCCACTTGCAGATTCTGCAAAAAGAGAGATACAAAACTGCTCTATCAAAAGATAGATTCGACTCTGTGAGTTGAATGCCAACATCGCAAAGAAGTTTCTCAGAATGCTTCTCTGCAGCTTTTTTGTGAGTATGTTTCGTTTTCCACCATAGGGCGAAATGGGGCTCCAAATATCCACTTGCATTTCCTACAAAAGGAGAGATTCTAAGCTGCTCAATCAAAACATTGTTTCAACACGGTTCGTTGAATGCACACATCCCAAAGATGTTTTTCAGAGTGCTTCTGTGTGGTTTTTATGTGAAGATACTTCCTTTTCCACAATAGGCCTCAAATCTCTGTAAATATCCACTTGCAGACTCTACAAAGAGTGTTTCCAAACTGCTCAATCATAAGATAGGTTCAACTCCGATAGTTGAATGCACACATCACAAAGAAGTTTCTCAGAAAGCTTCTGTGTAGTTTTTGATGAAGATATCTCCTTCTCTAAAACAGAACTCCAAGCCCTCCAAATATTCACTTCAAGATTCTACGGAAAGATTGTCTCAAAACTCCTAAATCAAAACAAAGTTTCAACTCTGTGTCATGAATGCATTCATCTCAAAGAACTTTCTCTGAATGCTTCTGTGCAGTTTTTATTTGAAGATAATTGCTTTTCCAGTATAGGGCGAAATAGGGCTCCAGATATTCACTTGCAGATTCTACAGAAAGAGAGATTCCAAACTGCTCAATCAAAACATAGGTTCAACACTGTGAGTTGAATGCATACATCGCAAAGAAGTTTCACAGAGTACTTCTGGGTGGTTTTTATTTGAAGATATTTCCCTTTCCACAATAGGCCTCAAAGCTTTCCAAATGTCCACTTGCAGATTCCACCAAAAGGGTGTTTCGAAACTGCTCAATCAAAAGAAAGGTTCTACTCTGTGGGATGAATGCACACATCACAAAGTAGTTTCTCAGAATGCTTCTGTGTAGTTTTTATGTGAAGATATTTGTTTTTCCACAGTAGGCCCCAAGGAGCTCCAAATATTCACTTGCAGATTCTACAAAAAGAGTGTTCCAAAACTGCTCAATCATGAAATAGGATCAACCCTGTGAGATGAATGTACGTATGACAGAGAAGTTTCTCAGAATGCTTCTGTGTAGTTTTTATGCGAAGATATTCGATTTTCCACAGTACGCCTCAAAGTTCTCCAATTATCCACTCGTAGATTCTGCAAAAAGAGAGATTCAAAACTGCTCAATCAAAAGATAGTTTCTACTCCATTAGCTGAAAGACCACATCACAAAAAAAGTTTCTCAGGATGCTTCTGTGTAGTTTTTATGTGAAGATATTTGGTTTTCCACAGTAGGCCTCAAAGCGCTCCAAATATCCACTCACAGATTCTGCAAAAAGAGAGATTCAAAACTGCTGAATCAAAAGACAGTTTCAACTCTGTGACTTCAGTGCACACCTCACAAGGATGTTTTCTCAGAATGCTTCTGTGTAGTTTTCATATAAAGATATCTCCTTCTCCAAAATGGATCTCAAAGTTCTCCAAATATTCACTTCCAGATTCTATGGAAAGATTGTCTCAAAACTGCTCAATCAAACCAAAGGTTCAACTCTGTGAGATGAATGCCCACATCACAAAGAAGTTTCTCAGAGTACTTCTGTGTAGTTTCTATTTGAGGATAGTTCCTTTTCCACCACAGACCAGAAAGGGCTCCAAATATCCATTGCAGATGGTACAAAAAGTGAGATTCAAAACTGCTCAATCCAAAGGTAGTTTCAACCAGGTGATATGAATCCACACAGCACAGAGAATTTTCTCAAAATGCGTCTGTCTAGTTTTTATTTGAAGATATTTCCTTTTCTACCATAGGCCACAAACGTCTCCAAATATCCACATGCAGCTTCTACAAAAAGAGAGATTCAAAACTTCTCAATCAAAAGATAGGTTCAACTCTGTGAGTTGAAAGCACACCTCACAAAGCAGTTTCTCAGAGTGCTCTTCCGTGTAGTTTTTATGTGAAGGTACACACACATCACACATACATTCAAACACATCTGTACATGTAAAATCCTTAGAAATATGAATAGGGTCTGAACCTGAGTTAATGGTATGGAAAGAATGTCAATTTCCTGATTTTGGCAACGTACTAGGTTAAGTTATATATAATCATTGGGGAAAGTTGCCTGAAAATAGCATGGTCATTCATTTTACTTCTTTTTTTAACTTCTTATGAGTCAGATTATTTTAAAACAAAAGGTATTA